>NT_167248.2:1675466-2008750 GCF_000001405.40 Homo sapiens | reverse complement strand
GTCAAGAGGTTACCAGTATTAAGACGGCTGCATCTCAATGGCACGTGCCTCTCCTGGCAATCAAAAAGATAGACAAATGACTATAATATCGTGTGTGTGATGCTTTGAGAGATTTGTATACAATGTAGATGAACTAATTCTGGATGGCAGGTTCAGGAGTGGTTTTTTCCCAGGAGAATAGGGAGGAAAAAGGAAAAGAAATAGAACGGTTATAGGGTCCAATGGGTAAGAGTTTGGCATGTGTGAGAAAAAGGACAAAATTAGAGATGCACAACATCAAGAAGCAATGGGGGTGTTGAAAGAGAAAGCCTGCAAGGTGCCTGGATTTGGGTTGGGAACTCAGAGAGTTTGGAGCCACTGAACTTACTGAAGCAGGCATGGACATGGTCAAGTCTGTCTTTGAACAAGAAAGCCCTGGGGGGTATAGGAGGTGAACCGGAGGAACAATAGTTAGGAAGGTTCTTTATGGCCCATGATTGTCCCATTTTCACTAAAATAAAATGTGCCTTTTTGGTAGTGAACTGTTCTGAATGCCAAAAGTACTAGGTAAGTTGGTCCCAACTGGAATATTGCAGCCCTGAGGGTGGCTCGGCTGCCCAGTCATTTGGTACCCCCTTTTTCTTTCCTGAACCAGAGAATCTCAGCTCTCAAGAAATCTATTAATTCAGGCTCCCAGGGTCAGCACCACTTGGTCTGTGTCAGAGACACAGCAGTCACACGCACAAACCCAAATGGTCATGGCTGACAGTGGAGGCCTCAGCAGGGCCAAGGAACACAGAGATTTGCAACCTCCCCTTGTGTGCAATTCCCCTTCTATGGTAGGTGGGATTCCCAACCTGGGGAAAGAAATGACCAAGTGTCTGGGAAGGGAAAGTGTCATAAAAGAGCCAGGGCCCAGGAGCTAGGATGACGGTGGCCTGAGGCCCAGACACTCTAGGGAATCCGTGAGACGTGGAGAGAAAACATGAGGGAAAGCAGAGCTACTGTCTGGCCGGCCCAGCTTCCTCTTTTATGAGCTCATGGGCAAAGCCAGGCCAGGCAGAGGGTGCTAGAGATTGAGTGAGCTTGTTTTTTCCCTAACTTGGTTCTGAGTCACACATGGCATCTATCCTTCCCAGAAAACCGCCTCAGGGCTCACCCCTTGGCAGCCCACCAAACCCCAGTACTGACACGCGATCCCCACTGGGTAGGGCCAGGGAGCTGCAGACAGGCCAGCCCCAGCACCCGCCTCCGCCCCTGGAGAGGCCTCTTGGGGAATGAACTGTCCCTCCCAACCTTGGAAGAAAAGAGCCTATGGCAACTGCTTTGGAGGGTAGGCTGGAGGCACGTCCAACTTTTGAGCACACATGGGAGACGCTGCTGAATCATGGGGTTTCAGAGGAGGAGAAACATTAGAGAGCCTTTAATTTATGCCTTTCACTTTGTAGATCAACTCATCCAGTAAATACGGGGTGTCTGAAAAGTCTGGACAAAAGGGGAAATATTTTATTTGTTGTGCATTTTTCCCCTATGATTATGTTTTGACTTCAATCTCCATCAAATTCTCCAATGGCTGACATTGGAGCTGTCTACAGAGAGATGCAGGCTGCTTCCCACGGGAACAGCACTGTAACAGTAATGACATCAACGATCCTGTATTTCTAGCCTTTTCAGCAGCCTGTATTGATTGACAGGCACAGTTCTAGGCACTGAAAATAGAGCAGTACACAAGATAGATAAAGTCCTACTCTGGTGGAGTTATAATCTGGTGGGAAAGAAACCAAGACCAAAGGAGGAGCCACAACACTGGGGTCCTAAGAAGCCGGCTTTGGCAGAAGGACAGGAATGCTGGGCCCTTTCCCAGCTCCCGGCTCAGCTCATAGCAGCCTCCAGGGTAGCTGGGTTGAGTTGGGCTGGGTCAGGCTGAGCTGCATCCCAGGGTAGGGTCATCGTGCCACTTTTGTGACCTTGCCTTGGTGCTCCCGGAACTCTTGCCATGGTTTTGCGTCAGGGGAACTGCCAGGGCCTGATTTTGGGCCTCCTAGAGCCTAGATGAATATCTTTAGGGGTCATTTGTTAACTTGCTGCCTAGAACTCACCACCCCACTCTACCCCCATGCCTCTGGAGAATTGTTCCAGCTAAAATGTAGGTGGGAGGGGATGTTTAAAATCACCTGTTCCTTGTCAGTATAGTGGTGAGTAAAAACAAATTTTTTTTTTTGCTGGGTGTGGTGGCTCACGCCCGTAATCCCAGCACTTTGGGAGGCCGAGGGGGCGGATCACGTGAGGTCAGGAGTTTTCCAGACCAGCCTGGCCAACATGGTGAAACCTTATCTCTACCAAAAATACAAAAATTAGCCGGGCATGGTGGCATGCGCTACTCGGGAGGCTGAAGCAGGAGAATCGCCTGAACCCGGGAGGCAGAGGTTGCAGTGAGCCGAGATTGTGCCACTGCACTCCAGCCTGGACGACAGAGTAAGACTTTCTTTTTTTTTAAGACGGAGTTTCACTCTCGTCGCCCAGGCTGGAGTGCAGTGGTGCAATCTCAGCTCACTGCAACCTCTGCCTCCCTGGTTCAGGCAATTCTCCTGCTTCAGCCTCCCGAGTAGCTGGGATTACAGGCACACGCCACCACGCCCAGCTAATTTTTGTATTTTTGGTAGAGACGGGGTTTTGCCATGTTGGCCAGGCTGGTCTCGAACTCCTGACCTCGTGATCCACCCACCTCAACCTCCCAAAGTGCTGGGATTATGGGCGTGAGCCACCACGCCCAGCCAAACTAAATTTTTTAAATAAATAAAGGCCAGACTTTGTGGCTCACGCCTGTAATCCCAACACTTTGGGAGGTTGAGGCGGGAGGATCGCTTGAGCCCAGAATTTTGAGACCTGCCTGGGCAACATGGCAAGACCCTGTCTCTACCAAAATAAATAAAAATTAGCTGGGCATGGTGGCACGTTCCTGGAGTCCCAGCTACTCAAGAGGCTGAGGTGGGAGGATCACTTGAGCCCAGGAGGTTGAGGTTGCAGTGAGCCATGTTTATGCCACTGCACTCCAGCCTGGGTGAGAGAGTGAGATCTTGTCTCAAAAAATAAATAAATACATACATAAAAAAATAAAATCACTCACATTAGTTGAACAGGAACTAGGAATGCAGAAGTCTTTGCTTCTCTGGAAAATAAAGAGCCACAAAACCTGCCTGATATGGAGAGGGAGGGAGGGCAGAGTAAAAAGAGAAAGAACTTGTATCTCCTGGTGATGTTAGCAGTTAGAGGTTATTTTCTCATTCCAGTTCCCTACTCCTGGGTTGGCTCACTGCTGCCCATCCCTGTTCCAAAGCAGTCCCTCTTCTCATAATTATAATAATGCCCCTGCTCCATGCAAGAAGCACCTACTATGTGCCCAGAAGGAGTAAATTTATATTCTTAACCTTTGCAGTTACCTAGAGGTCAATTTGCCCATTTATCAATTGAGGAAACAGATTTTCAGCAACATTAAGTAACTGGCCCAATATTGCCTAGTTAATAAGTAGCAGAGCTGGCACTTAAACCCAATTTCGTCTAACACCACTAGATTACAATATGTTCTTTTTGCTATTCCGTGTTTCCTTTCTATCTCAAACCCATCTCAAGTCACCAAGTAGTTATTGAGGATCTACTGAATACCAGGTGCAGCTAAAAAGCTTTCACTTTGTCATTCCCTACCCCCAGGACCCTGGTGCAGTCCCTTCACCCTGCTTTCCTTTCTCAGATGCTCCCATTTCCAAATCTCTGCCTCCCTTTCCCCTGCCCATTCTGCCTCCGCCAGTGCCCATTCTTGCCGTCCCCCGTTCTGGGCCTGTGGTCAGCAGTGCAGCAGTACCCAGGTGAGGCAGCAGGCCTGACTCACTCCTATGTCAGGGATTGTAAAGGGCGCGGGCCAGGGCTTTGCTGTCGCTGTCGTCACTGCACAATTGTTCCTGATTCAGCGGCGGATCACCTGAGCCACACCTGAGTGCCCCCAACCTCCTCTTTGAAGAGCAAACATGGGGGCCTCTAAAGGAACATGGCTAGATAAACAGACCTCTCTGGAGATGAGGTTTAGCTCCTCGGAGGAGACAGATTTAAGAATATTTATTAAGTTCCTACTAGGTGACAGCCAAGTACTGGAGATACTACAGAGATCTAATGAGAAAAAGGTCAGATGTGGCCCTGTACACTCGTGGAGATTATATTCCAGTAGGCGGGACAAACAACAGCAAAAAGCAAATACATAAAATGATTCCCCAACGTGATATGTGTCATGAAGAAAAACAAGGGGCTGAGAAGGAGGCTAGCAGTGGTGATGGATCAAGGCAAAGGTCAAACGAGGGAAATGAAGGAACATGGTGATCTGGGGGAAGATGGGAAGGAAATGAGGAGGAGAGCTGGAAATGGAGGAGGCTAAGGGCCTGTTTCTCCAGTATCAGGGCAGTGGGAGCCAGTCCAGTTGCTCGTCTCAGCCCCTGGCACTTTCTGGCCTTAACTCATTCCCCAGCCTGCACTCCCCCACCCCCTTATTGGCTTAATGATTCACCCCCAACATTTCCCTAGCTTCCTGTGTGGCAGGAAGGAGCAGGAGCAGAGCCCTAGGGCTCTGAGGGTAGCAGGAATGGGGATGGGATTGGTTGGGAATGGTGAGCAGTCCGGGTTCTCAGGTCTTCTCTTTGTCCCATTCTGGTCTTGCCACAAAGAAAGGTCTCTCTGTGCCGGGAGGACAGCGAGGATAACTAGACCCAGCTGGAGGCCCAGATTCCAGATGTGGGAGGTAGTGGCAAAACAAGATCCTGGCATCCCCTTCATTTCCCCTCCTCTGCCTAATGCCCTAGAGAAATTTTCCATCATAAACAAGTAATGCATTCCTAACCTTTGGTGCTTCTCTCTCTCTCCCACCCACTAGTTTTCTTCCATCATCACTATCTCCCCCTACTCCCAATTTATGTTTATGTGAGTGTGAGGGTCTGTCCACATGTGTAAGTAGTCATGGGTTTATGTTGGTCATTGTGTAGCGTGCGAGTTGCCTTGGAATAAGGATGTTGGGGGTGGTGGGCTCCCTGTGCTTGGGTGTAAATGTAAGAATGATGGCAGGTGTGAAGACAGGCGTGGGAAAGCAATGCGCCTTTGTTTACAGAGGAGGTGTGTTTTATGCCAGCCAGGAAGAAGTGTGTAATGTGGAAGGGATCTTGTGTATTTAGATAAGAGTAGTGAGTATAAAATAAAGTGACTTGTAGGCCCAGGAATTGTACACAGAGCAGTAGTGTATTTCTAGCCGGTTGTGGCCTGTCCTCTTATTTGTGTTCCTACATGTTCTTGATTGAAAAATCCTTTTAAGTGTTTCCTAAGTGGGAGGGGAGAAAAGTGTTTCCTGTTTGGTGTCTGTGTAAGAATTGTCCCAGCTTTTCTAAAGATGTTGTACATTTGTATGAGTGGTTTGGAGGAGTGTAGCCACATCTCAGAAGCTTGGTGTGACCCAGCCAAGGTGGGAATACTACATGCACACTTACAGTTGTACATTTCACCTGGCATTTAACAAGATTATTGAGCAACTGCTGCCTACAAGGTACCATGCTGGGTTCTCTGGAGGACACAAAGATGTGTATGACACAGCCTCCAGTGGAAGAGATCATATATGTATTCACTTTGTGCACCAGGCTTAAAATGATGGTAGAAAGATCTGAGCCAGATGTATTTCAAATCTCTGGAGTCATCTCAGATCTTTTCATCCTCTTGCTGTCGGCAACTCTCCCTCTCCCATGCTCCCTTCCCCTAATGATATCCATCTCATTGCCCAATTCTGATTATCTTATGCTAGGAATGTCTCTTAGGGCCACCTTCTCAGGCTCTTGTTATCATCTACCTGAGCCCCTCCAATAGCCTCCTGTCTACTGCCTTAGTCTCTACCCGTCCAGAGCATCACTCCTCATCCCAATCAGTTTCCTGCTTGAATTTTCCTCCCTTTATCTCATCCAGCAACCCACAAGCTCTACAGTCTAGAGTGAAACCCAGGCTCCTGACCTGGCAGCTCTGCTCTCCCCACTCTGCCCAATTCCACTCCTTTCCAGCCATTATTACTTCCCACTACTCCGTTACAGGAAACTTACTCTGAGATTGTTTTTCTTGTGATTCCCCAAACACATCCTGTACTTTTCCAGCTCAAGGTCTTTGCTAATTCCATTCTTACAGTCATCCTCCACATCTGAATTTGTCATATCCCACCCACTGTTCAAGGTCACCTTCAGTGCCACTCTTCCATGAAGCCTCCCCTGATTGATTGGACAGATGTGAACACTAGCTCTTTTGGGTCCCCCCCTTAACACTTAGTCTTCAGTTTTCTTAGGTTTTTTTGTTTTTGTTTTTGTTTTTTGTTTTGTTCTTGTTTTTTTGAGACAGGGTCTCACTCTGTCACCCAGGCTGGAGTGCAGTGGCACGCTCTCAGCTTGCTGCAACCTCTGCCTCCTGAGTTCAAGCGATTCTCCTGCCTCAGCCTCCCGAGTAGCTGGGATTACAGACATGCGCCACCATGCTTGGCTAATTTTTGTATTTTTAGTAGAAACAGGGTTTCACCATGTTGACCAGGCTGGTCTCGAACTCCTGACCTCAAATGATCCACCCGCCTCGGCCTGCCAAAGTGTTGGGATTACAGGTGTGAACCACCGTGCCTGGCCTTTCTTAGGATCTTCAAGAAAGCTTGCCTTTCCTTCAGGCAGAAACTCAATATAACAAAAAAAGAGAGAGAGAGAGAGCAACAGAGACAGACAGATAGAGAGCTCTCCTGGCCATGGTTCCCTCCTCATGCCGGAGGGTAAGGCCCTCATGGCTGGAGTATCAGCTTTATCTGGCTTTCCTCAGGCAGCTGCATGGCACAGCACTTATACTGAAACTAGCCTCAGGACTCTCAACAGTAGTACCCTCAACAGAGGGCGCCTGAAACAGGTGAATGCTCAAAAGATGTTAAATTCTGCACGGTGGCTGCCAGCACTTTGGGAGGCCGAGGCAGGCAGATTGGTTGAGCTCAGGAGTTCAAGACCAGCCTGGGCAACATGGCAAAACCCTGGCTCTACAAAAAATTTTATATATATATATATATATATATATATATATATATTAGCCAGGCATGGTGGTGCTCACCTGTGGTCCCAGCTACTCAGGAGGCTGAGGTAGGAGTATGGCTTGAGCCAAGAGGCAGAGGTTGCAGTCAGCCGAGATCATGCCACTGCACTTCAACCTGGGCGACAAAGCCAGATCCTGTCTCAAAACAAAAAAAAAAAGTTAAATTCTGTGTCCATGAGCAGCTGTCTGTAAGGAAGTTATGGAAATGTGAATCTGCTTTAAGTTGAGTAATTACCATTACTGTAACATTTGTATAATGTCTCACAATTTAGAATGTTTGTCCCATAAATTTGGTTGTTTGACTTACAGCAAGGGGCAAATCTGGGTGGCTGCTAACCTATTGCCTTTGTATTTGTGGCCCTCTGCACCAGCCTTTATGTGAATATTTCTGCACGCTCCTAAGAGAGTAGTTTTGCTGAACTGTCCCTATACAGTCTTTGCACCTTTACTGTGTACATGTGTGTTGGTAGGTGTACGTGGTATGTTTTCCTTTTTTTCCAGGATTGCATTCTTTTTATGGCTGAATAATATTTAATTGTGTATTGTTGTTGTTGTTGTTGTTATTTTATAGTGACAAGGTCTCACTATGTTGCCCAGGCTCCTGAGCTCAAGTGATCCTCCCACCTTAGCCCCCCAAAATGCTAGGATTACAGGCAAGAGCCACCATGCCCCACCATTGTGTATTACTTTTTTAATCTTTCTATCCTTCCCTCCCTCCCCAACTTTTATTTTAAATTCTGGGGTATATGTGCAGGTTTGTTACCTAGGTATACTGCATGATGCTGAGGTTTGGGGTATGAATGATCCTGTCACCCAGGTACTGAGCATAGTACCCAATAGTTAGTGTTTCAACCTTTGCCTTACTCCCTCCGTCCTTCTTCTACTGGTCTCAAGTTGCTATTGTTGCCATCTTTATGTCCATGAGTTCCCAATGTTTGGTTCCCACTTATAAGTGAGAATGTGTGGTATTTGGTTTTCTGTTCCTGAGTTAATCCGCTTAGGATAATGGCCACCAGCCGCATCCATGTTGCTGCAAAGCACATAATTTTGTTCTTTTGTATGGCTACGCGGTGTGTGTCTTCATGTGTGCTCAGGCAGGCAGGTTTGTGTCTGTGTGTGCTAGTGTGTTCATTTCTCCCTTAATCTTGACTATTTCTGTAACAATTTCCTTCTTGGGGAGTTTATATTCTAAGGATACCTACAAGTGCATGAATGCGTGCATATAACTGGGTCAGTATTGCAGCAGGATGGCCTGATCTCCAATAAAAAGCCCTCTTGGCAGGGCACGGTGGCTCACGCCTGTAATCCCAGCACTTTGGGAGGCCGAGGCGGGCAAACCAAATACCATACATTCTCACTTATAAGTGGGAACCAAACATTGGGAACTCGTGGACGTAAAGATGGCAACAATAGCAACTTGAGACTACTAGAAGAAGGACGGAGGGAGCGAGGCAGATCACGAGGTCAGGAAATCGAGACCACCCTGGCCAACAGGGTGAAACCCCGTCTCTACTAAAAATACAAAAATTAGCTGGGCGTGGTGGCGCGTGCCTGTATTCCCAGCTACTCAGGAAGCTGAGGCAGGAAAATCGCTTGAACCAGGGAGTCAGGGGTTGCAGTGAGCCGAGATCGCGCCTCTGCATTCCAGCCTGGCGACCGAACGAGACTGCTCCATCTCCAAAAAAAAAAAAAAAAAAAGGCCTGTGAGGGATCCTGTGGCTAAAGTGAGCCCCTCTCCAGGTGCCACATGCCTCGACATGTGCCTGCAGCCCGGGATCTCACCCACCCCCACTCACGACTCACACACTCACAACGTGCAGTTGGGCGCCTAGGATTGTGCATGTCAAGTCTCCACCCACTCCCTTTGTTTAATCGTCGGAATTTCCAGCCCGCTGCTGCCAACCGCTCCCCAGCTGCGGGAGGAGGAGTTAGAAGGACCCGCCCAATTTTCAGGAGCACATAAATTACCTCTGCCGGCAGCCGACCCTCACTTGGCCTTACACTCCGCTCGGCTCACCATGTGTCACTCTCGCAGCTGCCACCCGACCATGACCATCCTGCAGGCCCCGACCCCGGCCCCCTCCACCATCCCGGGACCCCGGCGGGGCTCCGGTCCTGAGATCTTCACCTTCGACCCTCTCCCGGAGCCCGCAGCGGCCCCTGCCGGGCGCCCCAGCGCCTCTCGCGGGCACCGAAAGCGCAGCCGCAGGGTTCTCTACCCTCGAGTGGTGAGTATCGCCGAAGTGGGCATTCGCGGGGTGCGCTGCCCTGGAGTCACTGGGGAACGACCCGACTCCAGAGGCCTCGACCTGACCTGTCTCCTGTTTTGTCTCCCCTTAGGTCCGGCGCCAGCTGCCAGTCGAGGAACCGAACCCAGCCAAAAGGCTTCTCTTTCTGCTGCTCACCATCGTCTTCTGCCAGATCCTGATGGCTGAAGAGGGTGTGCCGGCGCCCCTGCCTCCAGAGGACGCCCCTAACGCCGCATCCCTGGCGCCCACCCCTGTGTCCCCCGTCCTCGAGCCCTTTAATCTGACTTCGGAGCCCTCGGACTACGCTCTGGACCTCAGCACTTTCCTCCAGCAACACCCGGCCGCCTTCTAACTGTGACTCCCCGCACTCCCCAAAAAGAATCCGAAAAACCACAAAGAAACACCAGGCGTACCTGGTGCGCGAGAGCGTATCCCCAACTGGGACTTCCGAGGCAACTTGAACTCAGAACACTACAGCGGAGACGCCACCCGGTGCTTGAGGCGGGACCGAGGCGCACAGAGACCGAGGCGCATAGAGACCGAGGCACAGCCCAGCTGGGGCTAGGCCCGGTGGGAAGGAGAGCGTCGTTAATTTATTTCTTATTGCTCCTAATTAATATTTATATGTATTTATGTACGTCCTCCTAGGTGATGGAGATGTGTACGTAATATTTATTTTAACTTATGCAAGGGTGTGAGATGTTCCCTCTGCTGTAAATGCAGGTCTCTTGGTATTTATTGAGCTTTGTGGGACTGGTGGAAGCAGGACACCTGGAACTGCGGCAAAGTAGGAGAAGAAATGGGGAGGACTCGGGTGGGGGAGGACGTCCCGGCTGGGATGAAGTCTGGTGGTGGGTCGTAAGTTTAGGAGGTGACTGCATCCTCCAGCATCTCAACTCCGTCTGTCTACTGTGTGAGACTTCGGCGGACCATTAGGAATGAGATCCGTGAGATCCTTCCATCTTCTTGAAGTCGCCTTTAGGGTGGCTGCGAGGTAGAGGGTTGGGGGTTGGTGGGCTGTCACGGAGCGACTGTCGAGATCGCCTAGTATGTTCTGTGAACACAAATAAAATTGATTTACTGTCTGCAGTCTTGAGTGTATCTTTGCAAGCGCCGACTCCCCACTCCTCCCGGCCTTCAGATGGCAAGGACCGGCGGGAGGCGCCGTGGCCGAGTCCCCAGCCCGCGCACCTCCCTGGGCCCAGGAGCCCCTTTTCCTGGAGTCACAGAACCCAGCATCCGGTTGCCGGATGTAGTCTTTCATTGCCCAGTCTGCGGTTTTCCCAGGTAGTTGCCCCGCGGCGAATCCGAGATGTGGCAATCACCCTTACGCCAGGGTGCCAGGCGGAGGTCAAGTCCCTCACCCGGGGGCGGAGCGTGGCGCGGCGTGGGCGGGATTCCCGGCTCAAGAAGGGCGGTGACTGGGGCGGCAGGGATGTGGCCCTCCCCGGGCTAACCAGGCAGCCCGGCTGGGCCCGAGAGCCAGCGGGCGGGCGGGCTGCGGACTCTAGCGGGGCCTGCCGGGAAAGGGGCGGGCCGAGCGCACTGGGCCGAGGCGGGGCGAAGTGGGGGTGCTTAGTCCGTTGCGGGGGGCGGGGTCGCGTCTGCCGCAGCAACGGGGTGCGGCAGGGTGGGGAACGCGGGAGCGGGGCCAGCTCCCAGGAAAGCTGGTCTGCGAGCGGCCCCTGCCCGGCTCCCAGGTCCCTGCGCGACCCCGCCCTTCCCGAGACCCCAGCCGGGCTGCCGCCCGCGTCCCGGAAGGTGAGTGGGGGAGGGGAGATGGAGCCTGGGGCTGCCGAGAAGCAGGGAGAGAGGGGAAAGGTCTGCAGGCCTCTGGGCGCGGGGGACCTTTATCAAAGGGAGCGGCGAGGGGAAGGGAGGGACCATACGCAGGCGGAGAAGAGGTAGCTGGGGATCTTAAGGATTTTGTAGGGAAAAGCCTTAGCGGACCCATGGGTGTAGAAGGGACGGGCCGTGGCGGATGCAGACTGGGAGGGCCTGACGGGAAAGGGAAAGGATGGGCCCCTGTGGACGCCACAGCGCGCCTTCCCCATCCGCAAAGGCTTTCCCTCCCTCTCCTCCAGCTCCAGCCTGAACCATGTTTTTCACTTGTGGCCCAAATGAGGCCATGGTGGTCTCCGGTAAGTACTGTTGTTCCCTTCCCAGCCAGTGACCCCAGAACCCCTGTGAGTCTGGCCTCTGCCCCTTCTCCCTCTCCCTACCAACTTCCCAGCACCAGACTTCTGCCCCTTGATGGCCACGAACTGCCCAGTTTGATTCCCACCATTCCAAGGCCCAGACTGCTTCCCCTCCAGCTCCCAGATTCTCTCCTGTGGGTTGCTGTCCCCTCACCCCCGCCAGTTCCTCAGTCTTCCACATTCAAGCTCTGCCACCGTTCCTCACTGCCCCACACCTTGCAGGGTTCTGCCGAAGCCCCCCAGTCATGGTGGCTGGAGGGCGTGTCTTTGTCCTGCCCTGCATCCAACAGATCCAGAGGTAGGCAAGAAGGGAACCAGGGAAGGGGGACCTCCGTTTTCTCTTTTTCCTCCTCTTCTTACTGTCTGTCCCTTCTTTTTCCCCTAGGATCTCTCTCAACACACTGACCCTCAATGTCAAGAGTGAAAAGGTTTACACTCGCCATGGGGTCCCCATCTCAGTCACTGGCATTGCCCAGGTGAAGCTTTCAGAGCCTTTTCCCCACAGTCCACTTCCCCATCACCCTCTCTCCCAGACATTAAGACATCTTCTGGCCACAGTCTTCTCAACCCTTGCCTGCAGAGAAGTTCCTCTGCTAGTCTCATCTTTTCCAGGCACCCCAAGGCACTTGCCTCCTCCTCCTTTCTTTCCCTGAAATGGAAGAAGCATTTCTTAGAGGGCTCTCCCTTCTCTCTCTGCTTTTTCTCTGACTTCATGAGACCCCCACCACACCTTTCCTACCCCTACTCTGGCTACAGGTAAAAATCCAGGGGCAGAACAAGGAGATGTTGGCGGCCGCCTGTCAGATGTTCCTGGGGAAGACGGAGGCTGAGATTGCCCACATTGCCCTGGAGACGTTAGAGGGCCACCAGAGGGCCATCATGGCCCACATGACTGTGGAGGTTGGCCTAGGGGCAGGGAACCATCTGGAAGGATGTCAAAATGAGGGGGGCCCAAGGCCCACACTAGTCTGTGAGAGACAGTGGATCCAAGAGCATACATCCCGGCCGGGCAGGGTGGTTCATGCCTGTAATCCCAGCACTTTGGGATGCCAAGGTGGGCAGATCACTTGAGGTCAGGAGTTCGAGACCAGCCTAGCCAACCTGGTGAAACCCCTTCTCTACTACAAATACAAAAATTAGCTGGGTATGGTGATGGGTGTCGGTAATCCCAGCTACTTGGGAGGCTGAGGCAGGAGAATCACTTGAACCCAGGAGGCAGAGGTTGCAGTGAGCAAAAAAAAAAAAAAAAAAAAAACTTACATCCCTTCTCCCCACCATCCTGTTATCACAGGAGATCTATAAGGACAGGCAGAAATTCTCAGAACAGGTTTTCAAAGTGGCCTCCTCAGACCTGGTCAACATGGGCATCAGTGTGGTTAGCTACACTCTGAAGGACATTCACGATGACCAGGTAAAACTAGGCAATTGATCCTTCCCCACTTCCTTGCTCCCATCTCTTAAGCCCTCCAAAGGACTAATTTCTACATCTCTCCCACAGGACTATTTGCACTCTTTGGGGAAGGCTCGAACAGCTCAAGTCCAAAAAGATGCACGGATTGGAGAAGCAGAGGCCAAGAGAGATGCTGGGATCCGGGTGAGAGAGATGGGGGTTGCTTAGTGGGAAAGGGGATAGAAGTGGCACAACTGAGAAGAAGCAGGGGTGCTGGGTGAGCAGGGAAAATACATGAGGCAGAAAGAGAACCTTGGTGGGAAGCAGGCTGTCACCGTGGCCTTTCTCCCCCTGCCCTGACATTTCCTACCTGATCTCTGCTTGGACAGGAAGCTAAAGCCAAGCAGGAAAAGGTGTCTGCTCAGTACCTGAGTGAGATCGAGATGGCCAAGGCACAGAGAGATTACGAACTGAAGAAGGCCGCCTATGACATCGAGGTCAACACCCGCCGAGCACAGGCTGACCTGGCCTATCAGCTTCAGGTCAGAGCCACTGCCAGGCCACTCTCTGCCCCTTCCCCATTCCTCTCAGGCTGTCCATCTCAGGACACCACTACACTATTTCTCATACTTTAACTTTGGTCTTATTCTGGCTCTCCATCTCTGGACCAACTCCCCCATATGAGGAGAGATTTAAAAGACTCAGACGTTACAGCTGAAAAGCTTTAAAGAAAAGGCCAGCCGGGTGTGGTGACTCATGCCTGTAATCCCAGCACTTTGGGAGGCCAAGGCGGGCTGATTGCTTGACCTCAGGAGTTCAAGGCCAGCCTGGGCAACATGGTGAAACCGTGTCTATGCGAAAAATACAAACATTAGCCGGGCATGGCAGCTCGGGCCTGTAGTCACAGCTACTTGGGGTATGAGGCAGGAGGATTGCTTGAGCCAGGATGCGCAGGTTGCAGTGAGTCGAGATCACACTACTGCACTCCAGCCTGGGTGACAGTGAAATCCTGTCCAAAAAAGAGAAAAAAAAGGCCACGCGCGGTGGCTCATGCCTGTAATCCCAGCACTTTGGTAGGCCAAGGCAGGTGGATCACAAGGTCAAGAGTTCGAGACTAGCCTGGCCAACATAGTGAAACCCTGTTTCTACTAAAAATACAAAAATTAGCCAGGTATGGTGGCACGCACCTGTAGTCCCAGCTACTTGGGAGGCTGAGGCCGGAGAATTGCTTGAACCCGGGAGACAGAGGTTGCAGTGAGCTGAGACCACGCCATTGCACTCCAGCCTGGGTGACAGAGTGAGACTCCATCTCAAAAAAAGAAAAAAAAAAAAGAGAAGGCCAAGAAGGGATATGATCAATAAGGCTGATCATATGTTTGGAGCAGGCTGTGCCCGTGCAAAGGCATCTGACTGAGAAAGTGGATCCGAGCTCAGATCCGGCCCATGCCCCTCTAATCAAGCAGTGCATTCTGACATGGGTCTGCATCTACACAGAGGAATTTCTGATTTGCACAGAGGCATGCTATGGGCTAGCGGCAGCCCTGGTTAATTAAAAAAGGGTATGAAGAAGGAAAACATGGACTTGGACATTGAATCCTGCAAAGTGAGATATGGGCAGCCCTTGATATTGCCAGGAAGTATAGTTGATCTTCATTCTTCATTATTCGTATCTGAGAATTTGCCTATTCACTAAAATGTATTGGTAACCTCAAAAGGTTACCAATAAAGTCGCAGCACTTTCAGGATCTTTTGCAGACACGCACAGTACCCAGGTGAGGTTGATCAAGGAGATGCTCTGCTGCCTTGTTTCAGCTCTCATACCGTAAGCCGTGTTATTTTCACAGTATATTTACTGCCGTGTTTTTTGCATTTTTGTGCTTTTTATTGGTGAATTCACTCTTTAAAATGGCCCCCAAGCATCAGTGCTGTAGTGCTGTCTAGTGTCCTTTAGTGCAAGCGGGCTATGATGTGCCTTATGGGAGAAATACATGTGTTAGGTAAGCTTCGTTCATGCATAAGTTATACTGCTGTTAGCTGTGAGTTCAGTGTTAATGAATCAACAATATATTTTACATAAGGTGTCTTTAAACAGAAACACATATAAAGCAAGGCTCTATGTTGATCAGTTGATGAAAATGTTTTGACCAGAGGCTCACGGGAACCTAGCCTGTATTTCTTCTAGGAACAAATTAGGTATTAACTAATTCAGCATTCATGGCTACTTTATAGAACAGAACTACCAAGAACAATGAAAATCAACTGTACTTTGAGACCTTTACCCAAAGGATAGCAATATTATGCATTTTGTTTTTGCCAAGAGTTGGTACAGGCTGAAAGCATAATGAAGGTAAAAACATCTTTTGTTATTATGTTAAATTCCTGGGTGACTTGACAGGTTGAACATGGCATACAGCTTTGCAACTCAAACTGTGTTCTACCCAGCAGCAGCTGCAGCATCACTGCGAAGCTTGTTAGAAATACAAAATTGCAGGCCCTGGCCCTGACCAGCTGAATCAGAACCTGCATTTTAACAAAATCTCAAGGTGAATTCCTAGGTGATTTGTATGCACATTGGAGTTTGAGTTTGAAAAGGGTTACCATGATGGAAACTGCTAGCTTGCAGTGAAGCTATGGATAAGGTTCTTAACCTTCTAAACATGACCTTACTTGTCTGCAGATTAAGGGATTGGACTGGTTGGACTCTTTTCAACTTTTATCAGTTTCTCGTTATGCACCAGGCAGTGTGCTAGGTGTTCAGGAAAGAAGGATTTATTCAACAAATATCTGTTAAGTGCCTTCTATGTGCTAGACACCATTTTGGAGGTGAGGCTATAAATATGGAGGTGAGGCAGAAAAGATTCCTGCCCTTATGCAGCTTACATTATGACACAGGAAACAGCTAGTAAGCAAGTAAATGACCTTCCCAGGCTATAATTCTTGTTTAGGTGCTGTGAAGGAAATAAACAGGGTGATGTGAAAAACTGTGGGAGGGGAGTTAGTATATTAGGTTAGCGGGTGGTAGAGAAAGTTTCTATGAGGAAGTGGTGTTTGAGATCAGACTTGGAGATAAGAAGGAACAATGTACAGTTCTGAGCCAAGAATATTCTAGCCTGTGCTTTTTAAGTAGTCATACTTAAAAAGTGGCTGGGCGCGGTGGTTCATGCCTGTAATCCCAACACTTTGAGAGGCTGAGACAGGAAGATCACTTGAGGCCGGGAGTTTGAGACCAGTCTGGCCAACAGTGAAACCCTGTCTCTACCAAAAATACAAAAAATATTAGCCGGGTGTGGTGGTTTGAGCCTGCAGTTCCAGCTACTTGGGAGGCTGAGGCGTGAGAATCGCTTGAATCCAGAAGGCACAGTGAGCCGAGATTGCGCCACCGCACTCCAGCCTGGGCGACAGAGCGAGACTCCTTCTAAGATAGATATATGGATGGATGGATGGACGGATGGACGGATGGACGGACGGACGGACGGACGGACGACAGACAGTCAGTCAGTCAGTCAGTCATACGTGGCTTGTGGCTAGGCAGGGGACCAGTAAGTGCAAAGGCTGTGAGGTGGAGTCAGAAAGGAGGTTTCTGATCTGGGGGCGCTGGTGTGCTGTGAGTGAGGAGGAAAGGCAGGCAGGGCCAGATCACAAAGGGTTTGTGTGGTCACGATGGAGACACAGAAGAGAACTGAAAGCACAGTGGAAAGCTATTGGAGAACTTCAAGCAGAAAGGTGCCATGGTCTTATTTATATTTGTATAGGGATCAGTCTGGTTGCCTTGTGGAGAACGGGCAAAGAGAGGAAGCAAGGCCGGGTGCGGTGGTTCACACCTGTAATCCCAACACTTTGGGAGGCCGAGGTGGGCAGATCACGAGGTCAGGAGATCGAGACCATCCTGGCTAACATGGTGAAACCCCGTCTCTACTAAAAATACAAAAAATTAGCTGGGCGTGGTGGCAGGCACCTGTAGTCCCAGCTACTCGGGAGGCTGAGGCAGAAGAATGGCATAAACCCGGGAGGCGGAGCTTGCAGTGAGCCGAGATCGCGCCACTGCACTCCAGCCTGGATGACAGAGTGAGACTCTGTCTCAAAAAAAAAAGCAAAAGATGAGTTGGGCTCTTTTTCAGAGATGATGGATTAAACAAATGTAGCTAATTTTACTCTCTCCTAAAACCTCACTAAAGCCAAAATGATTTTTTTTTTTTTTTGAGATGGAGTCTCGCTCTGTCGCCCAGGCTGGAGTGCAGTGGCGCGATCTAAAATGATTTTTTTTAAGGTAAAGATAGAGGCTTGTCCAAAGGTAGTGAGTTATCTCAATTGATTGTTCAGTCAGTTACAGATTGAACTCCTTGTTCTACTCTTTACCTACTTCTCACTATTGCACTTGATTAGTCTTTCTTTCTTCCTTTCTTTCCTTCTCTTCTCTTCTTTCTTCTCTCCTCTCCTCTTTGAGACCGGGTCTTACTCGGTCCCCCAGGCTAGAGTGCAGCGGTACAATCTCAGCTCACTACAGCTTCAACTGCCTGGGCTCAAGCAATACTCCCACCTCAGCTTCCTGAGTAGCTTGGTCTACAAACATATGCCACCACGCCTGGCTAATTTTTGTATGTTTTGTAGAGACGGAATTTCACCATGTTGCCCAGGCTGGTCTCAAACTCCTGGGCTCAAAGGATCCTTCCCGCCTCAGCCTCCCAAAATGCTAGGATTACAGGCGTGAGCCACCATGCCCAGCTGACTAGGCTTTAAAAAAAAAAAAGATGGAGAAAATAGGAACGGAAACCAGAGCATCATTTTGGAAACTGGAAGTCAGTAGTAATTGACTAAGCAGGTATGACACAGCTGAGCTTGAAACCTGCAAAAGGGAAAACAATGAAATGATCTGAGGCTCAGGAGCTGGCAGCACCCAGTGCTTCTCCAGCTGTGGTAGACTGGTTAAATAAGAGGAACATGTGAAAAGCACCTTCTCAGAGCCCCTCACTGCCTCTGGGTAATGGTTCCTGCCCTGCTCCAACAGACATCTGGAGGTTTATTATCTTATTTATCTATTTTATTTATGTTTTTTTTGAGACAGGGTCTCTCACTCTGTTGTCCAGGCTGGAGTGCAGGTGCAGTGGCGCAGTCTCGGCTCACTGCAACCTCTGCCTCCTGGGTTCAAATGATTCTCGTGCCTCACCCTCCCAAGTAATCCTCAACTGGGATTACAAGTGCCCACCACCACGCCCAGGTAATTTTTGTATTTTTTTTTTTTTTTTTAGTAGAGAGGGGTTTCACCATGTCGGCCAGGCTGGTCTCGAACTGCTAGCCTCAAGTGATCCATCCACCTCAGCCTCACAATGTGCTGGGATTACAGGTGTGAGTTACCATACCTGCCATTGGAAGTCTATTATCTGAAGAGAGTAGACTAGAGGATGTGATGGGGGCTGGCCCAGCACAGGTGAGGACCTAGATAGTTTACCAGTAACAGGGGCATGAAATGACTATAACTTTCATGAATGCTAAATACTGAGAGCCAACCCCAACCCCAACCCCCTCAACCCCACTCAGCTCCCAGAACTTCCATCTTCCAAAAAAGAGATCAGAAGACTGCTCTGGGGAACATGACCAATCCAAAAAGAAATAACTTAAAATCCTGAATCAGATGTTTCTCCGTACATGGCCTATCCAGATCACCGTAGGGTGAAGCTCAAAGTCAGCAAGCCTCACCCACATACTCAGAGCTTCCTTTCAGTGTTGAGACCTTCTTCCCTCTGAGCAGATGACAAAGGAGTTTGAAACCAGCCTGGCCAACATGGTGAAACCCCGTCTCTACTAAAAACACAAAAATTAGCTGAAATGGTGACTGTAATCCCAGCTACTCAGGAGGCTGAGGCAGGAGAATCACTTGAATCCGGGAGGCAGAGGTTGCAGTGAGCTGAGATCGTGCCATTTCATTCCAGCCTGGGCAACAGAGCAAGCCATCACAGATTTGGGAGCAACCAAGAAAGCCAGGGACAGGGTATGCTTGGTAACCTGGCAAGAGCTGACAAAGGGGAAAAATAAAACCCCACAGAAAGAAGCAGGGAAGTAAGGGAAAGGGACTAATAAGAGTCAAGCAGGGCCAGGGGTGTTGGCTCATGCCTGTAATCCCAGCACTTTGGGAGGCCAAGGTGGGTGGCTCACGAGGTCAGGAGATCGAGACCATCCTGGCTAACACGGTGAAACCCCAACTCTATAAAAATACAAAAAATTAGCCAGGCGTGGTGGTACGCGCCTGCAGTCCCAGCTACTCGGGAGGCTGAGGCAGGAGAATCACTTGAACCTGGGAGGCAGAGGTTGCAGTGAGATGAGATCATGCCACTGCACTCCAGCCTGGGTGACAGAGCGAGACTCCATCTCCAAAAAAAAAAAAAAAAGTCAAGCACATGCAAATGTGGCATGACTTATTGGGAGCAGAAACATTCTGAGAAAAATTATATAAAAATGAGGTTTTAGATTGAAATGGTCTACTAAGTGCCCAATGCAATGAATGAAAAATATATACATTGAAACATAACACTGTGAAACTTAAGAATGCTGAGGACAAAAAATATGAAAGCTTCTAGAGAGAGAGAGATCTCAAAGAGGCAGGCTTCAAAATGACTTCAGATTCCTTTTTTTTTTTTTTTTTTTTTTTTTTTCAGAGACAGGGTCTTGCTCTGTTGTCCAATACAGTGGCATAAACAAGGCTCACTGTAACCTCAACCTCCCAGGCTCAAGTGATTCTCCCACCTCAGCCTCCCCAGTAGTTGGGACCACAGGGGCACACCACCACGCCCAGCTAATTTTTAAATTTTTTTCTAGAGGTGAGATCTTGCCATATTGCACAGGCTGGTCTTGAACTCCTGGGTTCAAGTTATCCTCCCACCTTAGCCTCCCAAAGTGCTGGGATTATAGGCATGAGCCACTGCATCAAGCCCAGCTTTCTTTTTTTTTTTTTTTTTTTTTTGAGATGGATTTTTGCTCTTGTCACCCAGGCTGGAGTGCAATGGCGTGATCTCAGCTACTGCAACCTCTGCCTCCTGGGTTCAAGCGATTCTCCTACCTCAGCTTCCCAAGTAGCTGGGACTACAGGTATGTGCCACCATTGCTGGCTAATTTTTGTATTTTTAGTAGAGACGGGGTTTCACCACGTTGACCAGGCTGGTCATGAACTCCTGACCTCAGGTGATCTGCCCACCTCAGCCTCCCAAAGTGCTGGGATGACAGGCATGAGCCACCATGACTGGCCCAAGCCCAGATTTCTTAAAAAGCTAGAAAACCATGGAGGAATGCCTTCAGAATTCTGATGGAAAGTTAATCCCAACATAGCAGCCTGCTTTCAGCCTAACTGGTATTAAAATAGAAGGGTAGAGGCCGGGTGCAGTGGCTAACGCCTGTAATCCCAGCACTTTGGGAAGCCGAAGCAGGTGGATCACCTGAGATAAGGAGTTCAAGACCAGCCTGGCCAATGTGGTGGAACCCCATCTCTATTAAAAACACAAAAATTAGCTGAGCGTGGTGGCAGGCACCTATAATCCCAGATACATGGGAGGCTGAGGCAGGAGAATTGCTTGAACCTGGGAGATGGAGATTGCAGTGAGCCAAGACTGCGTCACTGCACTCCAGCCTGGGTGCCAAGAGCGAAATTCCATCTCAAAAAAAGGTAGAATAAAAATCTCAGAGAAAGCAAGACCTCAGAAAAAATATTGTCTTTATATTCTTTCTGAGGAAGCTTCTGGAGGTTGAGTTTCACCAAAAGGTGGGCATAGACAGGAAGGAAAAAGAAACAGACAAATGGTTGCCTAAGGGACACAGGAGAGAGGTGATCCTGCACACCGGTGTAGAGGGCAACGAGGCCAGTTTGGAACGGGTTTGAAAATTTAGGGTGAAAGACAGTACAGAGTGCCGTCTCCAGAGCTATGCTTCTCTCTGGAGTGAACAGATGGGCCCGGGGGAAGGTAGGAGGCAGGGGAAGCATCACATGTATTGATGAGACCTACAATGATGATGGTGCATGGCTGAGCCTGAGCAATGGGACAACGAAGGCATGTGTTCTGGCTGGGTGTGATGGCACATGCCTGTAACCCCAACACTTTGGGAAGCCGAGGCAGGTGGATCACGTGAGCCCAGGAGTTTGAGATCAGCCTGGGCAACATAGAAAACCCTGTCTCTACAAAAAGTACAAAAAATAGCCGGGTGTGCTGGTTCACACCTGTAGTCCCAGCTACTCTAGAGGGGGAGGCGGGAGGATCATCTGAGCCCAGGCAGGTCAAGGCTGCAGTGAGCCATGATTACGCCATTGAACCTGGGTGACAGAGTAAGATGATGTCTCAAAAAGAAAAAAAAAATGTGTTCCTTGCCTGGCACCTCTCCTCACTAGCATCTTGATAAGAGCCTTCTGATTCCCTCACACTGCAAGGAATAAGAAGATGAAATCTAGGCTGGGTGCGATGGCTCATGCCTGTAATCCCAGCACTTTGGGAAACTGAGGCGGATGGATCACTTGAGATCAGGAGTTTGAGACCAGCCTGGCCAACATGGTGAAACCCCGTCTCTACTAAAAAAAATACAAAAATTAGCCAGACATGGTAGCACATGCCTGTAGTCCCAGCTACTTGAGAGGCTGAGGCAAGAGATTAGCTTGAACCTGGGAGGTGAAGGTTGCACTGAGCTGATCGTGCCACTGCACTCCAGCCTGGGCAATAGAGCGAAACTGCCTCAAAAAAAAAGAAAGAAATCTGCCTAAATAAGAGGAATTCTATGAATACACACATTCTTGTAGATGTTCAGAGTATCCCTGGAAGGATACACAAGAAGCTGGTCTTGGTGGTTTCTCTGGGAAAGGGACCCAGGTGGTTTGGAGAATGAGGAAGAAGCCTCGTGGTTCACTTTTTTTTCTGTTAAATCTGCACCATGTGCAAAAGACAAAAAAGATCACCTGTCCCCACCCCCACAAAAAATAAGTCAGCTATTGCAGTAGCCTAGGCTAGCACTAAGGTTATCGCAGCAACAGTGGGGGGATTTGAGCAAGACTGGAGATAGCAGAAAGCCAACATGTGCTCAGTGCCCTCAAGGTATTTATACTCTAGAAGGGGGCACACGTGGGAAAAATAGATTAAACGGGGGCTCATCAGAGAAACACTGGACTCCACTGGACTGGCCAAGCAGACAGGAGGGAACCCACCTTCATGCACCTGCTCCTTTTTTTTTTTTTTTTTTTTTGGAGATGGAGTCTTACTCTGTTGCCCAGGGTGGAGTGCAGTGGCGTGATCCCAGCTCACTGCAACCTTCGCCTCCCAGGTTCAAGCAATTCTCCTGCCTCAGCCTCCCGGGTGGCTGGGACTACAGGCATTCGCCACCACACCTGGCTAATTTTTTGTATTTTAGTAGAGACAGGGTTTCACCATGTTGGCCAGGCTGGTCTCGAGCTCCTGAACTCAGGCAATCCACCCTCCTTGGCCTCCCAAAGCGCTAGGATTACAGGCGTGAGCCACCGCGCCCGGCCACCGGCTCCTATTTTTATATCCCACTCTGGAGCTCTGGTTCCCGGGCACTTGCTCTTCACCTCTGACTCAGAGCGTGAACCTGACTTCACCCTCCTACCCAGGTGGCCAAGACTAAGCAGCAGATTGAGGAGCAGCGGGTGCAGGTGCAGGTGGTGGAGCGGGCCCAGCAGGTGGCAGTGCAGGAGCAGGAGATCGCCCGGCGGGAGAAGGAGCTGGAGGCCCGGGTGCGGAAGCCAGCGGAAGCGGAGCGCTACAAGCTGGAGCGCCTAGCCGAGGCAGAGAAGTAAATGTCCCCTCCCTGACCCTGCCTAGCTCACTTGCCACCTAGGCACCCCAAGATGGAGTGCTGAAGCCTTCACCACCTGGACTCCTATGGATTTCAGGTTTCAGGAGCGTCTGCCTCTGCAGCACTGGGCCTTTCTCCTGGGAGTAAGGGCTGCTGGGCTCCACCCTCCACTTCCCTTCTGTCCACAGGTCCCAACTAATTATGCAGGCGGAGGCAGAAGCCGCGTCTGTGCGGGTGAGTTAAGAGGCAGTTCCATGCTGGCTTGTGGAGAGGGTGGGGGTTGCTGCTTGATCGGGGATTTCTTGTTCTTAATGATTTCCGTCAATCTCACAAGCATCCTTAACCCTCAGATGCGTGGGGAAGCTGAGGCCTTTGCCATAGGGGCCCGAGCCCGAGCCGAGGCTGAGCAGATGGCCAAGAAGGCAGAAGCCTTCCAGCTGTACCAAGAGGCTGCTCAGCTGGACATGCTGCTAGAGAAGCTGCCCCAGGTCTGGAGGTCATGTGGGCACCAAGAAAGGAGGAAATAGAACCAGGGACTAAGGGGTGGGGTGTAGTGAGGGGCTTAGGGAGAAACAGCCTAGGGGGACTCTAAATTAGGGGTGGGAATTATTAGTGACCAAAGTGAGGAAGGATGATCAGTGGAACGAGGACCTTAAAACCCAGAGTAAGTTGTTTTATGAGGAATGTGGTCAGATCATGGGCACTGAGTGGGTGTCTCTCTCCTGCCAGGTGGCAGAGGAGATCAGTGGTCCCTTGACTTCAGCCAATAAGATCACACTGGTGTCCAGCGGCAGTGGGACCATGGGGGCAGCCAAAGTGACTGGGGAAGTACTGGACATTCTAACTCGCCTGCCAGAGAGTGTGGAAAGACTCACAGGCGTGAGCATCTCCCAGGTGAGGTCTCAGGTTGGAGCTGAGGAGAATTGCTAGGTTCCTGTGTTGTGTGACACAGTATGCCTAGCATTTAACCAGCATCCAGGCCTGGGAGTCATTGATGTTTATTAATCACTTTCTGTGTGCCAGACACAGTGCTAAGCTTCTACATAAATGAGTTGTTTTAAATCAAACTACCATTAGGGTATATAGGATTTTACAAAGTCCAGAAACTCAACATCCAGCATGTTCCTACTCATTCTGCTAGTGCAGCTGGAGTGAAATCCAGGTCGACTGTCTCTGCAACCTGTGCTTGTGGTCACCCCACTAGTATAGGGAACTAGTTGCAGCCTATTGACAGTTAATTAATTCTAGGGCATATCACTGCTTTTCTCAGCGCCCCAGTTAATTCACCTGTAGATCATGGTAGAAGTCAGCAAACAGGCTCTGGAACCACTGTTTTGTTGCGAATCCTAGCTACAATGCCTGCTAGCTGTAATCTTGGACAAGTAATCAACCTCTCTATACCTGTTTCCTCATCTTAAAATTGGGTTAATAATTAGAAACTACCCTGTTGAATTGTTGAGGGGCTCGAGCAAATATTTGCAGTGTTTAGAATAGTGCCTGGTATATAGTAAGCATTATGTGTATGTTAAAGAAATGGGGCCAGGTGCAGTGGCTTACGCCTGTAATCCCAGCACTTTGGGAGGCTGAGGCAGGCAGATCACCTGAGGTTAGGAGTTGGAGACCAGCCTGGCCAACATGGTGAAACACCATCTTTACTAAAAATACAAAAAAAAATTAGCCAGGCTTGGTGGTGCATGCCTGTAATCTCAGCTACTCGGGAAGCTGAGGCAGGAGAATTGCTGGAACCCAGGAGCCGAAGGTTGCAGTGAGCTGAGATCACACCACTGCACTCCAGCCTGGGTGACAGAATAAGACTCTATCTCAAAAAAAAAAAAAAATTCCAGGCGCGGTAGCTCATGCCTGTAATCCCAGCACTTTGGGAGGCTGAGGCGGGCGGATCACGAGGTCAGGAGATTGAGACCATCCTGGCCAACACAGTGAAACCCCGTCTCTACTAAAAATACAAAACAGCCGGGCGTGGCGGTGTGTGCCTGTAGTCCCAGCTGCTGGGGAGGCTGAGGCAGGAGAATGGTGTGAACCTGGGAGGCAGAGCTTGCAGTGAGCCGAGATAGCACCACTGCACTCCATCCTAGGCAACAGAGCAAGACTCTGTCTCAAAAAAAAAAAAGAGAAAGAAATGCATATTCGGGCTGGGTGCTGTGGCTCACACTTGTAATCCCAGAACTTTGGGAGGCCAGGGTGGACGATCAGCTGAGGTCAGAAGTTTGAGATCACCCTGGCCAACATGGTGATACCCCATCTCTACCAAAAATACAAAAATTAGCTGGGTATGGTGGCGCATACCTGTAATCCCAGCTACTCGGGAGGCTGAGGCAGGAGAATCACTTGAACTCAGGAGGCGGAGGCTGCAGTAAGCCAAGATCGCACCACTGCATTCTAGCCTGGGTGATAGAGTGAGATTCCGTCTCAAAAAAAAAAAGAAAAAAAAAAAGCGTATGTAAATAAAAGCACTGGATCATACCAATGACCTTCAAGCTGGGTTCCTTGGAGCCTCCTGGAGGCCTGCAGTAGAATATTCAGAGCTAAGGAGAGTGTGCAAACAAGGCTCTGCCCCCTCTCCTCTCTTCAGTGATTTATTGTATGTGGGTCCTGATGTCTTTGTTTGGGGAAACAGGTGGTAGGGCACCAGAAAGAACCCTGGCCGTGTGTGTTCTGCCTATAGCCCATTCGTCTAAACTGGGGCCCGGGAGAGTAGGGGCCTCAGCCTCCCGAATGTTCCCAAGTGTCATCTACTGTTGTCTTTTTGCCAGGTGAATCACAAGCCTTTGAGAACAGCCTGAGCCTTCAGCCCTCACAGATGCCCAGCCTCATAGCTGAAGTTGCCTGAATGATCCTCCTGTTGCATGTAACCCACTGGCCTCCCTGAGCATGTCCATTGACAGTGAGGTCCCACCCCTCATCTCTCCTTGCCAAATAGTTTGTGCCTTGTCTTGAAGGGGGTTGCTCCCCTTGCCAACCTCACACTGCTATGATTGCCAACTCCAGCGGTCCCATGTCAGCCTTCTGATGATCCCACTCCACCCCACCTCAACTTATTTAACTTCCTAATTAAATCAGACTGTTTGAGCCTGTTGTCTAGAATATTTTCCTGACCAAGACTGAGGGATGGGCTGGAGGTTTTCAACTTTGCTACCCAAATAAATTGCTGTAAGTAAGTACTAATAAAACAGAAGCAACTGGAAATTAATGCTTGGCCCGGCACAGTGGCTCATGCCTGTAATCCCAGCACTTTGGGAGGCCAAGGCAGGCAGATCATCTGAGGTCAGGAGTTCAAGACCAGCCTGGCCAACATGACGAAACCTTGTCTCTACCAAAAATACAAAAATTAGCCAGGCAGGGTGAAACATGCCAAGTAGTAGTCCCAGCTACTTGGGAGGCTGAGGCAGGAGAATTACTTGAACCTGGGAAGCAGAGGTTGCAGTGAGCCAAGATCGCACCACTGCACTCTAGCCTAGGTGACAGAGTGAGACTGTTTCAAAAAAAAAGAGAAAAAAAATGAATGCTAGACTCAGGTATGGTGACTCTTGCCTATAGTCCTAGCTACTTGGGAGGCTAAGGTGGGAGGATCACTTGAGCTCAGGAGTCTAAGGCTGTAGTGAGCCATGATCACACCACTGCATTCCAGCCTGGGTGACAAAGCAAGATCCTGGCTCTATTAGAAAGAAAATGAATGCTAGAATGTAGCTTCTTCCCTTGCATACAATAGGCTTTCTTGCATACAATAGGCTTTCTAGAATGGGAGAAAAGCAAGTTACTTATATACTGTCAAGAGTTTTAGAGTTAATTTTTCCCCCCAACAGTGTATTATAGTCAGAAAAGCATGCTAAAATAGAAGGAATGTTGGGAATAATACTAGTTCCTAGAATTCCTGAAAACATGGCAAAAGGAATTATTGTTTTCAGGGTAGCTTTGAGACTTGCATTGTGAACTTAAAAGTATGAGGTAGTAGATGGTACAGATTGTTTTAGAATGGGACCATAAGGTAGCAATCCCGCCTAGTTATCCTTTTTTTTTTTTAAAGACAAGGTCTTGGGCTTGGGCCGGGCACGGTGGCTCATGCTTGTAGTCCCAGAACTTTTTGGGAGGCTGAGACGGGTGGATCACTTGAGGTCAGGAGTTTGAGACCAGTCCTGGCCAACGTGGTGAAACCCCATCTCTACTAAAATACAAAAATTAGCCCGGCGTGATGGTGGGTGCCTGTAATCCCAGCTACTTGGGAAGCTGAGGCAGAATTCCTTGAACCCGGGAGGCAGAGGTTGTAGCGAGCCAAGATCGCGCCAATGTGCTCCAACCTGGGCAACATAGCAAGACTCCATCTCAAGAAAAAAGAAAAAAAAAGACAAGGTCTTGCTCTGTCACCCAGGCTGGGGTGCAGGGGTAGGGTCAGGGCTCATTGCAGCCTCTACCTCCCAGGCTCAGGCAATCCTCCCATCCAATCCCCACCCCCCTACCCCCAACAACCACCACCCCCCTCTACCCCAGCAGCTGGGACTACAGGCATGCACCACCATGCCCAGCTTTTTTTTTTGTTAGATGGTTCACTGCTGCCCAGGCTGGTGTGGAACTCCTGGGCTCAAGCCATCCTCCTGCCTCGGCCCCCCAGAGTGCTGGGATTACAAGTGGGAGCCACCATACCAGGGCTTCACTAGTTATCTTGGTGTCATAGGTTGACTAAGCCCACAGGATCACAGGAAATGGCCATGGGTACACATAACCCAAAGGAATCCTGGGCTGGGTGGCCAAGGCCAGTTCAACCATTTATGGTTCAGTACATCTGGGTGGGATGAAAAACTTGCATTTATTTCTGCAAGTTCCCAGAGGATGTGGATGCTGGTCTGGAAACCAGTTACACGTGATTTGTCATTCTTCTCAGCTTCCATTTTCCATCCCTGGATCCTGCATCTAAGCCTATGCCTTCCCCAGTTAAGACTCATTGGTGGGCCTGGTGCACTGGCTCACCTGGCTTATGCCTACAGTCCCAGCTGCTTGGGAGAATGAGATGGATTGTTTGAGCCCAGGACATCAAGGCTGTAGTGAGCTGTCAGAGACTACAGTAAAGACTGACTGGTGCTCAGAGCAGTTTGGGTACCAGAAACAATGATGTGAGGGTCTATAAAGCAGTCAGTGTCCTTACCAGTACCTCCCTGAGATACCAAATCGGCAGACACCCAAGTCCCTCATATAAAATGTAGTACTTGCATATAACCTGTGTACTTCAAATCATCTCTACGTTACTTGTAATACCTAATCTAATGCAAATATTATGTAAATAATTTATACTATTATTGTTTAGGGAATAATGAGAAGTCTATACATGTCCAGTACAACTCTTTTCCCAATATCCAGTTGGTTGAATCCGTAGGACAGGGACTCAATATTAAGTGTCAATTTAAGGAGAGCAGTGCAACTGAACTCAGGCCCCATGCCTCCATCAGCCAGCCGTGTTTCCCTAAATAAGCACACATCTCGCAGCTTTTTTCAATTCCCATTTATTTTTGGCTCTTGGGGCGATGTCATCTTTTCAATATGAAAAAAAGCAGCAAGTTCAACATAAAATAGAAATCTCAAATGTAGGATAGAACAAAACCAAGTGTGTGAGGGGGGAAGCAACAGCAAAAGGAAGAAATGAGATGTTGCAAAAAAGATGGAGGAGGGTTCCCCTCTCCTCTGGGGACTGACTCAAACACTGATGTGGCAGTATACACCACTCCAGAGTCAGGGGTGTTCATTCTTTTTTGGGAGTAAGAAAAGGTGGGGATTAAGAAGACGTTTCTGGAGGCTTAGGGACCAAGGCTGGTCTCTTTCCCCCCTCCCAACCCCCTTGATCCCTTTCTCTGATCAGGGGAAAGGAGCTGAGTGAGGGAGGTAGAGTTGGAAAGGGAAGGATTCCACTTGACAGAGTGGGACAGACTCCTCCAGAGTAGAGCTTGGAGGGAGATTGAAAGTGGAGATAATACTGCTGACACCTCCCTTGAAGCTGAGATGGGAAATGGACATACTTAGAAATTTAGTGACTTTAATAGCCTGGATTTCCCTCTCCAAAACTTTTAGAATGGAAAATCCCATCCCCTTCCTTATATAGTGACTTCTACCCACTACCTTCTACCATTTTCTACTTTGGGCTTAGGATGATGGCCATTATCTACATGTGTTTTCAGCACCTGGTTGGTTCTAAATGGGATCTGGAGACCCAGCTTCTTGGAGATTTTTAAGAGGAAGTATTAACTGGACAAATGGAATGGGCACCAGAAAGAAATACAGGGTCACCCAGAATGGCAGAAACCTAGGTTTCCCAGAGTGGAAAGAGAGAGGAGACATTCAACAAACAAGTATTTATTGAGCGCCTACTATGTGCCAGGCACTGTTCTAGACCCCCCCCCAGAAGAAAAAACAAAAAACAAGATAGAGGCAGCAAACACAAATTCTGAGGGAGAGGAAAGGGGCAGTTGAGTAAGACGGCTAAGGGAACTGAGAAGCCTGAGGTGATGGGGGCTCTGCCTTAGGCCTCCTCTTCGGCCTCCTCACCGAAATCCTCCTCCTCTTCTGCGGTGGCATCCTGGTACTGCTGATACTCAGAGACGAGGTCGTTCATGTTGCTCTCAGCCTCGGTGAACTCCATCTCGTCCATGCCCTCGCCTGTGTACCAGTGGAGGAAGGCCTTCCGGCGGAACATGGCAGTGAACTGCTCCGAGATGCGCTTGAAGAGCTCCTGGATGGCTGTGCTATTGCCAATGAAGGTGACTGCCATCTTGAGGCCACGAGGTGGGATGTCACAGACGGCTGTCTTGACATTGTTGGGGATCCATTCCACAAAGTAGCTGCTGTTCTTGTTCTGCACGTTAAGCATCTGCTCATCGACCTCCTTCATGGACATCCGACCACGGAAGACAGCAGCCACGGTGAGGTATCGGCCGTGGCGGGGGTCACAGGCAGCCATCATGTTCTTGGCATCGAAGACCTGCTGGGTGAGTTCCGGCACTGTGAGAGCTCGATACTGCTGGCTTCCACGGCTGGTGAGAGGGGCAAAGCCAGGCATAAAGAAATGGAGACGTGGGAAGGGGACCATGTTGACTGCCAACTTGCGGAGGTCAGCATTGAGCTGGCCAGGGAAACGGAGGCAGGTGGTGACACCACTCATGGTGGCTGAGACAAGGTGGTTCAGATCCCCGTAGGTTGGTGTGGTCAGCTTCAGAGTGCGGAAGCAGATATCATAGAGGGCCTCGTTGTCAATGCAATAGGTCTCATCAGTATTCTCTACCAACTGATGGACGGAGAGGGTGGCATTGTAGGGCTCGACCACGGTGTCAGACACTTTGGGTGAAGGCACCACACTGAAGGTATTCATGATGCGATCAGGGTATTCTTCTCGGATCTTGCTGATAAGGAGAGTGCCCATTCCAGAGCCTGTGCCCCCGCCCAGTGAGTGGGTCAGCTGGAAGCCCTGCAGGCAGTCACAGCTCTCTGCCTCCTTCCGTACCACATCCAGGACAGAATCAACCAGCTCGGCGCCCTCTGTGTAGTGGCCTTTGGCCCAGTTGTTACCTGCCCCAGACTGACCTGGAATGCAGTCAGGAGAAAAGCTCAATTAACAGGGTATGGAAGATACATGATGTTTCCATCTTTCAACTTTTCAAATAATTCCCTCGGATGTATCTTCTTTCTCCTTCACTGTGATATATTCTCCCCCTACTGCCCCATAATTTACCAGCAATAGTAGGCACTACCTCTACCCTCCGTTAGATTTCAGAACACATTTCTGTATTAGCACTCCAATACAACAATCATCTCCTAACTTTTGCTGTGTCCTTGCACCCAAATAAGTTGAACACGATGGTATATCATCTGCTAATATCATCTGTATAACTCACCAAATACAAAGTTGTCTGGTCTAAAGATCTGGCCAAAAGGACCTGAGCGAACAGAGTCCATGGTCCCAGGTTCTAGATCCACCAGGATGGCACGAGGAACATATTTGCCACCTACAGAGAATAAAGTTAAGAGCTGTGAAATCTGGCAGAAGGGAAGGTTTATAGATATACTGGAAATGGGAGACAGCAGGGATCAGAGACTTGTCATTCCAGGTCCCGCCACCAGGTGGCAGCAGACGTCTTTGGCCCCGACGGTGGTTCACGAAAGGGACAAAATGACAGATTCACCCAAAGGGGATAAGGCGTGCCCAGAAATGGAAAGAGATCCCAGATAAGTGGGAGACAGGGAAGGGAACCTGAGCTGCCCGGGCTCCTGCCCTTACCTGTGGCTTCATTGTAGTACACAGAGATGCGGTCCAGCTGCAGGTCGCTGTCCCCGTGGTAGGTGCCGGTGGGGTCGATGCCATGTTCATCACTGATCACCTCCCAGAACTGCCGAGGGGGAGCAACGAGACCACAACAGGTCAAGTCCCAGCCAACTATGTCCCCAACTACCATTTTATTTCATCTTTTTCTTAATTTTTTTTGAGACGGAGTCTCGCTCTGTCACCAGGCTGGAGTGCAGTGGCGCTATCTCGGCTCACTGCAACCTCTGCTTCCCGGGTTCAAGCGATTCTCCTGCCTCAGCCCCCGGAGTAGCTGGGACTATAGGCGCGCACCAACACGCCCAGCTACTTTTTGTATTTTTAGTAGAGACGGGTTTCACCATGTTGGCCAGGATGGTCTAGATCTCTTGACCTCGTGATCCGCCCACCTTGGCCTCCCAAAGTGCTGGGATTACAAGGGTGAGCCACCGCGCCCAGCTTCTTCTAATTTTTAAGACAGGGTCTTCCTGTTGCCCAGCCTGCAGTGCAGTGGTGCAATCACGGATGACTACAGCGTGGAACTCCCAGGCTCAACCGATCCTCCCATCTCAGCCTCTCGAGTAGCTGGGACCACAGACGCGCGCCACCACGCCCAGCTAATTTTTTACTTTTATTTTTTGTAGAAACGTGGCATGGGGGAGGGTCTCGCTTTGTTGCCCAGGATGGTCTCGAACCCCTGACCTGGAGGGATCCCAATTCGCCCACCTCGGCCCCACATCTCCCATTTTAATTCCACAAGCGCTCAGGCCGTTGTTCTAGGGCATGGCATCCCGTGGGCCTGCCACACCCTTCCCCTAGACACTCGCTCCCCCGAGAAAGCCACAGCTTTCCCTGCTCTGGATATGTGCAGCGGGTCCCAAGTGCTCGGTGGGCGGATGGAGGTCGACCACACTTCGATAAGCGCCGCTCTCCTTCCCCCAAGCTGGGCACCGCCCCACCGCGCGGCGCACAAAAGGCTGGGGGTCTGAGGAAAGAGCTGCCGCCGCAGTCGACCACCCCCCCCGCCCTCCACGTGACTGCGGCGCACGCGCAGGTCGAGCCGCCGACAAAAGACTTCGCGCGTGGGCGGGGCCAGGGACAAAAATTCCGCGCGCGAGGGGCGGGGCCCAAGGTAGCGCGCCCCTGCCGGCGGGCAACGCCGCATTGTCCCCGCGCGCCCACGGCGCCCCGGCCCCGCCCCGCAGGGCCCCGCCCTTCTGCTACAACGTAGCAGCCGCACTTCCTCCCGCCCCTCCCCCGCTACACTGTAACCGCGCGCAAAAAAAAAAAATCCCCCTTGGCCTCGGAATTTTTATTCCTTCGCTACATTTCTACCCCTTGATTTAAAGGATTCTTTCTCTCCCATTAAGTCCTGAGGGACTCATTAAAGAAAACCACACACCCCCATTTTCTCGACATATCTGTTCACGCCCTAAAAAAGTCTCTCTTAGGGGCCATGAAAGCAAGTAAAATTAATCCCGTTCTTATTCTCCTTCCACCCAGGAACAAATACAGGACCGGCCCTCTGGGGTCGCGGGCGCGTTGGGGTCCCTGGTCTTTTGTGAAAGGTAGCGCCCAGCGCAGCCCACCCTGGCGCATCGCCCCCCACCCTTGCGCTGGAGCTCTCTGCAGCCGCCCGATGGCCTCACCCCTTCCCGCTCCGGTTTGGCCCTAAGTACCCCGCAGGGGGGTTGGGCGGGATGCACATGGGCAAAACCTCGCCCCGCTTTGTCTGCGACCGTTTCCGCATCTCTCTCCCTGCCCGGTTCTCGGACCGTTAGAAGCCCTTTTAAGTAACATCTTATAAGTCCTCGGTCTTCCCGCCCCCAAACCCGAAGAGCCCTTTTACTAGTTTCTCCAAAATGTGCCTGCCAAGAAAAATGATTCCCAGCTTTCCAAAGGCAAATGCTAGCTACAATTGTTATATATATAAATGTAACAAACTTGAGAGGGGCAAATCTTGATTAAGGATAGCGGGTGCAAATGCCCCACAACCATTTTTTCATAACTTACCTGGATTTTTCCTTGTAAAAAGAAATAAAAGAGGTGTAAAATTCTTACCTTGGCACCGATCTGGTTGCCACACTGACCAGCCTGGATGTGCACGATTTCCCTCATGGTTAAAATTTAATTTTTTTGCTCGCCTCAAGGTATGTATGGGGCAAGAAAATAAGTAATTTTTTTTCTCCGCAGGTCGCAGGCTGGAAGGTTGGAATGCGCCCCAGAGGCTGGAGCAGCGAGGTGCAAACGCGACGGCAGGAAGGTTCTGAGAGGGAGAAAGGAGAGGGGAGGGCGCGGAGGGAAAGCAGGCTGGGCGGGGCGCGCGTGCGCCGGGGCTGGGAGGCGGGAGAATCGGCCCCGCGCGCGGTAGGGAGACAAAGCCTCATCGAGCCTGGCCCTGATTAGTCGATGCCGGTCATGTACCAGGCGTCCATTGGCCTCTGAGCCAGTGGACGAGCGCAGTCCTCTTTGGGAGTTGTAGTCCCCTATTGTTGTCCATGCTGCAAAATGAAGTGACGAATGGGTGGGTACCGGTTTGGTTTTCATGGGGTTTTTGTTTTGTAAATGAAAAACGACCTTGCGCAAGATTCCTTTCCTCTATGCCTGAGGTTTTTGTACAAAAAGTGAGCAGTTCTTGGGGGTACAGGAATTGAGAAGTCTGGGGTTCCAGAAGTTGGGTGGTGGGGAAGACACGCCCTGAAAGCTCCCAGCTGCAGTACCTCTAGGGGAGAAAGGATTGCTTAGTTCAGCGAAAAATGGGGAGAAGTCTGGCACCGTGCTCTGCCTCCCCTGGCCTTTGGTGACCCAAGGCATGAACTTCAGTAAGCTTCTGCTCCCTCAAATACTTCAAGAAGGGAATCGCCCTCTTGCTATTTCCTTGGAAATTTTCGAGCCATTGTTTTGAAAGAGAAACAAAATTGCAGCAAGGGCTTTTCAGGATAGCGATGTTGTCTGGAGAGTATGTTCAAAGAATAAAATAGTTTAGAGAAACCGACATCGGGGATTTGTGAAACTAGAAGTCTCCTACGTGGGTAGGAGATCTGGACCTTAGGGCAGACTTTGAAGACACCTTGGTCTTCTTGTCAAACAGGGAACTATGGAATGAGATGCCTGATAGATTTTCAGTTTTTTCAGCCTGCCTCTTTAGACATGTTAATGAAGTCAGTGGTTTTTCAATTCGCTGATTTCACTGACCAGGTGGCCGCCACTGCAACTCTGCAAGAGACCCAGTATTGAAAAACGAGAGAGGGGTAATTGATGGGGGAAAAATTGAGTGGGTTCAAGACGGAGTCCATCTGCTTCTTCCCATAGATTTATTATTCACTTATTTGATAGTTACTATGTATCCACCAAATTAGGAGCTATGGTTACAAAATGATTAAGAATTAGCTCCCTGTCCTCCAGGATGTTGCAGTCTGGTGAGAAGCATACAATCAATAAAATGTGGTAACCACTCAGAAATGTAGTATCAAGTCAACGTCATTGTTAATTCACATTCGATCACACAGATCAATGTATTTCTTTTTTTTTTTTTTGTATTTTTAGTAGAGACAGGGTTTCACTGTGTTAGCCAGGATGGTCTCGATCTCCTCACCTCGTGATTCGCCCGCCTTTGCCTCCCAAAGTGCTGGGATTACAGGCGTGAGCCACCGCGCTGGGCAGATCAATGTATTTCTAAGTTGCCTTCTAAATGAGGGAACATCAACTTGTGTAAGCCCTCTCTACCCACTTAAAATATAATGCTTTACGTTTTAGGGAAATGAACACAGTCATTTTGTGGGAGTAGAAATAACTCAAAATACACAATCAGATAACTTGTTTCAATTTGTCTCTATATTAGCTGTAGGATCCTAGGAAAGTCCTTTAACTTTGCAGGGCTCCAGCTCCTCGTTTGTAAAATCTGCTTATTTGACTGTTGTGCACAGAATTGAGATAACCAACAGAAAGGACTTTATGAATTATGCAAGTGTTATAGTTACCATTTTCTTCATGTCTTATTGTGAGATAAAATAGGCCGGGCGCAGTGGCTTACGCCTGTAATCCCAGCACATTGGGAGGCCCAGGCGGGAGAATCACCTGAGGTCCGGAGTTTGAGACCAGACTGACCAACATGGAGAAACCCCGTCTCTACTAAAAATACAAAATTAGCCGGGCGTGGTAGCGCATGCCTGTAATCCCAGCTACTCGGGAGGCTGAGACAGGAGAATTGCTTGAACCCAGAAGGCGGAGGTTGCGGTGAGTCGAGATCGCGCCATTGCACTCCAGCCTAGGCAACAAGAGCGAAAGTCCGTCTCAAAAAATAAAATATAGATGGCCGCATGCGGTGGTTTACGCCTGTAATCCCACCACTTTGAGAGGCCGAGGCGGGCGGATCACCTGAGGTCAGAAGTTCGAGACCAGCCTGACCAACATGGAGAAACCACGTCTCTACTAAAAATACAAAAATAAGCTGGGCGTGGTGGCGCATGCCTGTAATCCCAGCTACTTGGGAGGTTGAGGCAGGAGAATCGCTTGAACCTGGGAGGCAGAGGTTGCGGTGAGTCGAGATCGCGCCATTGCACTCCAGCCTGGGCAACAAGAGCAAAACTCCATCTCAAAAAATAGATAAATTAGTTAATTAAAAAATAAAAATAAATGATTTTATGATCCTTCCCTCGCCCCTCGAAAGGTGGGGACAGCCTTTAAGACAGAGAGCAAACCAGTTTTCTCTGTTCGACTACAGATCTTTAGGATCTTGGATTTAAGAAAATGACCTCAAAATGTCCGTCAGAGACGTATTCCCAGGAAGAAAGATATTACTTCTACTACAAACCAAATCAAAAGGAAATGAAATTCCAATGCAACAGGAGTGAACTGCCACGCCTACGGGCTGTTCTCCAAACTGCAGCCTCCAGCCACGACTGCAACGCGCAACCCACTTTCATTTCTCATGAGTCAGCGGACACCATGTCTAGGAGGACCGAGGAAAGGCGCTCTGGCCTTACCAGACACGTCGGACGTCTATGACACAGCCCCTCTATCCGTTGCCGGCAGCTGGCGCCAGACTCTCTGGTCGCGGTTTGGAACTGCGCGGGAAGTGGGTGGTGGGCGGGCAAGCGGTAGTGGGTTGTCCCTTGGAGCTGCCCAATCGACGTGCATTATTCTGTTGGCGCACGGCGGCCTTCAATTACCGTCTCATTAACTGATCTCAGCAGCCTGGGAGACACCACCTATTTGAACTCTAAGGGGGCGGGGCTTTGGGTGTGCCTCCGCTCGACTGGCTGCGGTTGTGAAAGACAGCGGCAGAAGCCAATCAGCAAATAAGCTCTTTTTCGGCACACGCAGTCGCTCCACCCGGGTCGCGACCGTTACTGGTGGCGCGCGCGGGGACTTAAAGTAGGTGAGTTCTAGGGGCCTGGCCCACGGCTCCCCGGGAGCCATCTTGGTTCCCCCAGAAGGCGGGAGGGGCGTACCTTGGGTGCGACTGGGCGGAGGTGACTTGGAAGTTCGCTTCTCGGACTGTAATACTCATCCTTACCTGGCGCCCCGCTCCGAGTTTAGGTATGAAGACACAGGGAGACGTCGGGCCACAAGGGAACCCACTGAGGTGGGGACCAAAGATGGTGGCTCTTTGAATTGGAGCCAAGCGTGGTGGGCACCCGCTGAGTTGGCCTGTCATAAAGACGGAGTTGACACTTTATCCATGGGGCATCCTACTTTCCCTACCTGTCAACAGTTTCCCTCTAGAGTGGCATATTTTCAGGTGAATTCCATTTATGCTATTTTCTTTCCATCTCATTTGTTCCTTCATCAGTAGGCTCGGTGATGAGCCTTCCCGAGGGCAGGGTCGATTTCATGTTTGGTTCACAGATGTATACCAAATACTTCAAACAGGTATACCATAACCATTGAATGAATATGATGGACCCTAGGGGAAAGACACGGTTCCCCTAATCCAGTCCTGGAGGTGGGTGAGTGTGAAGGCAGAAATGGAAAGTAATGGTTACAATATAGCGAGAGATCTTAGAGTAAGCACAAATCCATTGACCACTGTGGAACAGGCAGGATACACCAGGAACACGAGAAGGCAGGGAACACGCCAGGAAAGGGTTTGCTGAGAAAGTGACATTTGAGGCCGGGCGCGGTTGCTCACTGCTGTAATCCCAACACTTTGGGTGGCCAAGGTGGGCGGATCACCTGAGGTCAGGAGCTCGAGACCGTGGTGAAACCCCGTCTCTACTAAAAATACAAAAATTAGCCAGGCGTGATGCCGGGCGCCTGTAATCCCAGCTGCTCGGGAGGCTGAGGCAGGAGAATCGCTTGAAGCCTGGAGGCAGAGGTTGCAGTGAGCCAAGATAGCACCACTGCAGTCCAGCCTGGACGACAGAGCGAGATTCCATCTCAAAAAAAAAAAAAAGAAAGAAAGTGACATTTGAACTGAATCTTAAAGGATGGTAGAAGTTGGACCAGAAAACTAGGTGGGAAAAAGCCAAGGAATTGGGCTAAGGCATGAAGATGTGGGAAGACAAGAACAGTGTGTTCGAAGACTGGGGAAAATGTCTGGCTGAACCATAGGCTTTTGCGGGCGAGGGGTAGGCGTTACAAGATGTGAAGTTCAGATCATGGAGGGTCTCGCTAAGGAGTTTAGATTTTATTCTGTGTGCACGAAAAACCATCAAGATTTTAGAGGAGAGACATCTGAGTGATTTGGGGCAAGTCTTAACCTTATATATGCTTATGTATGTTTCAAGGAGATCTGAAAATCTTAACCCAGCTATGTTGCAGTTTCTTTATCTGAAGAAATGGAAGATAGTAATACTACTTTACAAGGTTCTTGTGAAGATTAAATGAGTCAGAGTCGATATAAAGTAATTAGAACAGTGCTTGACACATAGGAAGCTTCTATATATGTCATCTTTTATTATCATTTTTTGCAGTTGCATCTGATCAAACTGAGGTGGTCTGGTAAAAGTATAAAAAGCATGGGCTAAAAAAGAAAGAAAAACAACGGGGCGCAGTGGCTCACGCCTGTAATCCCAGCACTTTGGGAGGCCAAGGTGGGCGGATCACCCAAGGTCAAGAGTTCGAGTCCACCCTGGCCAATATGGCAAAACCCCATCTCTTCTAAAAATACAAAAATTAGCCAGGCATGGTGGCAGGTGCCTGTAATCTCAGCTACTTGGGAGGCTGAGGTGAGAGAATTGCTTGAAACCCGGGAGGCAGAGGTTGCCGTGGGCCCAAGATCTTACCACTGCATGCCAGCCTGGGGAGCAGAACGAGACTCCATCACAAAAAAGAAAAAAATGTTTTAAGTGCTTCAGAAGGTTAACAACAGAAAGATTGGTGGAAAGAGAAGCATCAACGTTCATAATGATCCAGTTTACCCCCTAGTTTTCAGTCTGATAACTCTGATGCTGTTTGTGTGAACCAATAATGAGGATAATTGATAATGTGTATCCTTCCCAGATCATGGAGGACACCCAGGCTATTGACTGGGATGTTGAAGAAGAGGAGGAGACAGAGCAATCCAGTGAATCCTTGAGGTGTAACGTGGAGCCAGTAGGGCGGCTACATATCTTTAGTGGTGCCCATGGACCAGAAAAAGGTCAGAGGGTATTGGATGTTCAAGTATTGATATAGATCTTTTATTTTTGTGGTAAGGTATTTGGAGGGTTGCAAGAAGCTTATGTATGTTTCAATGAGATGTGAATTTTTTTTTTTCATGAATGGAAGAGATGGGGCCGATTGAGTTGATAGTTGCAGACTACTACCCTGGACTCACTGGAAGTGATTTTACTTTGATAAAAGAAAATTAAGAGATTGAAATGAAGCTGGGTGCAGTGACTCACACCTGTAATTCCCGTGCTTTGAGAGGCCAAGGCAGAAGGATCACTTGAGACTAGGAGTTAGAGACCAGCCTGGGTAGCATAGCAAAACCCTGTCTCTACGAAAAATTTAAAAATTAGCCAGGTGTGGTGGTTCATTTCACATCTGCAGTCCCACCTACTTGGGAGGCTGAGCCAGATGATCACTTGAACCCAAGAGTTCAAGATTGCACTGATCTATGATCATGACACTGCATTCTAGCCTGGGTGACAGAATGAGACCCTGTCTCAAAAAAAAAAAAAAAATCAAATAAAATCCAATTGTGTGCTCTGGAGATGGATGGTAGTGATGATTGCACAACAGTGTGAATGCACTTAATGCCACTGAACTATACACTTAAAATTATTAAGGTGATACATTTTGTGTTATGTGTATTTTATAACAGTAAAAAAACATCCATTGTGGATGGATGGGGTATCGCATATACTCTTTCAGTGCCTAGATGTCCTAGGGCCTTTTATTTTTCTAATGCATATGGAGGCCTTGAGTGAGTAGTAGAGTACCTAATAGGCACTTTTTCCTAATGACAGGCCAGGACTCTGATCTTGGAGCTTATCTACCTCTCTAATTCTTAGATTTCCCACTACACCTCGGGAAGAATGTGGTAGGCCGAATGCCTGACTGCTCTGTGGCCCTGCCCTTTCCATCTATCTCCAAACAACATGCAGAGATTGAAATCTTAGCCTGGGACAAGGCACCTATCCTCCGAGACTGTGGGAGCCTTAATGGTACTCAAATCCTGAGACCTCCTAAGGTTTTGAGCCCTGGGGTGAGTCACCGTCTGAGGGACCAGGAATTGATTCTCTTTGCTGACTTGCTCTGCCAGTACCATCGCCTGGATGTCTCTCTGCCCTTTGTCTCCCGGGGCCCTCTGACAGTAGAAGAGACACCCAGAGTACAGGGAGAAACTCAACCCCAGAGGCTTCTGTTGGCTGAGGACTCGGAGGAGGAAGTAGGTAAGTTTGTATATTGGCAGGGAGAATGAGGAGACAGGAATAATGAGTGTACAATTGTCAACTCATTCCTTTCTGTTCTTGACAGATTTTCTTTCTGAAAGGCGTATGGTAAAAAAATCAAGGACCACATCTTCCTCTGTGATAGTTCCAGAGAGGTGAGTGCCAAAGAGTCAGACACCTGAGTCTTCAAAATGAGGAAGAACCAGGGGCTGGAGGATCAATCTCTAAAAGAGATGATTATCATGAGAGTTGGGGCTGGGGAACCATACATATTCATTCACTCAGCTGAATTTTTATGGAGCACATCTGATGTGCCAAGTGGAAAACAAATTGGAAACAGAAGAAGAAATATGCTACCTTGTGTCTCCCCTCAAGGAGCTCACAGTTGAGTTGGGGTATCCCTTCCAGGGAAATAAATTCTATAGACTCTCTTTTCTTCCCTTCACAGTGATGAAGAGGGGCATTCCCCGGTCCTGGGCGGCCTTGGGCCGCCTTTTGCCTTCAATTTGAACAGTGACACAGATGTGGAAGAAGGTCAGCAACCAGCCACAGAGGAGGCCTCCTCAGCTGCCAGAAGAGGTGCCACTGTAGAGGCAAAGCAGTCTGAAGCTGAAGTTGTAACTGAAATCCAGCTTGAAAAGGATCAGCCTTTAGTGAAGGAGAAGGACAATGATACAAAAGTCAAGAGGGGTGCAGGGAATGGGGTGGTTCCAGCTGGGGTGATTCTGGAGAGGAGCCAACCTCCTGGAGAGGACAGTGACACAGATGTGGATGATGACAGCAGGCCTCCTGGAAGGCCAGCTGAGGTCCATTTGGAAAGGGCTCAGCCTTTTGGCTTCATCGACAGCGACACTGATGCGGAAGAAGAGAGGATCCCAGCAACCCCAGTTGTCATTCCTATGAAGAAGAGGAAGATCTTCCATGGAGTAGGTACAAGGGGTCCTGGAGCACCAGGCCTGGCCCATCTGCAGGAGAGCCAGGCTGGTAGTGATACAGATGTGGAAGAAGGCAAGGCCCCACAGGCTGTCCCTCTGGAGAAAAGCCAAGCTTCCATGGTTATCAACAGCGATACAGATGACGAGGAAGAAGTCTCAGCAGCGCTGACTTTGGCACATCTGAAAGAGAGCCAGCCTGCTATATGGAACAGAGATGCAGAAGAGGACATGCCCCAACGTGTGGTCCTTCTGCAGCGAAGCCAAACCACCACTGAGAGAGACAGTGACACAGACGTGGAGGAGGAAGAGCTCCCAGTGGAAAATAGAGAAGCTGTCCTCAAGGATCACACAAAGATTAGAGCCCTTGTTAGAGCACATTCAGAAAAGGACCAACCTCCTTTTGGGGACAGTGATGACAGTGTGGAAGCAGATAAGAGCTCACCTGGGATCCACCTGGAGAGAAGCCAAGCCTCCACCACAGTGGACATCAACACACAAGTGGAGAAGGAAGTCCCGCCAGGGTCAGCCATTATACATATAAAGAAGCATCAGGTGTCTGTGGAGGGGACAAATCAAACAGATGTGAAAGCAGTTGGGGGACCAGCAAAGCTGCTTGTGGTATCTCTAGAGGAAGCCTGGCCTCTGCATGGGGACTGTGAAACAGATGCAGAGGAGGGCACCTCCCTAACAGCCTCAGTAGTTGCAGATGTAAGAAAGAGCCAGCTTCCAGCAGAAGGGGATGCTGGGGCAGAGTGGGCTGCAGCTGTTCTTAAGCAGGAGAGAGCTCATGAGGTGGGGGCCCAGGGTGGGCCACCTGTGGCACAAGTGGAGCAGGACCTCCCTATCTCAAGAGAGAACCTCACAGATCTGGTGGTGGACACAGACACTCTAGGGGAATCCACCCAGCCACAGAGAGAGGGAGCCCAGGTCCCCACAGGAAGGGAGAGAGAACAACATGTGGGTGGGACCAAGGACTCTGAAGACAACTATGGTGGTAAGTGCTGGCCTTCCTTCCTTGACCTCTGAAATCAACCAGGGTTCTAACAGCTGGGGTTGGGGAGAGAAAGGTAGAGATTATTTAAGGAGTTTAGTGTCAGGTATGATTTTTGTTTTAAACTGTCTTATATTCCTCCCCGACCAGATTCTGAAGATCTGGACCTACAAGCTACCCAGTGCTTTCTGGAGAATCAGGGCCTGGAAGGTGAGGACTTCTGTGTTATTTGAATCCTGTACCAGTGGGAGCTGGGAGATTAGACTGGTGGTCCTTGAAGGGTAAAGGCTAGTATGGGTAGGGTAGGAGACCAGGAATGGAACCCTACAGTAGTATGGAGGAGATGAACTTAGGCCATCTTTTCCTGTACAGCAGTCCAGAGCATGGAGGATGAACCTACCCAGGCCTTCATGTTGACTCCACCCCAAGAGCTTGGCCCTTCCCATTGCAGCTTCCAGACAACAGGTATAAGAAACTCTTCCCTCCTCTGTGTCCCCAATTCTGCATTCTCTTTTTTTTCCTCTGTCACTCAGGCTGGATTACAGTGGTGCAGTCTCGGCTCACTGTAACCTCCGCCTCCCAGGCGGTTTCTCTTCCTTCAGCTTCCCAGGTAGCTGGGATTACAGCTGTCCATGACCATGCCTGGCTAATTTTTTGTATGTTTAGTAGAGACAGGGTTTCACCATGTTGGCCAGGCTGGTCACAAACTCCCGACCTCAAGTGATCCGCCTGCCTCGGCCTCCCAAAATGCTGGAATTGCAGGCGTAAGCCACTGCGCCCGGCCTGCGTTCTTTCTTGATTTGCCTTCCTACATGTTTCTTTCATACTCTGATTACAGTGAGCCCTCTGTGTATGCGAGTTTGCGTCCGTGAATTCAACCAGCTGCAGGTTGAAAATATTTAGGGACTGGCCTGGGCAACAGAGAGAGACCTGGTCTCCACAAAAATGAAAAAATTAGCCCAGCATAGTAGTGAGCACCTGTAGTCCCAGTTACATGGGAGGCCAGGATGGGAAGATCAGTTGAGCCCAGTCTGGGCAATAGCCCATCCCTCAACCCCCACCCCCAATGTCTCTTAAAAAAAACACACACACACTATTGCAGCACTGTTCACAATAGGCAGATATGAAATCAAACTAAATGTCCATCAACAGATGAATGGATAAAGAAAATGTAGGCCGGGGTCGGGCACAGTGGCTCACACCTCTAATCCCAACACTTTGGGAGGCCAAGGCAGGCAGATCACCTGAGATCGGGAGCTTGAGACCAGCCTGACCAACATGGAGAAACCCCGTCTCTACTAAAAATACAAAATTAGCCGGGTGTGGTGGTGCATGCCTGTAATCCCAGCTACTCAGGAGACTGAGTCAGGAGAATCCCTTGAACCCAGGAGGCAGAGGTTGCAGTGAGCTGAGATTGTGCCATCGCACTCTGGCCTGGGCAACAAGAGTGAAACTCTGTCTCAAAAAAACGAAAGAAAAGAAAATGTAGGCCGGGCACAGTGCCTCATGCCTGTAATCCCAGCACTTTGGGAAGCCGAAGTGGGTGGATCACATGAGGTCAGGAGTTTGAGACCAGCCTGGCCAACATGGTGAAACCCTGTCTCTACTAAAAATACAAAAATTAGCTGGGCATGGTGGCAGGTGCCTGTAGTCCCAGCTACTCGGGAGACTGAAGCAGGAGACTCATTTGAACCCCGGAGGCAGAGGTTGCAGTGAGCCAAGGTCACACCACTGCACTCCAACATGGGCAACAGAGTGAGACTTCATCTCTAATAATAAAAAAAAAGAAAATGTGTATATAGGCTGGGTGCAGTGGCTCAAAATACAAAATTTAGCTGGGCATGGTGGCATGCACCTGTAGTCTTAGCTACTCGGGAGGCTAAGATGGGAGGATTGCTGCCTAAGACGCAGAGGTTGCAGTGAGCTGAGGTCATGCCACTGCACTCCAAACTGGGTGACAGAGCAAGACTCAATCTAAAAAAAAAAGAAAATGTGTATATATACACAGTGGAACAGTATTCAGCAACAGAAGAGAATGAAATCCTGTCATCTGCAGCAACATGGATGAACCCTGAGGACATTATGTTAAGTGAAATAAGTCAGCACAGAAAGGCAAATATTGTATGCTCACTCATGTGGGAGCTAAAAACATGGATCTCATGGAAGTAGAGAGTAGAATGGTGGTTACCAAAGGCTAGGAAGGGTAGAGGGACAGAATGCATAAAGAGGTTGGTTAATGAATACAAAAATCCAGTCAGATTGAATGAATAAGTTCTAGTGTTCAGTTCCACAGTAGTGTTACTATAGTTAATAATTTATTGTGTATTTCAAAATAGCTAGAAGAGATTTGATATGTTTCCAAGACAAAGAAATGATAAATGTTTGAGATAGTGGATATCCCAATTATCTTGGTTTTATCATTGTACATTGTATGCATGAGTCAAAATAGCACAGGTACCCCATAAATATGTACAATTATTATGTGTCAATGAAGAAAAAAGAAAATGTGGTATATATACACAGTGGAATACTATTCAGCCTTTAAAAAGAAGGAAATTCCAGCCAAGCATGGTGGCTCACACCTGTAATCCCAGCACTTTGGGAGACCAATGTGGGTGGATCACTTGAGTCTAAGAGTTCAAGACCAAACCCCATCTCTACAACAAATACAAAAAATTAGCCGGGCACTTTGGCACATGCCGTAGTCCCAGCTACTTGGGAGGCTGAGGTGGGAGGATCTCCTGAGCCCAGCAGTTGGGAGTTGCAGTGAGCCAACATCATGCCACTGCACTCCAGCCTGGGTGACAGAGTGAAACTGTCTTGAGAGAGAGAGACTATTCAGGGAACTCTCTTATTAGGCTATGATGTTTTTCTTTCTTTCTTTCTTTCTTTCTTTTTTTGAGACAGGGTCTCTGTCACTCAGGCTGGAATGCAGTGGTATGATGAGAGACTATTCAGGGAACTCATATTAGGCTATGATGTTTTTCTTTTTCTCTTGGGTTTTTTTTTTTTTTTTTTTTTGAGACAGAGTCTCTGTCACTCAGGCTGAAGTGCAGTGGTATGATCACAGCTCACTACAGTCTTGACCTTTGGGGTTCAAGTAGTTCTCCTACCTCAGCCTCCCGGGTAGCTGAGACTACAGGACTACAGGTCCCCGTCCCCACACCTAATTTTTTTGTATTTTTTGTAGAGATGGGGTTTTGCCATGTTGTCCAGGCTAGTCTCAAACTCCTGGCCTCAAGCAATCCTCATGTCTTGGCCTCCCAAAGTCCTGGGATTACATGTCTGAGCCACCATGCCCGCCTAAGGCTATGACCTTTTTGAGACAAACGTTAAATGTTATAACTACCACCCTTATTCCCAGCTTACCTTTAATAACCTGTTCAGATTTATTATTCATGAGTTTATCTAAATCCTTTCTCATCATATTTATTATGTCAACCTGTACTTCCCTTTCCCTCTTCCTCTCCCTCTTTTCTCTCCCTCTCCCTCTCTCTCTCTTCCTTCCTCCCCTTCCAGGTACCCTAGATGAACCATGGGAGGTCCTGGCTACACAGCCATTCTGTCTGAGAGAGTCTGAGGACTCTGAGACCCAGCCTTTTGACACGCACCTTGAGGCCTATGGACCTTGCCTGTCTCCACCTAGGGCAATACCAGGAGACCAACATCCAGAGAGCCCAGTTCACACAGAGCCAATGGGGATTCAAGGCAGAGGGAGGCAGACTGTGGATAAAGTCATGGGTATACCAAAAGAAACAGCAGAGAGGGTGGGCCCTGAGAGAGGGCCATTGGAGAGAGAAACTGAGAAACTGCTACCAGAAAGACAGACAGATGTGACAGGAGAGGAAGAATTAACCAAGGGGAAACAGGACAGAGAACAAAAACAGTTGTTAGCTAGAGACACCCAGAGACAAGAATCTGACAAAAATGGGGAAAGTGCAAGTCCTGAAAGAGATAGGGAGAGTTTGAAGGTAGAAATTGAGACATCTGAGGAAATACAAGAGAAACAAGTACAGAAGCAGACCCTTCCAAGCAAAGCATTTGAGAGAGAAGTAGAGAGACCAGTAGCAAACAGAGAGTGCGATCCAGCCGAGTTAGAAGAGAAGGTGCCCAAAGTGATCCTGGAGAGAGATACACAGAGAGGGGAGCCAGAGGGAGGGAGCCAGGACCAGAAAGGGCAGGCCTCCAGCCCAACACCAGAGCCTGGGGTGGGGGCGGGGGACCTTCCGGGACCTACCTCAGCCCCCGTACCTTCTGGGAGCCAGTCAGGTGGAAGGGGATCCCCAGTGAGCCCCAGGAGGCATCAGAAAGGTAAGTGAAGGCAGAGGGGAACCCAAGGTGATACACAGGCCTCGTGATAATCAACCCCTGGGCAACCAGCTGCTTGGAACTCAGCCACCTTTGTGTTTACTTTCTGTCTAGGCCTCCTGAATTGCAAGATGCCACCTGCTGAGAAGGCTTCCAGGATCAGAGCTGCTGAGAAGGTTTCCAGGGTGAGAGCTACTTTTTCTACCTCCTATTCCACAAGTCATCTCTATATCTTCTCCAATGCTCTTTCACCTAGCCTCACTTTAATCTATTCCTTTCTCATTATTCAGTTTTCTTCCATTTTTGTCACGCCTTGATTGGCTTCTATTCCTTTATCCTCGGCACCCGTTGTTTTCCATATCTGTTTCCTAAGTTGTATCTCCTACCTGACTCAAAAGAAAGACCCTTCGTGTTTCTTCTTTCTTTGCCCCAGCCATCCTTTTCCTTACCATCATCCACGTGTGGAGAACACTATAGTAGCATTATGGAGACAGGTCTGTGGGAAAAAGGTAGCTTCCCAGGTAGATCCCAGTCTAATGGAGGAGAGATCATAGACAGAAAGGAAAATCCAGTGAGCATATTTTTTGTTTTTGTTCTTTTTTGAGACAGAGTCTGTCTCTGTCACCCAGGCTGGAGTGTGCAGTGGCGTGATCTCAGCTTACTGTAACCTCCGTCTCTTGGGTTCAAACAATTTTCCTGCCGCAGCCTCCCAAGTAGCTGGGACTACAGGCGCATGTCACCCGGCTAATTTTTGTGTATTTTTTTGTTTTTTTTGAGACAGTCTCACTCTGTCACCCAGGCTGGAGTGCAGTGGCGCGATCTTGGCTCACTGCAACCTCTGCCTCCCGGGTTCAAGCGACTCTCCTCCCTCAGCCTCCCAGGTAGCTGGGACTACTAGGCGCCTGCCAACACACCTAGCTAATTTTTTTTTTTTTTTTTTTTTTTTAGACAGAGTCTTGCTCTGTCCCCCAGGCTGGAGTGCAGTGGCACCATCTCGGCTCACTGCAAGCTCCGCCTCCCGAGTTCACGCCATTCTCCTGCCTCAGCCTTCCAAGTAGCTGGGACTACAGGCGCCCGCCACCACGCCCGGCTAATTTTTTGTATTTTTTAGTAGAGACGGGGTTTCACCGTGTTAGCCAGGATGGTCTCGGTTTCCTGACCTTGTGATCCACCCGCCTCGGCCTCCCAAAGTGCTGGGATTACAGGCATCAGCCACCATGCCTGGCCTTTTTTTTTGTATTTTTAGTAGAGACGGGGTTTCACTATGTTGGCCAGGCTGGTCTTGAACTCCTGACCTCGTGATCCGCCCGCCTCGGCCTCCCAAAGTGCTGGGATTATAGCCGTGAGCCACCACGCCCGGTGGAAATCTGGTAAGCCTATCTAACCATAAACAAGTATCAAGAACAGTATCCAAGTTCTATCTCTTTTCTCCACCTCCTCCCCCTCACTTGCTTCTGTTTCTCCCTAGGGCGATCAGGAATCTCCAGATGCTTGTCTGCCTCCTACAGTACCTGAAGCCCCAGCCCCACCCCAAAAGCCCCTTAACTCTCAGAGCCAGAAACATCTTGCACCTCCGCCCCTTCTTTCTCCCCTTTTACCTTCTATCAAGCCAACCGTTCGTAAGACCAGGCAAGATGGGAGTCAGGAAGCTCCAGAGGCTCCCTTGTCCTCAGAGCTGGAGCCTTTCCACCCAAAGCCTAAAATTAGAACTCGGAAGTCCTCCAGAATGACACCCTTTCCAGCTACCTCTGCTGCCCCTGAGCCCCACCCTTCCACCTCCACAGCCCAGCCAGTCACTCCCAAGCCCACATCTCAGGCCACTAGGAGCAGGACAAATAGGTCCTCTGTCAAGACCCCTGAACCAGTTGTCCCCACAGCCCCTGAGCTCCAGCCTTCCACCTCCACAGACCAGCCTGTCACCTCTGAGCCCACATCTCAGGTTACTAGGGGAAGAAAAAGTAGATCCTCTGTCAAGACCCCTGAAACAGTTGTGCCCACAGCCCTTGAGCTCCAGCCTTCCACCTCCACCGACCGACCTGTCACCTCTGAACCCACCTCTCAGGCTACTAGGGGAAGAAAAAATAGATCCTCTGTCAAGACCCCTGAACCAGTTGTCCCCACAGCCCCTGAGCTCCAGCCTTCCACCTCCACAGACCAGCCTGTCACTTCTGAGCCCACATATCAGGCTACTAGGGGAAGAAAAAATAGATCCTCTGTCAAGACCCCTGAACCAGTTGTGCCCACAGCCCCTGAGCTCCGGCCTTCCACCTCCACAGACCGACCTGTCACCCCCAAGCCCACATCTCGGACCACTAGGAGCAGGACAAATATGTCCTCTGTCAAGACCCCTGAAACAGTTGTCCCCACAGCCCCTGAGCTCCAGATTTCCACCTCCACAGACCAACCTGTCACCCCTAAGCCCACATCTCGGACCACTAGGAGCAGGACAAATATGTCCTCTGTGAAGAACCCTGAATCAACTGTCCCTATAGCCCCTGAGCTCCCACCTTCCACCTCCACAGAGCAGCCTGTCACCCCTGAGCCCACATCTCGGGCTACTAGGGGAAGAAAAAATAGATCCTCTGGCAAGACCCCTGAAACACTTGTCCCCACAGCCCCTAAGCTCGAGCCTTCCACTTCCACAGACCAACCTGTCACTCCTGAGCCCACATCTCAGGCCACCAGGGGCAGGACAAATAGGTCCTCTGTGAAGACCCCTGAAACAGTTGTCCCCACAGCCCCTGAGCTCCAGCCTTCCACCTCCACAGACCAGCCTGTTACCCCTGAGCCTACGTCTCAGGCTACTAGGGGAAGAACAGATAGATCCTCTGTCAAGACTCCTGAAACAGTTGTCCCCACAGCCCCTGAGCTACAGGCTTCCGCCTCCACAGACCAGCCTGTCACCTCTGAGCCCACATCTCGGACCACTAGGGGAAGAAAAAATCGGTCCTCTGTCAAGACCCCTGAAACAGTTGTGCCCGCAGCCCCTGAGCTCCAGCCTTCCACCTCCACAGACCAACCTGTCACCCCTGAGCCCACATCTCGGGCCACTAGGGGCAGGACAAATAGGTCCTCTGTCAAGACCCCTGAATCAATTGTCCCTATAGCCCCTGAGCTTCAGCCTTCCACCTCCAGAAACCAGCTTGTCACCCCTGAGCCCACATCTCGGGCCACTAGGTGCAGGACAAATAGGTCCTCTGTCAAGACCCCTGAGCCAGTTGTCCCCACAGCCCCTGAGCCCCATCCTACCACCTCCACAGACCAGCCTGTCACCCCCAAGCTCACATCTAGGGCCACTAGGAGAAAGACAAATAGGTCCTCTGTCAAGACTCCCAAACCAGTTGAACCAGCAGCCTCTGATCTTGAGCCTTTTACCCCCACAGACCAGTCCGTCACCCCTGAGGCCATAGCTCAGGGTGGTCAGAGCAAAACACTGAGGTCTTCCACAGTAAGAGCTATGCCGGTTCCTACCACCCCTGAATTCCAATCTCCTGTCACCACAGACCAGCCTATTTCCCCTGAGCCTATTACTCAACCCAGTTGCATCAAGAGGCAGAGAGCCGCTGGGAACCCTGGCTCCCTCGCAGCTCCCATTGACCATAAGCCTTGCTCTGCACCCTTGGAACCTAAATCCCAGGCCTCAAGGAACCAAAGATGGGGAGCAGTGAGAGCAGCTGAATCCCTTACAGCCATTCCTGAGCCTGCCTCTCCCCAGCTTCTTGAGACACCAATTCATGCCTCCCAGATCCAAAAGGTGGAACCAGCAGGTAGATCTAGGTTCACCCCGGAGCTCCAGCCTAAGGCCTCTCAAAGCCGCAAGAGGTCTTTAGCTACCATGGATTCACCACCACATCAAAAACAGCCCCAAAGAGGGGAAGTCTCCCAGAAGACAGTGATTATCAAGGAAGAGGAAGAAGATACTGCAGAGAAGCCAGGGAAGGAAGAGGTGAGGAGAGGGTTGGGACCACAAAGCTGGGAAAAATGACTTCAGGGCTCTGAAACTCCCACCAAGATTTTTCTCAATCTCAGGATGTCGTGACTCCAAAACCAGGCAAGAGAAAGAGAGACCAGGCAGAGGAGGAGCCCAACAGAATACCAAGCCGCAGCCTCCGACGGACCAAACTTAACCAAGAATCAACAGCCCCCAAAGTAAGAGACAAAGGCATGGGACTTTGTGGGAGACAGAGATGAGGGGAGGATGCAAGGAGACCTAGAGGATTGTAGAGATGGGTGCTGATGGCATGGGTTGCCGTAACCACCTCAGGTCAACCCTTCCACAGGTGCTCTTCACAGGAGTGGTGGATGCTCGGGGAGAGCGGGCTGTGCTGGCACTGGGGGGAAGTCTGGCTGGTTCAGCGGCAGAGGCTTCCCACCTGGTCACTGATCGCATCCGCCGGACAGTCAAGTTCCTGTGTGCCCTGGGGCGGGGAATCCCCATTCTGTCCCTGGACTGGCTGCATCAGGTGAGAGGCCAAGGGATGATGACAGACCGATATAGTGGCAAGACTGCTCATATAGTGCCCTAGAAAGTGGTGGAAGGGAAGAGGCGTTACAGGAAGACAGGGGCATTGGTGAGCCAGAAGCCTGCATTGATTTAAAAGACATTTTGTGAGCTCTCTCTAAATGCTAGGCAGCAGAGCTGATTGAGGGGCTGGGCTGAGCTTTGATGCTGACTGCTGCCGTCCTTAGTCCCGCAAGGCTGGTTTCTTCTTACCCCCGGATGAATATGTGGTGACCGACCCTGAGCAAGAGAAGAACTTTGGCTTTAGCCTTCAAGACGCACTGAGCAGGGCTCGGGAGCGAAGGCTGCTAGAGGTGAGAGGCTATCTTTTAACCTGTGCTTCAGCCCTCCCTCCAGTGCTTCCCAATCTACAATACCATCTCCATCATTTCTTTCTCTTAGGGCTATGAGATCTATGTGACCCCTGGAGTCCAGCCACCACCACCTCAGATGGGAGAGATTATTAGCTGCTGTGGAGGCACATACCTACCCAGCATGCCTCGGTCCTATAAGGTATGCTTAGGATGTTCTGGGTCTGGGTGAGGTGGCAGTGGCAGTTAAAGAGGTGGCTGGAATGGCAAAGATTGGAGGGAAAAAAATGGAGGTTCAGAAAGGAATATAAAGTAGTGAGAGGGTGGGGGAAAAGACCTATGGTATAGAAAGGGATAGGAATGAGGGGACAGATCTGCTGATACCCCCATATAACAATCACCGAGATTCAGCAGCAGCTTAATTTAGATTATGCTACATTTGCTCCATCTATCCCTTTTTTCCTTTGATTTTCTCTTTTTTTTTTTTTTTTTTTTTTTGAGATGGAGTCTCACTCTCAGGCTGGAGTGCAGTGGCACAATCTCGGCTCACTACAATCTCCGCCTCCTGGGTTCACACCATTCTCCTGCCTCAGCCTCCCGAGTAGCTGGGACTACAGGTGCCCGCCACCACGCCCGGCTAATTCTTTTGTATTTTTAGTAGAGATGGGGTTTCACTGTGTTAGCCAGGATGGTCTTGATCTCCTGAGGTCATGATCTGCCCGCCTCGGCCTCTCAAAGTGCTGGGATTACAGGCGTGAGCCACCGCGCCCGGCTTTTTCCTTTGATTTTCTTTGCTGAAGTATTTCATTTCTTTTTATTTTTCTTTATTCTTTCTTTTTTTCCTTTCTCTTTCTTTGCTGAAATATTTTAAAGCAAACTGCCAATATTATATTATTTCTTCCTACATACTTAAATATATATCTCTAAGAAATACGTACATTTTATTTCATAATCACAATGCCATTATTGATCCTAAGCAAAATTAACAGTAGTTTATTGGTCATTTGCTCACACTCCATTAATAAAATTTCTCCCATTGTCTGAAAAATGTCTCTATACAGTTGTTCAAATCAGGATTCAAATAAGGTCCACATACTGCCACACCTATTATCTTCTTAATTATCTTTACTCTAGAGCATCCCTTAACCCACCCAGCTTTTTTTATGCCATCTATTTCCTGCAGAAGCTGGGTCACTTGTCCTTTAGAATGTTCCTCAGTCTGGAATTTTGGGTTTGCCTCCTTGTCATATAATTTATCTTGTTCCTCTGTACTCCATATTTCCTGGAAATTGCAGATAATTGTAAAAGCTTGAATAAATTCAGGTTCATCTTTCTAGCAAAAGTATTTTTTTTTTTTGAGAGAGTCTCACTCTGTCGCCAGGCTGGAGTACAGTGGAGCAGTCTTGGCTCACTGCAACCTCCATCTCCCGGGTTCAAGCTGTTCTCCTGCCTCAACCTCCCGAGTAGCTGGGACTACAGGCGCACACCACCACGCCCAGCTAATTTTTTTATTTTTACTAAAGACGGGGTTTCACCATGTTGGCCAGGATGGTCTCGATCTCTTGACCTCGTGATCCACCCACCTCGGCCTCCCAAAGTGCTGGGATTATAGGCGTGAGCCACTGTGCCTGGCCTCTAGCAAGAGTATTTCTTTTTTTTTTTTCTTTTTTTTTTTCTTTTGAGATGGAGTCTTGCTCTGTAGCCCAGGCTGGAGTGCAGTGGCGCGATCTCGGCTCACTGCAAGCTCCGCCTCCTGGGTTTTCACGCCATTCTCCTGCCCCAGCCTCCCGAGTAGCTGGGACGACAGGCACCCGTCAGCGCGCCCGGCTAATTTTTTTTTTTTTTTTTTTTTTGTATTTTTAGTAGAGACAGGGTTTCACCGTGGTCTTGATCTCCTGACCTCGTGATCCACCCGCCTCAGCCTCCCAAAGTGCTGTGTAATTACAGGCATGAGCCACTGCGCCCGGCCTAGCAAGAGTATTTCATAGACAGTATGCGGTGTGCTTCACTTGGCTTCATATTAGGAGGTATTATTTTAGTGATGGTAAGACTGGTTAGTGGGTCCTGAACCCATTTCTAGGATTCTTTTTCACCTGATTTTGCCTTTGCTCTGTCTTCCCCAGCCTCAGAGAGTTGTGATCACATGCCCTCAGGACTTCCCTCATTGCTCCATTCCACTACGGGTTGGGCTGCCCCTCCTCTCGCCTGAGTTCCTGCTGACTGGAGTGCTGAAGCAGGAAGCCAAGCCAGAGGCCTTTGTCCTCTCCCCTTTGGAGATGTCATCCACCTGAGAACTCCACTACCCTTTTCCCTCCCAGACCACGAATTAGAAGATATGTGGAAGAAAGAACTCAGGGCGTTAGAAAGGATTGGGGTATATTGATACAACTTGTCCTGGAACATGGGTGGGACCAGAAATCTTTATGAATAAATGAAAAGATAAGGGATTTGGAAGCCACAGGTTGTTTTTTGTTTGTTTGTTTGTTTTTTTAATGGCCATTTTATTTTATTTGTATTTATAGTTTTTTATTTGTATAGATTTAGGGGATACAAGATTTCTTACATGCATGTATTAAATGGCCATTTTAAAATTAGCTAGTTTCATGCTCAGATGTCATAAGTGGCAGCTATCTTTAGCCAGACTGTTGCAGTTATTGCTCGATGCCACTCATGGTGTCCTACCTCCTATTTGGAAACCATCTCTATTTTTTTCTTACTGAGATTCTTACTTTGGGGTCAGGAACTTGAAGGGATGCTTGGAGTGAGTAGATTTGAGGGTCCAGTTATGGAGTGCTACTAAAACATTTTCTTCTCTCCTGGCCTCTGGAAGCATCTTTAGCTTTGACTTTGGGCAAGTCTCTGTACTTTTCTGGCCAGCTTTTCCAGGATTTATAAAATTAGAGCTTCGGCTTGACCTCTGTGATAAATAAATATTCACTCTGTGCCTTATGGTGTAGTGTAGTTTTTTAAAATGTCTAGGTCTCAAGACACAAACTTAAAAAAAAAAAAGTCATAGACTTGTATTTAATTCATCATTATCTTCTATTTAGGACAATTTGTATGACATTTCTTAAGATTTTTTTTTTTTTCTTGAGACAGGGTCTCATCTCTGTCACCTAGGCTGGAGTGCAGTGGCACCATCTTGGCTCACTGCAACCTCCACCTCCCAGTTCAAGCAATAGTCCCACCTCAGCCTCCTGAGTAGCTAGGACTGCAGGCACACACCACCATGCCTGGCTAATTTTCTTTTTTTTATTGTTTAGTAGAGACGGGGCTCTACTAAATTTTTGTATTTTTGGTAGAGATGAGGTTTTGTCATGTTGCCCAGGCTGGTCTCTAACTTCTGACCTCAAGTGATCCACCCACCTCAGCCTCCCGAGTAGCTGGGATTACAGGCACATGCCACCACACCCGGCTAATTTTTGTATTTGTAGTAGAGACGGGGTTTCACCATGTTGGCCATGCTGGTCTCGAACTCCTGACCTCAGGTGATCCACCTGTCTTGACTTCCCAAAGTGCTGGGATAACAGGCATGAGCCGCCATGACTGGCCTTTTATCTTTTTGAGTCAAGGTGTCACTCTGTTGCCCAGGCTGAAGTGCAGTGGCTCGATGTCGGCTTACTGCAGCCTTGACCTCCTGGGCTCAAACGATTTTCCTCTCAGCCTCCCAAGTAGCTGGGACCATAGGTGTGTGCAACCATGCCCGATGAATTTTGTATTTTTGGTAGAGACGAGGTTTTGTCATGTTGCCCAAGCTGGTCTCTAACTCGTGACCTCAAGTGAGCCACCCACCTCAGCCTCCAAAAGTGCTGGGATTACAGGCTTGAGCCACCGTGCCCAGCCAGATTTAAATTTTAAAAGTTGGTTGATTACAAGGATGTGGAGAAATTAGAATCCTTATACATTGCTGGTAGGAATGTTAAATGGTTCAGCCTCTGTGGTAAACAGTTTGATGGTTCCTCAAAAAGTTAAACATATGGATGGGCACAGTGGCTCACACATGTAATCCCAGCACTTTGGAGGCCAAGGCTGGCAGATCACTTGAGCTCAGAAGTTCACGGCCAGCCGGGCAACATGACAAAACCTCGTCTCTACCAAAAATACAAAAATTCACTGGGCATGGTGGCACACACCTATGGTCCCAGCTACTTGGGAGGCTAAGAGGAAAATCGTTTGAGCCCAGGAGGTCAAGGCTGCAGTGGGTGGACACGAGCCACTGCACTTCAGCCTGGGCAACAGAGTGAGACCTTGTCTCAAAAAAATAAAAGGCCAGTCACGGCAGCTCATGCCTGTAATCCCAGCACTTTGGGAAGTCAAGACAGGTGGATCACCTGAGGTCAGGAGTTAGAGACCAGCCTGGCCAACATGGTGAAATCCCGTCTCTACTTAAAATACAAAAATTAGCCGGGCGTGGTGGCATGTGCCTGCAATCCCAGCTACTTGGGAGGCTGAGGCAGAAGAATTGCTGGAACCTGGGAAGTGGAGGTTGCAGTGAGCTGAGATCGTGCCACTGCACTCCAGCCTGGGCAACAGAACAAGACTCCATCTAAAAAAAAAAAGGCCAGGCGTGGTGGCTCACCCCTGTAATCCTAGCACTTTGGGAGGCCAAGGTGGGCAGATCACAAGATCAGGAGATTGAGACCATCCTGGCTAACATGGAGAAACCCCGTCTCTACTAAAAATACAAAAAATTGGCTAGGCGTGGTGGCAGGCGCCTGTAGTCCTAGCTACTCGGGAGGCTGAGGCAGGAGAATCGCTTGAACCCGGGAGGTGGAGGTTGCAGTGAGCCAAGACTGCTCCACTGTACTCCAGCCTGGCGACAGAGCGAGACTCCCTCTCAAAAAAAAAACAAAAAAAAAAAAGTAGCCTCTTTTCTGGCTGGAACCCTCATGTAGAGTGTTGTAGATAAGAAGGAGAGGGCCGGGGTGCAGTGGCTCACACCTGTAATCCCAACACTTTGGGAGGCCGAGGTGGGCAGGTCACCTGAGGTCAGGAGTTCAAGACCAGGCTGGCCAACATGACAAAACCCCGTCTCTACTAAAAATTCAAAACAAAATTAGCCGGGCATGGTGGCCAGCCCCTGTGATCCCAGCTACTCAGGAGGCTGAGGCAGGAGAATTGCTTGAATGCAGGAGGGGGAGGTTGCATTGAGTCGAGATCGCACCATTGCACTCCAGCATGGGAGACAGAGCAAGACCCCGTCTTAAAAAAAAAAAGAGAGAGAAAAAGAAGGAGGTTCTTGCTATGCCAGAAACCCTTAAAAAGCGAAGGAATTTCCCAGAGCTGAAGATCAAAGGCCCGAGAAAGAAATTTGCCCAAAAGATGATTCAAAAGGCAAGGAGGAAGCTTATCTATGAAAAAGTGAAGCACTATCACAAGGAATATAGGCAGATGTACAGAACTGAAATTCGAATGGCTAGGATGGCCAGAAAAGCTGGCAACTTCTATGTACCTGCAAAACCCAAATTGCCGTTTGTCATCAGGATCAGAGGTATCAGTGGTGTGAACCCAAAGGTCCGAAAGGTGTTGCAGCTTCTTCGCCTTTGTTAAATCTTCAGTGGAACCTTTGTGAAGCTCAACAAGGCTTCAATGAACATGCTGAGGATTGTAGAACCATATATGGCATGGGGGTACCCAAAGCTGAAGTCAGTAAATGAACTAATCTACCAGCATGGTTATGGCAAAAATCAATAAGAAGCAAATTGCTTTGACAGATGACACTTTGATTGCTTTATCTCTTGGTAAATATGGCATCACCTGCATGGAGGATCTGATTCTTGAGATCTATACTGTTGGAAAATGCTTCAAAGAAGCAAATAACTTCCTGTAGCCCTTCAAATTATCCTCTCCACAAGGTAGAGTAAAGAAAAAGACCACCCATTTTGTAGAAAGTGGACATGCTGGCAACAGGGAGAACCGGATCAACAGACTTATTAGAAGAATGAGCTAAGGTGTCTACTGTGATTGTTTTTCTAATCTAAGCACTTAAGCAGTACCTGCTCTCAAATTGGAGGAAAAAAAAGAAAGTTAAATACGGAATTACCGAACAGTCCAGCAATTCTGCTCCTAGGTGTACACCCAAAAGAATTTAAATCAGGTGTCCAGGCTGGGTGGGGTGGCTTATGCCTATAATCCCAGCAGTTTGGGAGGCCAAAGTGGGAGGATTGCATGAGCCCAGGACTTCACGGGCAACCAGTCTGGGCAACATGGCAAAACCCTGTCACTACAAAAAATACAAAAATGGGCTAGGTGCGGTGGCTCACGCCTATAATCCTAGCACTTTGGGAGGCAAGGTGGGTAGATCACCTGAGGTCAGGAGTTCAAGACGAGCCTGGCCAACATGGCAAAACCCCATCTCTACTAAAAAATACAAAAATTAGCCGGGTGTGGTGGCTCATGCCTGTAATCCCAGCATTTTGGGAGGCCGAAGGTGGTTGGATCACCTGAGGTCAGGAGTTCGATACCAGCCTGACCAACATGGAGAAACCCGTCTCTACTAAAAAATACAAAATTAGCTGGGCGTGGTGGTGCATGCCGGTAATCCCAGCTACTCCGGAGGCTGAGGCAGGAGAATCACTTGAACCTGGGAGGTGGAGATTGTGGTGAGCCAAGATCATGCCGTTGCAACAAGAGCAAAACTCCGTCTAAAAAAAAAAAAAAATTAACTGGGCCTGGTGGCTCACGCCTGTAATCCCAACACTTTGGGAGGCTGAGGCGGGTGGATCATGAGGTCAGGAGATCAAGACCATCCTGTCCAACATGGTGAAACCCCCTCTCTACTAAAAATACAAAAATTAGCTGGGCGTGGTGGCGTGCGCCTGTAGTCCCAGCTACTCGTGAGGCTGAGGCAGAAGAATCACTTGAACCAGAGAGTCAGAGTTTGCAGTGAGCCAAGATCATGCCACTGCACTCGAGCCTGGCTATAGAGGGAGACTCTGTCTCAAAAAATAATAATAATAATAATAAAAAAATTAGCTGGGCATGGTGGCATGTGGCTGTAATCCCAGCTACTGGGGAGGCTGAGGCTGCAGAATCACGTGAACCCGGGAAGCAGAGGTTGCAGTGAGCTGAGATCATGCCACTGCACTCCAGCCTGGGTGACAGAGAAAGACTCTCTCTCAAAAAAAAAAAAAAAATTTAGCCAGGTGTGGTGGCACATGCCTGTAATCCCAGCTACTTGGAATGCTGAGGTGGGAGGAGGTCAAGGCTGCAATGAGCCATGATTGTGCAACTACATTCCAGCCTGGGTAACAGAGCACGACTCTGTCTCCAAAAAAAAAAAAAAAAAAGGAAAAGAAAACAGTTATTCAAACAAATTCTTGTACGTGAGTGTTCATATCAGCACTTTTTACAATAGCCAAAAAGGTGGAAACAACACAAATATTCATCAGCAAATGAGTGGATAAACAATTGTGATATATCCATATAATCAAATATTATTCAACCATAGAAAAGGATGAAATACTGATATATGCTACAATATTTTGAGGATGAATATCAAAATATTTTGCTAAGTGAAGGAAAGCCAGAAACAGAACACATATTATGTGATTACACATGTAAGGAATATCCAGAATAGGTAAACCCATAGAGAACAAGAGCAGATTTGTGGTTGCCAGTGGCTGTGGGGTGGGGGAGATGAGAAAATGGGGAGTAACTTCATGGGTATGGAGTTTTATTTGGGGGTGATGAAAATGTTTTGAAGGCCCAGCGTGGTGGCTCATGCCTGTAATCCCAGCACTTTGGGAGGCTGGGGCAGGTGGATCACTTGAGGTCAGGAGTTCGAGACTAGCTGGACCAACATGGTGAAACCCTGTCACTACTAAAAATACAAAATTAGCCAGGCGTGGTGGCACATGCCTGTAATCCCAGCTACTTGGGAGGCTGAGCAGGAGAATTGCTTGAACCTGGGTGGCAGAGGTTGCAGTGAGCGGAGATCAGCCATTGCACTCCAGCATGGGCAATAAGAGCAAAGCTCCATCTCAAAAAAAAAATGTTTTGAAATTAGATAGAGGTGGTGGTTGTACCTATTACTAATATACTAATGTACTAAATACCATTATATTATTCTCTTTAAAGTGGTTAGGCTAGGCCGGGTGTGGTGGCTCACGCCTGTAATCCCAGCACTGTGGGAGGCCAAGGTGGGTGGATCACCTGAGGTCAGGAGTTTGATTGAGACTAGCCTGGCCAACATGGTGAAACCCTATCTCTATTAAAAATACAAAAATTGGCCAGATGTGGTGGTGGGCGCCTGTAATCCCAGCTACTTGGGAGGCTGAGGCAGGAGAATCACATGAACCCAAGAGGCGGAGGTTGCAGTGAGCCAAGATCGCGCCATTGCACTCCAGCCTGGGCAATAAGAGCGAAACTCTGTCTCAAAAATAAATAAATAAATAAATACAATAAAGTGGTTAGGCAAGGCATGGTGGCACCCTGGGAGGCTAAGGCAGCAGGATCACTTGAGCCAAGGAGTTTGAGACCAACCTGGGTATCATAGTGAGACCCCATCACTACAAAAAATAAAAAGTTAGCTGAATGTGGTGGCGCATGCCTGTAGTCCCAACTACTCAGGAGGCTGAGGCAAGAGGACCATTTGCCCAGAAGTTCGAGGTTGCAGTGAGCTGTGATCATACCACTGCACTCCAGCCTGGACCGCAACTCAAAAAAAAAAAAGGTTAATTTTATGTTGCATGAATTTCAATTTTTAAAAAATAGTTGATTACTTATGTACACTTTTCTGCATGTAAGTAATACTTAAGTTTGGAAAACTTTGGTGTAGTAGAAATAGCATGAGATTTGCCAAGCATTTTGCTGGCTATTAAACATATCTAATCTCATAATATACATTAAGCACAGCCATTGTGGGGGTGGCAGACAGTATGACCCAGATAAATATTAGTCCCCTTGCACAACTCAAAGCTTTCATACTCTAAAATTGTCCATGTCCCGGAGGCCCTGATTTCTTTCTTTCCATTTTTTTTTTTTTTTTTTTTGAGACAGAGTTTCACTCTTGTTGCCCAGGCTGGGTTCAATGGCGTGATCTCGGCTCACTGCAGCCTCCGCCTCTCGGGTTCAAGTGATTCTCCTGCCTCAGCTTTCTGAGTAGCTGGGATTACAGGCATGCACCACCACGCCCAGCTAATTTTGTATTTTTGGTAGAGACAGGGTTTCTCCATGTTGGTCAGGCTGGTCTCGAACTCCCGACCTCAGGTGATCCACCCACCTTGGCCTCGCAAAGTGCTGGGATTACAGGCGTGAGCCACTGCACCCGGCTCCTTTTTTTTTTGTTGTTGTTGTTGAGATGGAGTCTTGTTCTGTTGCCCAGGCTGGAGTGCAGTGGCGCGATCTCGGCTTACTGCAACCTCCGCCTCCCAGGTTCAAGCAATTCTCCTGCCTCAGCCTCCCAAGTAGTTGGGACTACAGGTGTGTGCCACCACACCCGGCTAATTTTTGTATTTTTAGTAGAGACGGGGTTTCGCCATGTTGGTCAGGCTGGTCTCTAACCCCTGACCTCGTGATCCACCCACCTAGGCCTCCCATAGTGCTGGGATAACAGGCATGAGCCACCGCGCCCAGCTCCTTTTTTTTTTTTTTGAGACGGAGTCTCACTCTGTCACCCAGGCTGGAGTCCAGTGGCGAGATCTCAGCTTATCGCAACCTCCACCTCCCGGGTTCAAGCGATTCTCCTGCCTCAGCCTCCCGAGAAGCTGGGATTACAGGCTCCTGCCACCACACCTGGCTAATTTTTGTCTTTTAAGTGGAGACGAGGTTTCACCATGTTGGCCAGGCTGGTCTCAAACTCCTGACCTCAGATGATCCAACTGCCTCGGCCTCCCAAGTGCTGGGATTACAGCTGTGAGCCACTGCGCCCAGCCAGAGACCTTGATTTCTTACCATACCTGCTGTCTGTAGAGCACCATGTAGCACTCAGCTACACTCCCTCTTCATGAGTGGTACTATTTAAATGCCTCAGGTTAAACATCTAGAGATTAGGGATCTTTTCTTACACTTCCTTGTATTTTATTTATTTATTTTTTTGTTTGAGACAGAATCTTGCTCCATCACCCAGTGGATTCTCCTGCCTCAGCCTCCCAAGTAGCTGGGATTACAGGCGCATACCACCACACCCAGCTAATTTTTAAAATTTTTTAGTAGAAATGGGGTTTCACCACGTTGGCCATTCTGGTCTCCAGCTTCTGGTCTAAAGTGATCCACCCACCTCAGCCTCCCGAATTGCTGGGATTACAGGCGTGAGCCACCGAGTCTGGCCTCTTACACTTCCAATGAACCCCATAGCTTGTAGCACATTGCTTTGTGTGGTAAGTGTCTCTATTCATGGTCCTAGCAGGAAATGAATAGCACAGTGAAATTAGGATAATTTGGGGGAGAGTTTAATAAAGTGATAATTACAAAGAAGTAGGCAGGGTGTAGGGAAATCAGAAAGAATAGTGCAGTGCCTTAGTACCCACAGCTCTGTTGTGATCACCTCCAAGCTCAAAAAGATGAGGACAGAGCAGTCGTGTAGAGAGGACTTTCTTTTTTTTTTTTTCTTTTCTTTTTTTTTTTTTTTTTTTTTGAGATGGAGTCTTGCTCTGTCGCCCAGGCTGGAGTGCAGTGGCGCGATCTCGGCTCACTGCAAGCTCTGCCTCCCGGGTTCACGCCATTCTTCTGCCTCAGCCTCCTGAGCAGCTGTGACTACAAGCGCCCGCCACCGCGCCCGGCTAATTTTTTTTGTATTTTTAGTAGAGACGGGGTTTCACCGTGGTCTCGATCTCCTGACCTCGTGATCCACCCGCCTCGGCCTCCCAAACTGCTGGGATTACAGGCGTGAGCCACCGCGCCCGGCGAGAGGACTTTCTCAATAAAAACTGTGACTTTCATTGATACCGTCCATTTGGGACAACTTACTGAAGCAGAAAGCAGGGTGGAGACTGAATTCAAGGGAAAACATAAGATGTCTGGTACAGCATACAACAGCATTGATTCAGAGGAGGGTGGGAGTACTGAGCCCAGGAGACGGAGAAGGAATGTAAAGCCTGCGAGAGGCTGCTCAGCAATTATCTGGTCCCTTAGCCTACAGGATTAGCAGCTTCCTAACTCAGGCAATTATCTCTCTGGACCTGTTTCTTCTATCTATAAGTTGATGGAATTAGTCTAATGATATCTAAGGTCCCTACTATGTGTACGTCTACTGTGACAAGGTCCTTAGCTGCATGATCTTTAATTCTGACAAAGGTTACTATCACAAATATTTTAACATGTTTATTCTCGTGGTTACTAATCAACAATCTCTGGCACTATTACAACAAACCTTTCAGTATTTACAGAGAAGTTATTTGCCATTCTTAGCAACTGGCCAGTCAACAACTCAACTTTATAGTAAGTTACAGAATTTATTCTGTATATTGTATTCTGTACAATGTATTCCATACATTAATTTATTTTGTGGTAAAACAGTAACTTTTCATTTTAGATGGGAAAACTAGACGAGCTGAGATTCAACCCACGTGAGCGGCTGCAGAGCCGCTACCCTTAACAGCTCTCTCTCGGGATTCTAACATTCCCTTCTGTGACGGAGAGACAGCAGGCCGGGACACGCATCCCAGGACGGATCCACAGCTGGATGGGGAAGGCTGCGCCAGGCGGGCCGGAAGCCTGGCGGTGGCGTGCAGGAGCCCCGCCCTCCTGGGCTGGATTCAGCCGGGGGCGGGGCCGCGGGCGGGGCCTGTGGCAGCGGGAATCCCGACCCCGCCCCTTTCCCCACCCCTCCATTTCTCGCCATGGCCCCTGCACTGCTCCTGATCCCTGCTGCCCTCGCCTCTTTCATCCTGGCCTTTGGCACCGGAGTGGAGTTCGTGCGCTTTACCTCCCTTCGGCCACTTCTTGGAGGGATCCCGGAGTCTGGTGGTCCGGGTGAGCGGGAGGGATCGAGGATGAACTGGGAGGAGGAAGGTGGAGCCGTAGGAGAGGGATTGAGGGCGGGGCTTGGAAACAAATGACAGGGGAAGTCCAAGAGAGGGAACTCGAACCTTGAAAGCGGCCGAGAAGCTACAGGGGAGGGAGACCTGAGTTCTAAATTAGGAACTCAAGGATTAGAGTTTTGGAGAGGCGGGAGAGTGAGGACTGAGGGAGCCGAAAAGGGCGGTGACCGGAGTATTCTAAGTAAAGTGTTTTGTAGAGAGGACTGTTGAGAGGAGAGTGTTAAAAAGAAGGAGCATTTGGAGAACCGAAGTAAGAGGGGCAATCCAGCGTGGCCTCTCCAGCCATGCTTTTTGCAACTGCCTAACATGTGTTGTTCTATAAATCCTCTTCCCCAGGTTTGCAGGAGGCCTAGGGAAGAGGGCAGAAACTAGGGATGGAAAAGTGAGATGGGCACAGCCTAGAGAGGAAGCATTAAGGCTCTTGAAAGCAGTAAGGGACATGGCCTGGGGATCCAAGAGGAGATGAGGGTGGGGGAAACATTCTGCCACTGTTTCGATCTTTTGTCTCTTTTTCCCTCAACTTCCTGTAGATGCCCGCCAGGGATGGCTGGCTGCCCTGCAGGACCGCAGCATCCTTGCCCCCCTGGCATGGGATCTGGGGCTCCTGCTTCTATTTGTTGGGCAGCACAGCCTCATGGCAGCTGAAAGAGTGAAGGCATGGACATCCCGGTACTTTGGGGTCCTTCAGAGGTCACTGTATGTGGCCTGCACTGCCCTGGCCTTGCAGGTATGAGGCCCTGGCCTTGCAGGTATGAAATCCTGGCAGTTGAGTCCCCAAGGGAGACCAAGTGTGGGAGGGGTGCCGTGGATTGGAGGGGCAAAATATGGGTTCAGGAGGAGAATTGAGGAACTAATCTCAGCTTCCATTCCTCCACAGCACATATCCTACTTTTTATCAAGAAGGGTGTACTTGTCCTTCCCTAAGCACAAGATATGCTTCTCACCTCTGCAACTTTGTTTATGTCCTGCTTGAGATCCCTTCTCTTCAGTCCTACCCTTTCTTCAAAACCACTTCCCTAGGTCTGAAGAGAAGGCCTTGTCTGTCTTTTCACTGGGTGGTTGGCACAGGCTACTACTTTGCGTAGCTATCAGGTCACCCCATCTATTCTATAAGTTCTCAGGGTAGAGACAGGCCATCCTTACATCTTTGGGACCTCACCCAGCACGCACCCTCCACATGGTGAATATTTGGTGGTGATGCTTAGGAGAGAGGTGGGGGAGAGTTGCAGGCTAGCCTGTGGTGGGGGCAGATCTGGGTCTGGGTCTCCCAAGGTCGGGCAGACTAGGCCACTGGGATACCCAGCCCCTTATCCTTCCACAGCTGGTGATGCGGTACTGGGAGCCCATACCCAAAGGCCCTGTGTTGTGGGAGGCTCGGGCTGAGCCATGGGCCACCTGGGTGCCGCTCCTCTGCTTTGTGCTCCATGTCATCTCCTGGCTCCTCATCTTTAGCATCCTTCTCGTCTTTGACTATGCTGAGCTCATGGGCCTCAAACAGGTGAGGCTCCGAGATCCCTACCTATGACCTCTGACCCGTTTTAGAACTCCTCGTTCCCTTTCAAGGGTTTCCCTCCTCCCATGCTCTTCTACTGTCTCCCTGCTTCTCCCTCGTGGCCCTTCCCTTTGACTTTCCCTCGTAAGGGCAGCAAGCATGGGCCTCCTGGGCCTGGGGAAGGTACATGGATCAGAAGTCAGGATCAGGGATCCAAGTCTCAGAAGGGGGGTTCCTGGGCCTGAGTTCTAGAAGGGTGGTGCCTGGAAGAGGAGGAAAGAAGTGCCCAAGATGAGAAAAGGGCTTGACTCCATTTCTAAGCTCTTCTCCCTCTCTTAGGTATACTACCATGTGCTGGGGCTGGGCGAGCCTCTGGCCCTGAAGTCTCCCCGGGCTCTCAGACTCTTCTCCCACCTGCGCCACCCAGTGTGTGTGGAGCTGCTGACAGTGCTGTGGGTGGTGCCTACCCTGGGCACGGACCGTCTCCTCCTTGCTTTCCTCCTTACCCTCTACCTGGGCCTGGCTCACGGGCTTGATCAGCAAGACCTCCGCTACCTCCGGGCCCAGCTACAAAGAAAACTCCACCTGCTCTCTCGGCCCCAGGATGGGGAGGCAGAGTGAGGAGCTCACTCTGGTTACAAGCCCTGTTCTTCCTCTCCCACTGAATTCTAAATCCTTAACATCCAGGCCCTGGCTGCTTCATGCCAGAGGCCCAAATCCATGGACTGAAGGAGATGCCCCTTCTACTACTTGAGACTTTATTCTCTGGGTCCAGCTCCATACCCTAAATTCTGAGTTTCAGCCACTGAACTCCAAGGTCCACTTCTCACCAGCAAGGAAGAGTGGGGTATGGAAGTCATCTGTCCCTTCACTGTTTAGAGCATGACACTCTCCCCCTCAACAGCCTCCTGAGAAGGAAAGGATCTGCCCTGACCACTCCCCTGGCACTGTTACTTGCCTCTGCGCCTCAGGGGTCCCCTTCTGCACCGCTGGCTTCCACTCCAAGAAGGTGGACCAGGGTCTGCAAGTTCAACGGTCATAGCTGTCCCTCCAGGCCCCAACCTTGCCTCACCACTCCCGGCCCTAGTCTCTGCACCTCCTTAGGCCCTGCCTCTGGGCTCAGACCCCAACCTAGTCAAGGGGATTCTCCTGCTCTTAACTCGATGACTTGGGGCTCCCTGCTCTCCCGAGGAAGATGCTCTGCAGGAAAATAAAAGTCAGCCTTTTTCTACATATGGCATGCAGTCTGTCAGTGTCTCCCAAGCTACAGGGCTGAGTTTGGGAAAGAAAGCCAGAGGGAGCCTGGGAGCACCGAACTGGAGTCTGGGCAGCCACCACGCCCTCTGGCAACCGCTGGGGTTCGGCCACCCCCGCAGACCCGCCCCCACTTTGCCAGAGCGGCCGGGTCCCCATTCCCATTCCTTCAAATCCCCTTTTTCCCGGCAGCCGACCTGTAGACCCAAGGGAGACAGGTTGAAGCTAGAAAGAGTCGGGGCAGCAGCTCTGGTAGGGGAGGGAGCATCCAAAACCTCTGGCTTCTGAGCGCCTCTCCTGCCGCCCATCCACAAAGCCCCCCACAGCCTGGCGGCTGCCCTCGACCCCGCAAAACAAAGGACTTCAGAGGCTGGACCTACAGACCCAGATGAGAAGGCAAAAGCGTAGGGAGGAGCGGCAGGAGATGGGAAGGGCGGGCCCCGCTCGGAGCAGCTGCCGCTTCCTCCCAAAGTCCCACGAGGGGCCTGAGTCACGGGCCACCGCCCTGGGTCGGCGAGCTGGGGGAAGGGATCTGGACACCTGGCGTGTCCGGGCGGGAAGCTGGTGAGGGCCCCTGGGGACAGAGCGGAGGACCAGTGGTTGGGGCGAGAAGAGGGCAGTCCCGCAGCGAGTCCCACGCGGGGTGGGAGGGATCTAGGCCCCGCCCTCTCCTCGGCTCCGCCCTGCGCCCCCTTCCCTCTCCTCATTGTCCTTAGACAAAGCGGTCGCCGCCCCCGCCCGGCCCCCTGGTCTCTGTCTCCGTCCCTCCTCCTTTGCTGCCTCTTTCCCTCCTCCTCTCCCTCCCTCCTCCCCTCCCTCCAGTCTCCGGATCTCCCTCGGTCCCTCTCTCCTCCTCTTCCTCTCTCTGGACGCCCGGCTCCTCCGCACCCCCTCCCCCGGGGGTCCCGCGGCCTGTGAGTTGACTGAGGGGCTCAGACTTGGGGAGTGGGTGTCTCCTCGCCCCTGTCCTTGCTCCCGTCCCTGGCCCGGACCTTGGCTGTCTCCTCTTTGTGCCGAGATTGTCAGTCTGTGCGGCTACAGCGGGGTGGAGACGGCCGGCTCTGTCACGGCTTCATGAGAGCGGGGACGGGGCGCAGGACTTGCAGGCGCCGGGGAGAAGAGACATGGAGCCGGCCCTTGGCACTCTGGGGTCGCGTGGGGCAGTCGGTGGGGGAGGCAGGCGGTGGTGACAGGACAGGGTGGGGGTGGACGCCAGGGTTCTGGGAACGCGCTGGCAGCCCTGACGCCCGGGTTCCGAAAGTCTCGGGGGTGGGTATTTCCCCCGACCCGCCTCGGGGGCGGAGTGCGGGGCAGAGGGGTGGGGGCTGGGGAGAGGCGTGGCCCGAGCGGTGCTGGAAGCGGAGCCGGGACCTTTGGGGCCCGCGCTGAGACGCGCCCGGCTGCTGCCGCCGCCCTCCTTTCCCCTCTTCCCTGGTTTCCCTTCTCCTCTAGACCTGTTCGCTCTCCGCCCCTCCTTGCCTCCCCAACACCCCCTCAGGTCCCGTTGCCTCCTGGTCCTTTCAGGGATTCCTGGTCCTTCCTTCCCACACTAGCCTCCCTGGGGTATCGCTGAGGCAGCCTGGCCTGCACCCAGGTTCCCCTCACCCCTGCCACATTTCTCTCTTCTCCCTCACGCCAACTTTCCTTTTCGCCCTTCTCTCTCTTTCTCACATCCTAGAGACGGTCTTTAATACGCATTAACCCTGTGCTGCCACATCTGGCTCCTGCCCTCATTGCCTCCAATCCGGACTCTTCCTCTCACATCACCCCCACCACCCCCAACTTGGGCTCACAACTTCTCTTCACTTTTTCCATTTCCCCAGTTCTCTGCCTTCCGTCTTTCCCTCTGTCCTCATCCTTAGCCCCTCTGCCCTGCTTTGTGTCCCACCTCTCCCCCTCCACTTCCTCTCCTCCCACCCTCAGTCTCACCCCCGGGCTGTCTCACTCTCTGGAGCCTCTCCTTCCTGTTCTCTGTCCCCAGTGCTCCCTACCCTCACCTCAAGACGACCATGGCCACCATCCCAGACTGGAAGCTACAGCTGCTAGCCCGGCGCCGGCAGGAGGAGGCGTCCGTTCGAGGCCGAGAGAAAGCAGAACGGGAGCGCCTGTCCCAGATGCCAGCCTGGAAACGAGGGCTCCTGGAGCGCCGCCGGGCCAAGCTTGGGCTGTCCCCTGGGGAGCCTAGCCCTGTGCTAGGGACTGTAGAGGCTGGACCTCCAGACCCGGATGAGTCTGCGGTCCTTCTGGAGGCCATCGGGCCAGTGCACCAGAACCGATTCATCCGGCAGGAGCGGCAGCAGCAGCAGCAGCAACAACAACGGAGTGAAGAGCTGCTAGCAGAGAGAAAGCCTGGGCCTCTGGAGGCCCGGGAGCGGAGACCCAGCCCTGGGGAGATGCGGGATCAGAGCCCCAAGGGAAGAGAGTCAAGAGAAGAGAGACTAAGTCCGAGGGAGACCAGAGAGAGGAGGCTGGGGATAGGGGGAGCCCAAGAGTTGAGCCTGAGGCCTCTGGAGGCTCGGGACTGGAGGCAAAGCCCAGGAGAGGTGGGAGACAGGAGCTCCCGACTGTCAGAGGCATGGAAATGGAGGCTGAGTCCTGGAGAAACTCCAGAGCGGAGTCTGAGACTAGCAGAGTCTCGAGAGCAAAGCCCCAGGAGAAAAGAGGTGGAAAGTGGACTGAGCCCAGGGGAATCTGCCTACCAGAAGTTGGGCCTGACAGAGGCCCATAAATGGAGACCTGACTCCAGAGAGTCTCAGGAACAGAGTTTGGTACAACTGGAGGCAACAGAGTGGAGGCTGAGGTCAGGAGAAGAAAGACAAGACTACTCGGAAGAATGTGGGAGAAAAGAAGAGTGGCCAGTTCCAGGGGTAGCTCCAAAAGAGACTGCAGAGCTGTCCGAGACCCTGACAAGGGAGGCCCAAGGCAACAGTTCCGCAGGAGTGGAGGCAGCAGAGCAGAGGCCTGTGGAAGATGGCGAGAGGGGCATGAAGCCAACAGAAGGGTGGAAATGGACCCTGAACTCCGGGAAGGCTCGAGAATGGACACCCAGGGACATAGAGGCTCAAACTCAGAAACCAGAACCTCCAGAGTCAGCAGAGAAGCTTCTGGAATCTCCCGGTGTGGAGGCTGGAGAAGGGGAGGCTGAGAAGGAGGAGGCGGGGGCTCAGGGCAGGCCTCTGAGAGCCCTGCAGAACTGCTGCTCTGTGCCCTCCCCCCTCCCACCAGAGGACGCTGGGACTGGAGGCCTGAGACAGCAGGAAGAGGAAGCAGTGGAGCTCCAGCCCCCACCACCAGCCCCTCTGTCTCCCCCACCCCCAGCCCCAACTGCCCCCCAACCTCCTGGGGATCCCCTCATGAGCCGCCTGTTCTATGGGGTGAAGGCAGGGCCAGGGGTGGGGGCCCCCCGCCGCAGTGGACACACCTTCACCGTCAACCCCCGGCGGTCTGTGCCCCCTGCGACCCCAGCCACCCCAACCTCTCCAGCCACAGTTGATGCTGCAGTCCCGGGGGCTGGGAAGAAGCGGTACCCAACTGCCGAGGAGATCTTGGTTCTGGGGGGCTACCTCCGTCTCAGCCGCAGCTGCCTTGCCAAGGGGTCCCCCGAAAGACACCACAAACAGGTAGGGAAGCAGCCAAGCCAGACTTCTTAGAAGTCCACTTGTCAATTTTCTCTGGACTCTGGTCTCTTTCTTTTTTATACCCCTGTTTTCTTGTCTTCCTCTATTCTTTCTTGTTAATTCCTGCCACCACCCTTCCTCGCTCTGCACATACACCCTTCCTTCTCAGAGCCCTCCTTTTCCATTTTGAGCCCAAAAGATCCTGCCCCAGCAAAGGCTGTCTCTGGGTGTGTCTCTTTCAGGGTGTGCCAGGCTGCTCATTCTCCCTTCCCTTGGGCTCTGAGTTTCCAACCCCCTTTTCTTTCCTTCCTTTCCTGAGTGTGACCTGCCCCAGCCCATCCAGTGGGAGAGCCTAAAGTGACGAGCTTGAATCAGTGAGGGCAGGGTCACCAGGGTGAGAGCACTTGCAGTTTTTCTGGGGAGAAGGGATAGGGAGCCTGGGGTGGTGGAGGGGGTGGGGTGGGTTTGTGTTCTAGGGAGAAACTGCAGGGAGAAGTGAATGGAGAAAGGTCCAACTGCCCCGTGGGAAGGAGGGCAGAGCTGAATAGGGACATCCTAGGATGGAGGGGAGAGGGGAGATGGAACCGGGCCGGCCAAAGAGCAGAGAGAAGGCTTTTGAACCCCGAGTCTGCCCCATGGGAGAGACACAGAGAGGCCATTTGAAGTGGGTGACCTCGGGGTTGCACACCCCCAGCTGGGCCACTGCTTCAGACAGTGCTCCCTTCTCTCTTGGGACAAGAAAAGCCTTCTCCTCTTCCAAAATACCCCCGCCCCTCACTCCCCTGTCCTTCCTCCCTGGGTTTCCCCTCCCTCCCAAGAACTGGCTCAGGGATCGGTTTTCCCCTCTTTTCCTGCCATCCTGGACTTTCCCTCCCCTTAGGGTAGCAAAAGAGAGAAGTGAATTTGGAGACAGTTTTGAGAACAGGCACTGGCCAGGGAGCACAGTGGGAGTTCTGGACAGGGGTTGGGGCTGAGGCCAGCAGAGGGTCAGAGGTTAGACTTGCAACAAAGACCTGCAGGAAAGTGGGGGCAGCCAGGATGACTCCCCCTGGCCCTGGCCTCACTTCTTCCCTGTGCACATCCATCTGTTTCCAGCTTGAAAATCTCTAGGGAGACAGAGGTCCCACACTCAGACATCTCAGACTTAGGAAGTCCCTCCAGTCACACACATCTCCCCAGAGCCTGGGAAGCCCAGTCTCATTCTCATCCCATGTGTTAACATCCTCAGATTTGATTTTTTTGTGTCCTCAGTGTCAGTGGGGAACCACAGGGACTAAAGATACGGGTTAAGCCTTGGGTGGAGGGGGGTTCATTTGATCCCCCAATTCATCTTCACATGAAGCGTAAGCTCCCACCTCTAAGCCATGGTTCTTGGGAACCTACCCTCAGCCCTCTGACTGCTACCAGCCTGTTCCCCTCAGGGCTGGGCAGATGAAAAAAACAGAAGTCCGGAAATGCTACCCGGGTGAGGTGTTCAGAAAAGTCACTTCCTACTGAGAGAGGCTTGTGCCTCTGGGGAAGAATGAGCAGAGGGAAGCATGAAGCTTTGGGGCCCAAAGCCCAGGGAGCATCCCAGGGGAGCCAGGAAGCAAGTGCAGGGCAGGACCTGTGCTGGTGACCATACCTAGGCCAGAGAGCAGGGGAGCCGGAAGCAGATCGCCCAAACAGGAAGCCTGGGGTGGGGGCCGGAAGGCTGGTGGGGCTGAGTGGGGAACCCTGGGCCCTGGGCCCTGGGCCTGCCAGATCTGTGCTCAGGATGTGGTGAGAGAATAAGGAAGCAGCCGCTGCTTGGGTGGGGGTGGGGAGGAGGCAGCACAGAGTTCCTCTGACCCAGACGCCTCACCCTCCACCCTCTACCCCCTGTCAGCAACCTGTTCTTCAGGGACTGGGTGCCTTGTCCCAGCTCTGCTGCAACACACTGGCTCAGGAATAGGAGATAGGAGGACCCTGCCACCAACCCCCGCTTCACCTTCCCTAAATAACTCGTTTGCAGGCTAATTCCATCAAATTTATCCCTGCCATCAGGAGAGAAATCCCAGCCCTGCCACTGGAGCCCAGGGGATGGCTGTGGCTGGTGCCCTACCCCAGAGGCCTCTTGGTTGGGCTGAGAGACCAGCCCCATTGTGACCTTATATAGCTGATGGGAGAGGAGCGAGTGAGTCACCCCCTCTCTACCCCCCCACTCCCATGCAGGCTGTGCATTTCTGAGAAGCCCAGTCAGAAGTTGGTGGGGGGTGAGGAGACAGGCAGGGTAGGGGGGGAGATATAAACATAGACCGAGAGCAAATAAAATAAGTCATTTTCAGAGTAGAAAATAAAGTACAGAGGTTATTATTCCAAAAGAGGATATGAGAAGAAAACAAAAATGGGTTCCCAGAAATGTGGGTAAATCTGTCAGTTACAGAAACCTAAGCGGTCCCTTCTGAGAACTTGGGATATAAGCAGTCTGGCTGCTGTCACTAGATTCTACCAGCAGTTCCACAGACATGAACTGGGGGTCAAATGTGTACAGGCTGGACCACCCGCAGATCGTTTCCCCAGCATTGGTCCTCTGATGGCACCTCATGTGAGGTCTGAACAAACCCTAACCTCTTGCATTGTACCAACTTCTAAGCTCCTTTCTTTTTTCTTTTCTTTTCTTTTTTTTTTCTGAGACAGTCTCGCTGTCTCCCAGCCTGGAGTTCAATGGTGAGATTTCGGCTCACTGCAACCTCCACCTCCCGGGTTCAAGTGATTCTCCAGCCTCAGCCTCCTGAGTAGCTGGAATTACAGGCGCACGCCACCATACCCGGCTAATTTTAGTATTTTTAGTAGAGACGGGGTTTCACCATGTTAGCCAGGCTGGTCTCGAACTCCTGACCTCAAGTGATCCACCTGTCTTGGCCTCCCAAAGTGCTGGGATTACAGGGGTGAGCCACCTTACCCGGCCCCAAGCTCCTTTCAACAGCAGACATGAGTATAATATATTAGTAAATTATCTAGTAAGTTAGAAGGTGGTAAGTGATTATGGAAAAAAAAATAGAACAGTGGAACTTAGAGGGTCAGGAGGTAGGGGGAGTGAATATGGAGACTTCAAAATAGGGTGATCAGGAGGGTCAGAGCCATGGGGATATTTTGGGGGAGTGTTCCAGGCAGAAGGAATAGCTAGTACTGTTCTGGTCCTGAGGTAGGAGTGCGTGGAGGGAACCAAGGCCAGTGTGGCTGGAGTGGAGGAAGAGGCCAGAGAGGCAAGGGGAGGGTGGCATACTGGGAGCACCCTGTAGGCTTTGGTCAGGCTCTGGGCACCTTGGGGGCAATCAAGTAGACTTTTTTTTTTTTTTTTTTTTGAGACAGAGTCTTGCTCTGTTGCCCAAGCCGTAGAGCAGTGGCGCGACCTCGGCTCACTGCAACCTCCGCCTCCCGGGTTCAAGCAATTCTCCTGCCTCGTCCTCTCGAGTAGCTGGGACTACAGGTGCACGCCACCATGCCCAGCTAATTTTTTTGTATTTTTAGTAGAGACAGGTTTCACCATGTTGGCCAGGATGGTCTCAATCTCTTGACCTTGTGATCCGCCCGCCTCGGCCTCCCAAAGTTCTGGGATTATAGGCATGAACCACCGCGCCCAGCCTGGAGTAGACTTTTTGCTCCAAGTGAGATGGGGAGACACTGCAGGGTTCAGAGCCAACAAGGAGTAACATATACAGTTCCTGAGTTCTACCTTCCCATGGGGACCCAGGTGTCATATCTGGTTTTCTTTTTTTTTCTTTTTTAGAGACAGTGTCACTCTATTGCCCAGGCTGGTCTCGAACTCCTGGGCTCAAGAAATCCTCCCGCCTCAACCTCCCAAAGTGCTGGGGCTACAGGTGTGAGCCACCATGCCTGACTGGTGTCATATTGATGCAGCTCTTAACAACCACCTGCCCAGCCACCCTTCTGGCTTCTCTCTTTTCATACCTCAGTTCATTAGGGGACTCAGGGATGTACGGCTGACCCCAAGTCTTCCCAAACAGATGCCAGGGAAGGCCTGAGTAGATCATTTGGACCTTTCCAAGTAGTTCATATGGAATCCTCCTGCTGTCTCCCTAATCCCTTTGGCTCCTAGACTTAATCCCACCCTGCCCCTTCCCCCTGAGCTTCTTAATAGGGCAAAGGGGAAGGGTAGAAAGGCAGTGAGAACAGCTGGGACTCGCCTGCTCTTGGGACAGTGTGATTACCAAGGGTTTTCTGTGCCCTGTCTGGTATTTTGTCTCTGTGCCTGTCCCTTTGGGCACACTGTGGACCCCCACCCCAGGTTTGTGTGGACTTTCCTTTCTGCCCTTGTCATCTCCCCCAGCCTTCAGGGTGTCAGCGGCTCATCTTTCCCCTGTGTGTTGCTGGAGTCTCTTGGTTCCTCTCGGCCTTTCTGTTCATCTCCCATCTCTTCCTAGGCCCTAGACTCCCTTTGCTATGGATAGGAGAGGAATGAGGAGAGTAGGAGGGAACAGGTGCCCAGGGTCCTGGGTTTTGCATAGGACAGCAAGGGGCTGTGGGTATGAAAACCTTGCTTTTGTCTGAGACTCGCTCCCCAGCCAGTTCTTTCCCCACTGGCCAGTCTGCTGGGCTCCTCTGGGAAGTTCACTCGATTGCCCCCAAGGTGCCCAAAGACTCGGTTCTGATCACAAGACTTATCGCCATGTATTTTAATTTCTTTTTACCCCTCTGCCTCCCACACTCGAAATAGCAGGGACCTTGGTCTTATATTATTCACTTCTGCCTCCCAAGCCCCTGCCAACGTACAGGGCAAAGTCTGATGTTTTGAAATGATATGATCGAAGAGGGAAACTCTAGAATTGGAGAGCCAGTATGGAAAGGAAAACTGGATCCCAGAGTGGATGGGGAGAGTGAGTGGGGCACCTGAGTCCAGCCCCCACCCCCACGTTCCGCCAGTCCCACCTGCTCCCTTGCAGACTCCGCCCCCCCCGCCCCCGCTTTCTCTCCCTCAACCCCCGCGGGCTTCTCCCCTGCTGACCTTGCCTCCTGCCCCCTTTTTCTCCCTCCTTCAGCTTAAGATCTCCTTCAGCGAGACAGCCCTGGAGACCACGTACCAATACCCCTCCGAGAGTTCGGTACTGGAGGAGCTGGGCCCGGAGCCTGAGGTCCCCAGTGCCCCCAACCCTCCAGCAGCCCAACCCGACGACGAAGAGGATGAGGAAGAGCTGCTGCTGCTGCAGCCAGAGCTCCAGGGCGGGCTGCGCACCAAGGCCCTGATTGTGGGTAAGCGGAGGCTCCGCCGGCCCGAGGGCGCCCCCTGCTGTCAGAGCGGGCGCTGTGGTCCAGGAGAGAGGAGGGAGGATTACATGTAGGCACTCGGAAGGGGCTTGGCGGGTCCTCTGGTTCAACATGCTCCTTTAACAGATGGGCAAACTGAGGTCCCCGGCAGTGAAGTACACATTGAGTCTTCAGGTTTCAAAACGAGAACTCTTCCTGAGTGCTGTAATCTGGTCAAAATCACAGGGTGGGTCGACAGGCCTGAGTTGGAATTCCAGCTTGTCTCTTTAATTGTGTGATCTCAGGGAAACCATCTGATCTCTTGCTTTAGTTTATTATTTATGAAATGAAGTTAATAATAACTACCTCCTGTGGCTCATGCCTGTAATCCCAGCACTTCGGGAAGCCAAGACGGGTGGATCGCTTGAGCCCAGGAGTTCAAGACCACCCTGGGCAACATGGCAAAATCCTGTCTCTACAAAAAAATTGAAAAATTATCCAGGTGTGGGCCGGGCACGGTGGCTCACGCCTGTGATCCCAGCACTTTGGGAGGCCGAGGCGGGCGGATCACGAAGTCAGGAGATCGAGACCATCCTGGCTAACACGGTGAAACCCCATCTCTACTAAAAATACAAAAAAAAATTAGCTGGGCGTGGTGGCGGGCACCTGTAGTCCCAACTACTTGGGAGGCTGAGGCAGGAGAATGGCGTGAACCTGGGAGGCGGAGCTTGCAGTGAGCCGAGGTCGTGCCACTGCACTCCAGCCTTGACAACAGAGTGAGACTCCGTCTCAAAAAAAAAAAAAAAAATTAGCCAGGTGTGGCAGTGCGCAGCTGTGGTTCCAGGTACTTGGAAGGCTGAGGTGGGAGCATCGTTTGACCTCAGGAGTTGGAGGCTGCAGTGAACCAATATTGCACCACCCACTGCACTCCAGCCTGGGCAACAAAGGAAGACCTGTCTCAAAAGAAACAAACAGGCCAGGCACGGTGGCTCACGCCTGTAATCTCAGCACTTTGGGAGGCCGAGGCAGGTGGATCACTCAAGGTCAGAAGTTCAAGACCAGCCTGGCCAACATAGTGAAAACCCATCTCTACTAAAAATACAAAAATTAGCTAGGCATGGAGGTGGACACCTGTAATCCCTGCTACTCGGGAGTCTGAGGCAGGAGAATCACTTGAACCCGGGAAGCAGAGGTTGCAGTGAGCCGAGATGACGCCACTACACTCCAGCCTGGGTGACAGAGTGAAATTCTGTCTCAAAAAAACAGAAACCAAAAACTACCTCCTAGACTTGTAGAAAATATTAAGTAATTTTATTTATTTATTTATTTATTTATTTTGAGACAGCGTCTCCCTCTGTCGCCTGGACTGGAATGCAGTGGCACAACCTTGGCTCACTGCAACCTCTGCCTCCCAAATTCAAGCGATTCTTGTGCCTCAGCCTCTCTAGTAGCTGGGATTACAGATGTGTACCATCACACCTGGCTAGTTTTTATATTTTTAGTAGAGACAGGGTTTCCCCATGTTGGTCAGGCTGGTCTTGAACTCCTGACCTCAAGTGATCCTCCTGCCTCAGCCTCCCAAATTGCTTGGATTACAGGTGCTCCAGGCCAAGATTAAGTAATTTTTTGTGAAGCACCAAGAGCCACAGCTGGATATCATATTACTTAATCTCTCCTGGAGTTATGGTGAGATTAAACAGTTATAAGGATGCCTGGCACAGAGTCCGAGCTAAATGAGTGATGGATGTGGTTACTGGTGGTAACATGCTTTAGATATGGAAGATATTATAGGACTTCCTGCATGCCAACTGCCCTTCAATTTGTGTGGGGGGGAAGGGTGGGCAGAAGGCAGAGGCTCTCACTCATTCTCTAACATTATTGCCCCCTCTCCCACAGATGAGTCCTGCCGGCGGTGACCATCTTCCAACATAGGGATATACCTCCCTCCTTCTTATAACTGAAGATCCTGGAGCCCGGAAGATTCAGGGCAGACAGACCCTGATAATGAGCCTGGCAGGGAAGGGCAACCAACATCTTGTAACTTGCTTTCCCCACCCTGTTTCTGGGGGCAGAGCCAATTGCCCAATTTCTACCCTAATCCAAAGTCCCTGGTGTGGGTGGGGTTAAACGTGCTGGTGCATCCTAGGTCATCCAAGAGTGAGCGCCAAGTCCTGAGAAGGGGCACAGAACTCCCTGGAGGGTGGAGATGGAGCACCTGCCCCCCATGGCAGGGTACACTCTCCCCACAGCCTTCCTCCCCACCATCCCGTGGGGACTCTCGGGATTTAAGCACTCGTCTCTCTGGGAGGCCCAGACCCCACTCCATTTATAGGCACATCTCCTTCATTTCCTAGGTCACTGCCCCTTTGTTTACAGCTCCTGCCTCCTCCCTTGACCACAGCCTGGTTTACAAATTCCATCAGCTCCCAGCCCCACCTGCCAAAGTCCCAGGTTTACAAGCCACGCTTACTTGCTGTGTCTGCGTGGAATTCTCTCCTCTGTCCCCTCCAGTCTCCTCATTGGAGTGACCTGAAGGTGTGGCTTCCTCCACTTTTTCTCAGTATTACTTTGCCTTAGTTTTCCCCAAGAGGGAAGGCTGGAACTCTTAACTCTGTACCCCTTGATAGTTATTTAATTCTGTTTCTCCTAGTGGTTCACAATTGAACTGAATTGAGATGGTGTCGGGTGGCTAAGGAGACACCTCACCTCTCCTTCCCCATTGTGCCGCCTTTATCAATTGCCTGTTTTGTTTTGTTTGTTTTTTAACTTTCCATAATAAAATGGAGTTCTCTTCAACTCGTCTGCTTCTCCTTCTTTGGGAAAAAAAAAGGGTATGTGAGGGGAGGCTCTGGTGGCTGGGGGAGAGGAAAATGATGGGGGATGAACCAGGAACTCGGCACTGACATGTCAAAAGGGGTCTGGGAAGCTGCACGTGGGTTTCACGCAGGACAAGCAGGTGACATGAGAAAGGGCAGTTGAAGTGTCCACTAGACTGGAAGTGCCATGAGGGCTGACTACATCAGCTGGATTCACTGCAATATCCTGTACCTGTCAACTAGTAGACACGGAATTATTTCTAGAATGAATGACAACAAATGAATGAATAGAAGAAAAGGGTTAAAATATTACAGAGGACACTTTGAGTTGAAGGGTTCTAGTATTCAGAAGCCTGCTGCCATGAAGGCAGCTAGGTAGTGTATGACACAACCCATGTGGCTAATCCAGGGATACTTACTTAAAGAGCTGGGGCTACGAATACTAAATCTGAAATTGCTGCAAAATGAAGTAAGTATGTACAAGAGTCAGTTTCCTGGAAAAGGTTCCCCTCTGATAGACAATGGATTTTATATCGTTAAAGGCCTAAAGGCCGGGCACGGTGGCTCACGCCTGTGATCCCAGCACTTTGGGAGGCCGAGGCAGGCGGATCATAAGGTCAGGAGATTGAGACCATCCTGGCTAACACGGTGAAACCCCGTCTCTACTAAAAATACAAAAAATTAGCGGGGCATAGTGGTGGGCACCTGTAGTCCCAGCTACTCGGGAGGCTGAGGCAGGAGAATGGCATGAACCCGGGAGGTGGAGCTTGCAGTGAGCTGAGATTGCGCCATTACACTCCAGCCTGGGCAGCAGAGTGAGACTCCATCTCAAAAAAAAAAAAAAAGGTTTAAAAACCATCTTGATAGTGCATGGCTTTGGTGCCCATGTAGTTGATATTTGGAATTTTCCCATTTCAAAGAATATCTTATACAAATGTGGAACATCAATATTTTACTCATCAGGAAAATTTGTTTGTTTGTTGTTAGCTCTCCAGGCTAACAAAGATATGGTTGAATAGTTATAGTCCTTCTACCACTACAAGTTGCTCCTCTCAGACTGGTCAGAGGAGGCCCCACACCTTTACTATAAAACAAAATATATGAGACAAATTGAACTTAAGCATACGCCAAAGGTTTTCAATTTACTAGCAAGAGAACAAGCCAGGTGTCAAAAGACTCAGCCAGTTCAGAGAAGGTCTGGGTAGGGAAGGAAACAGAATGATTATATTAGTAGCCTGTTAGGTAAAGGTCTTAAAAAGTTTCCAGTTGTGACCCAGGAAAACAGAGTTAGGAAGCTCCGAGGTGCCAGGGGTGCTCACAGTCCATCTCAGAAACAGAAAACAATGCATTCAAGAGGTCAGGCCAGGTGTGGTGGCTCATGCCTGTAATCCTAACACTTTGGGATGCCAAGGCGGGTGGACTGCCTCATCTGAGGAGTTTGAGACCAGCCTGGGCAACATGATGAAACCCCGTCTCTACTAAAATACAAAAAATTAGCTGGACGTGGTGGCACGCACCTGTAGTCCCGCCTACTCAGGAGGCTGAGGCAGGAGAATTGCTTGAACCCAGGAGGTGGAGGCTGCAGTGAGCCAAGATCACGCCACTGCATTCCAGCCTGGGCGACAGAGTGAGACTCCGAGACTCCCTTTCCAAAAAAAAAAAAAAAAAAGTCAGTGATGTAGATCCACTTGTGGCTATTAATAAGAACAATGTTTCATTTCCTAACAGTAGTGCCTGGTAACTGCAATTAATCACAAAAGTATGATGCAGGATCAAACAAATCAGACAGCAGAGCATCGAGTAACAAATTCAGCTTTTTGTTTTGTTTGTTTTTTTTTTTTTGAGCATAGTCTTGGTCTGTTGCCTAGGTTGGAGTGCCTGACCTCGGCTCACTGCAACCTCTGGCTCCTGGGCTCAAGAGATTCTCCTGTCTCAGGCCCAGTGCGGTGGCTCACGCCTGTAATCCCAGCACTTTGGGAGGCCGAGACGGGCGGATCATGAGGTCAGGAGTTTGAGACCAGCCTGACCAACATGGTAAAACCCCATCTGTATTAAAAATACAAAAACTAGCTGGGCGTGATGGCATGTGCTTGTCACACTTGTAATTCCAGCTACTCAGGAGGCTGAGGCAGGAGAATCACTTGAACCTGGGAGGCGGAAGTTGCAGTGAGCCGAGATCGTGCCATTGCACTCCAGTCTGGGCAACAGAGCGAGACTCTGTCTCCAAAAAAAAAAAAAAAAATTCTCCTGTCTCAGTCTCCAGAGTAGCTGGGACTACAGGTGCACACCTCCACACCTGGCTAATTTTTTGTAGAGATGGTGGGGTCTCACCCTGTTGCCCAGGCTGGTCTCAAACCCCTGGTCTCAAGATATCCTCCTGCCTCAGCCTCCCAAAGTGCTGGGATTACAGCAAGAGCCACTGCACCTGGCCTTGCTTACTTTTAAATAAGCAGCCACCAGTGATTTTCTCAAGCTGTTAAGCAAAAATGCAGAACACAGTTTGCCTGTTCCTTAGTTTGGAGATTTTGTCTTTAACAACTTTCCCCAGTTCCCCAGTTTCTTCCTGCCTAGAGGTCTTCCCTTATACCTGACCTGTCTTCACTCCTGCTGCAGGCAAACCAGTCCTAGCAACGGTCACTTTTTTGTTTGTTTGAGACAGAGACTTCCTCTGTTGCTCAGGCTGGAGTGCCGTGGTGGGATCTCGGCTCACTGCAAACTCTGCTTCCCATGTTCAAATGATTCTCCTGCCTCAGCCTCCCGAGTGGCTGGGACTACAGGCGCACACCACCACGCCAGGCTAATTTTTATATTTTTAGTAGAGACAGGGTTTCGCCATCTTGGCCAGGCTGGTCTCGAACTCCTGACCTCAGATAATCCGCCCGCCTTGGCCTCCCAAAGTGCTGGGATTACAGGCATGAGCCACCGCGCCCGGCCAACAATGCTAATATGTTTTATGAGCATGGACCCGATCTTCCAATCTGAAATAGAATTTCATTCCTCCCTTACTTTGTATAGTTTTTGGCTCTATAAAATTTCCATACTTTCTTTATTATGTATCCTGTCCCTCCCCCACCGCAAAATGTAAATTTGGTAAGGAACTTTTGATTTGTCCTCTGCTATATCCCAGGGACGGAAAGCAATGAGCACACATTAGGCATCCATTAAATTAATTTCACTTGTTGAATGAATGCGTGAGCGAAGCACTCACAGACTGACCATCAGGGGGCGTCAGAGAAACTGGACAGAGGCGAAATGAAGAAAAAAGAATTACCCCGAGTTTTCAGGTATGGTTCCGCGAGGTTTGAACTCGCTCGGCCACCGTAGTGCTTAGAGGCCGAAAAAGTACAGCCCCTTCCGGGCTCCGCGGTACGGGAAGACAGCTTTGGGATGTCGGAAGATCCTAGAGGTCCCAAGGTAGCTGACTTGCGAAGCTGAGGCTCCAGCCGAGGGCTCCAGGCCTCTGACCGGCCCAGCAGTGAGCGCGGCTGCCCGACGCTTCAGGGCCGGGAGCAGGGAGCGTGAGTCGCCATGGCGACGCCGGCGGGTCTGGAGCGCTGGGTTCAGGACGAGCTGCACTCGGTGTTGGGGCTGAGCGAGCGGCACGTCGCCCAGTTTCTGATCGGTACCGCACAGCGCTGCACCTCTGCCGAGGAGTTCGTGCAGCGCCTACGAGACACTGATACCTTGGATCTCAGTGGGCCGGCCCGGGACTTCGCCCTGAGACTCTGGAACAAGGTGTCGGCAGGGGTGGGGAGGGGCCCTGTGATTTGTCCCGGTGAGGCTGGCCTAACGGTCCATCGAGAAGTTAAGAAAGCTCAGTTCACAAGCACTTATTCTTTGTCCGTTGTCGCGTAGGTACTGTGCTAGCTGCTGGACGCCCAGCTCAGTGGAGAAGATTGAGGAGGGCTTAGGTGTGTCGGGTTAAGCGCAATAGAACGGTGTTTCTCGAACTCTTAACATGCATCCAAGGTTCTTGTTAAAATGCAGATTGCGATTCAGTAGGGATCTTAGTTTCTGCATTTCTTTCTTTCTTTTTTTTTTTTTTGAGAGACACAGTCTCGCTCGCCCCGTCGCCCAGGCTGGAGTGCGGTCGTAAGATCACGGCTCACTACAGCGTCGACCTCCCTGGTTGAAGCGACCCTCCCACCTCATCTTCCCCGGTAGCTGGGACTACGGGCGCGCGCCACCACCCCCGGCTAATATCTTTTATTTTTATTTTTATTTTTAGAGATGAGGCCTTGGTGTGTTGCGCAGGCTGGTCTCTAACTCCTCAGCTCAAGCAATCCTCTCTCAGCCCCCTCAGAGTGCTGAGATTACAGGCGTGAGCCACCATGCCCGGCCCCCCTCATCTTCTGAACTTCCTTTCAGTCGTTTAATTAACAGAGGGGGCCGGGTGCAGTGGCTCACACCTGTAATCCCAGCACCCCGGGAGGCTGAGGCAGGAGGATTACTTGAGCCCAGGAGTTCGAGACCAGCCTGGGCAACATGGCGAAACCTTCGTCCTACAAAAAAATTAAAAATTAGTTGAGCGTGGTAGTGTGCACCTGTGTTTCTAGCTACTTAGGAGCCTGAGGTGGGAGGATCCCTTGAGCCCAAGAGGGACAGAGTGAAACCCTGTCTGTAAAAAAAAATAAAAAACCCCATTCAGGATGATGAAGATGGGGTGAAGCCATGAGGAAGAAAGAGAATGAATGCTGGTTAGCTGGTTTAAAACTAAGTAATTGTGCCCGGGTGCGGTGGCTCATGCCTGTAATCCCAGCACTTTGGGAGGCTGAGGTGAGTGGATCATGAGGTCAGGAGTTTGAGACCAGCCTGGCCAACATGGTGAAACCTCATCTCTACTAAAAATACAAAAATAGTCGGGCGTGGTGGCATGTGCCTGTAATCTCAGCTACTTGGGAGGCTGAGGCAGGAGAATTGCTTGAACCTGGGAGGCGGAGGTTGAAGTGAGCCGAGATCACGCCATTGCCTGACAGTGGGGCCGGGCCGCGGGGGCAGGAAAGACTAAGTAATTGCTTAAATTAGGAACAGAGCTAAGTGGGAGGGCAGAGATCAGGAGTTGCTCAGACCTCCTTATCTTCCCCTCTACTGACAGGTACCACGAAAGGCAGTGGTAGAAAAGCCAGCTCGGGCAGCAGAGCGAGAGGCCCGGGCCCTGCTGGAGAAGAACCGATCTTATAGGTTACTGGAAGACAGTGAAGAGAGCAGTGAGGAGACTGTGAGTAGGGCTGGAAGCAGCCTCCAGAAGAAACGTAAAAAGCGGAAACACCTCAGGAAGAAGCGTGAGGAAGAAGAGGAGGAAGAGGCTTCTGAGAAAGGGAAGAAGAAAACAGGGTAAGTCAGAAGCAGGGTGAGAGAGGATGGGGCAGGCTGAAGTGTTCTCTATGCCCTTATTTAATCCCCTGGATGGGCTGCAGGGGGAGTAAACAGCAGACAGAGAAGCCAGAGTCGGAAGATGAGTGGGAACGGACAGAGCGTGAACGCCTTCAGGACCTGGAGGAGCGTGATGCCTTTGCTGAGCGGGTTCGACAGCGGGACAAGGATCGGACTCGAAATGTCCTGGAACGGTCAGACAAGAAGGTGAATAGGAGCAGCATGTTCTGTAAATCCCCAAGATCCCAGGGTGAAATCTGAGGTTGGCTGTGAGTGCAGAGATAGTGATCTCTGGGAAGACAAGGGGCTGTCTCTAGTGAGATGTTCACCTCTGTGGTGAGAGAAGCCCTGTGCATCCTGTGGCTAAGACAACTGTCTGCTGTACCTGCAATCAGAGAGATTCCTCACTGAGAGGGGACATTTTTTGTGTTAGGGCGCATCTGAATGATCCTTGTGATTCTAGAGGGGAGCAGCTGTCAGTGTGGGGGCTCTTTGGCCTCACACCCCTCCATTCTTGTTTTTTCTTCTAGGCTTATGAAGAGGCTCAGAAGCGCCTCAAGATGGCCGAGGAAGACCGGAAGGCCATGGTGAGTCCCAGGGCCTAGGGAGCCAAGATCAGAAGACAAAAGGAAAGACTTTCTGATAGAGTGTATAGGGAGAGAGGATACAGAGGAAGCACAGTGTGGATGCTGATGGGGTGGTCAGGTTTCTAGAAGAGGGGCTTGGTTGTTAGGAGCCAGCTGAGGATAGACTTATGTTGTTGAGGGAAGGATCCTTCTTAAGTTGTAGGGGGAAGGAGGCTACCCATAAGTCCTCCTTGACTCTTAACTTTAGGATCAAATATACTCTATTAGTGAATGAAATTGTGAGCTTTCCCTATTCCTGAGTCCTAATGAGATATGAGGCAGCTGGAATGTTGTCAAGAAGGTTGCTGGAGGGCAAGGGCAGGGCAGCAGTCCCACTGTACAGGGATGTGCTGACCATTCAGCTTAGGCACACCATCTCCAAATACCTTCCCACCACCTAATTCCTGCACCCCTTATGTGGCTTTGTGATCTCCCTGTGTCTTCTCACTGGACAGGGACAGAGCCCTTGTAATTCATAAACTGGACTTTTTATGGTGTGAAACTAGGTAGGGTAAGCTGTTTTCCAAAGGCCTGGTCTTGTCAAGTAAAGTCACACTTAGATTCCCCAATACCCCAATAGAATTTTGAGACTCTTGAAGTTCCTTTTTTTTTTTTTTTTTTTTTTTAAACCTTTTTTCTTTTTTTTGAAACGGGGTCTTGCCCTGTCACCGAGGCTGGAGTGCAATGATGCGATCTCGGCTCACTGCAACCTCCGCCTCCTGAGTAGCTGGGATTACAGGCGCACACCACCACGCCTGGCTAATTTTTTGTACCTTTAGTAGAGACGGGGTTTCACCATGTTGGCCAGGGTGGTCTCGAACCCCTGACCTTGTGATCCACCTGCTTTGGCCTCCCAGAGAGCTGGAATTACAGGCGTGAGCCACCATGCCCAGCCTTCTTTTTATTTGTTTTGTTTTATTTTTTATTTTTATTTATTTATTTTTGAGATGGAGTCTCACTCTGTTGCCAGGCTGGAGTGTGGTGGTGCGATCTCAGCTCACTACAACCTGTGCCTCCCTGGTGGAGGAATCAAGCGATTCTCCTGCCTCAGCCTCCTGAGTAGCTGGGACTACAGGCCTGCAGTACCACACTCGGCTAATTTTTTGTATTTTTAGTAGAGGAGATTTCATCATGTTGGCCAGGATGGTCTTGATCTCTTGACCTTGTGATCTGCCCGCCTTGGCCTCCCAAAGTGTTGGGATTATAGGCATGAGCCACTACGCCTGGCCGTTTTTACTTTTTAAAATTCATTTATTTATTTTTTTGAAACAGAGTTTTGCACTTGTTGCTCAGGCTGAAGTGCAGTGGCGTGATCTTGGCTCACTGCAACTTCCACCTCCCGAGTTCAAGCGATTCTCCTGCCTCAGCCTCCAGAGTAGCTGGGATTACAGGCATGAGCCACCTCGCCTGGCTAATTTTGTATTTTTAGTAGAGATGGGGTTTCTCCATGTTGGTCAGGCTGGTCTTGAACTCCTGACCTCAGGTGATCCACCTGCCTCGGCCTCCCAAAGTGCTGGGATTATAGGCGTGAGTCACCACGTGCCCGGCCAACTTTTGGAGTTCTAAGAATGGCCTACTGGTTCCCAGGTCTCTCCTGACCAATTTATCTCATATCTCTTCCTGAAATTGACTGTGGTTAGGCTTCTGGGACATCTCAGTGCAGTTGTGGTGGTAGTGGTGTTACTGTTTTGGCCTGAATTTAATTTTTCGGGTTTTTTTTGAGACAGAATCTCATTCTGTCGCCCAGGCTGGAGTGCAGTGGCATGATCTCGGCTCACTGCAACCTCCGCCTCCCGGGTTCAAGTGATTCTCCTGCCTCAACCTCCCGAGCAGCTGGGACTACAGACATGCACTAGCATGCCTGGCTGATTTTTGTATGTTTAGTAGAGATAGGGTTTCACCATGTTGGCCAGTCTGATCTCAAACTCCTGACCTTTGGCGATCCACCCCCCTCGGTCTCCCAAAATGTTAAGATTACAGGCGTGAGCCACTGTGCCCAGCTGTAATTTTTCTTTTTCGATTACAAAAATATTTAAGCACATAGGGAAGTTGAAAGAATAGAACAAAGAACACTCATAGACACTATTCAGATTGAAAAATGGTTAATACTATGGGTAGTATTTGCATTGTAATTGTAAATGTGGTATGTTTTTTCTTTTCAGACCATTTAAAAGAGTCTTAGACATCATGGCGTTTTATCTCTAAGTACATCAGTGTGTACCTGCTAAGGATAAAGATATTGTCCTCTAAAATCAGAATGCTCTTGTCACAGTCAGGAAGTTGAACAGTAATTCTTATGTATCGACTAAGATCTCTCTACAATAAAAGATACCCTCATTACCCTCAAAATAACTTTAATGACTGCTTTTTCCTAACAAGAATGCAGTCAAGGTTCATGCATTGCATTTGGGTCTTAGATGTTAAGTTTGTTTCTCTCTCTGTCTGTCTCACCTTGCAGTGTCCTACATTCTGGATTTGCCTGATTCTTATCTTGTGGTGTTAAGTACTTCTCTGCCCTGTGCTTTCTTTGAAGCAGGAATTGGGTCTAAAGCTTATTGACACTCAGATTAAACAGTTGTGGCAGGAACACTTCTTGGGCGGTGATGTGCACTTCATATTATGTCATATCACGGGGACATACTATCCAGTTGTGTATCTATATATTAGTATTAATATCCTTTCTACCAATAGCCTTTCATCAAATGCTTTTAGAAGCCACTGGTAATCCTTTCCTGAACATGTTATTTTTATTGGGGATTGCAAAATGGTGATTTTTTTTTTTTTTTTTTGAGACAGAGTCTCGCTCTGTCGCCCAGGCTGGAGTGCAACGGTGCGATCTCGGCTCACTGCAAGCTCTGCCTTCCGGGTTCATGCCATTCTCCTGCCTCAGCCTCCTGAGCAGCTAGAACTACAGGCGCCTGCTGCCACGCCCGGCTAATTTTTTGTATTTTTAGTAGAGATGGGGTCTCACCATGTTAGCCAGGATGGTCTCGATCTCCTGACTTCGTGATCCTCTTGCCTCAGCCTCCCAAAGTGCTGGGATTACAGGCGTGAGCCACCGCGCCCGGCCGAAATGGTGATTTTTTGATTCTGTCATTCCTGTTACGTGTATTGGCTAGAATTTGTCTATAAAGAAGAGCTTTTCCTCAACAACTAGGAACAAGCTACAGTTCCTTCTTAAAAAGGGTAAATGTTTGTTTCCTTTTAAATACGAATTTTTAGAGTAAGGCGTTTGCTGTAACAGTCATTTCACTGGTGACAGATTTTTTTCCCTTGTTTTTTGTTTGTGTGTGTCAAATTGGACTCATGAATTTTTATTTTTCAGTATTTTATAATCTCACATCATTATTCTTTTTAATGCTCAAATGGCTCTGATTTTTTGCCCATATTAAAAAAAAAATCTATCTGGCTCTTCCATGGAAGGAATATTTGACTGTGGTACCCAGATTAGGTCATGATCATAAACTGCATTTTAAGTCTTTACAGAACAAACAAGAAAAGCCAAACAACTAAATAGAACCAGGCCCCTTAAGGGTAGAACAGCAGAGGGGCTTTTTTTTTAAAGATGCAGTTTTGTTCTTGTTGCTCAGGCTGGAGTGCAATGGCGTGAGCTAAGCTCACTGCAACCTCCGTCTCCCGGGTTCAAATGATTCTCCTGCCTCAGCCTCCCGAGTAGCTGGGATTACAGGTGCCCACTACCATGCCCAGCTAATTTTTGTATTTTCAGTAGAGACGGGATTTCACCATGTTGGCCAGGCTGGTCTCTAACTCCTGACCTTAGGTGATCCACCCACCTCAGCCTTTCAAAGTGCTGGGATTACAGGTGTGAGTCACCACGCCCACCCAGCCACCAGAGGGGCTTTGACCTTGCAGTAGAGGAAGTTGTGATCACAGAGAGGATGATGTCATAGTGGGAGGACTCCTGGCAGGAAAGGGCCTTATAGATATTGCCAGTTTTCTGCTGTCATCCATAATGTGTCCTGAAAAGTTTGTATCAAAGGTAAATGTGTAGAAACTAAGTGAGACACAGCATGGTGAAGAGAGGTTAGTACCAGAAAGCCAAACATCCCTGATTACATTTGCCTTACAGAAACACTCTGATGCTGTAGTCCTAACTTTTTATAATCAGTTTTTCTCCCTTCCTCAAACTACAGTCATTCCGTTTAAGACCAAAGAACATCTAACTGGGGCTGAAGATTGCCTCCTGTTGGCCCCCTCACTGGTTTCTATCTTTGTCTGAATTGTTTTCGGTTTGAGTCCTGTGCTTCTAAATGCTGGATTAGCCTTTTATTTTCCCCCTTTCCACTAATTTGAATAAAATGGCAAGAGTAAAATATAAGCTACGCAGACATCTCCCTAGTGCATCTATATTAACAAAGATGATAATGCTGCCTAAGAGGACTTTCCAGCTGGATTCTGCTGCAGGAAGATACGATGTGGGGTCAGCATGTAGCATCCAAAGAGGCCCAGATTTGAGTATGTCATTGTTTTGGTTGTGCATTGCAGAGGGAAGGTAGAGGGTGCATCCTGAGGTTCTCATGCCTGCCTGTCAGGGGATTTTTCCCTTGTAGGGATTGGTAGAGAAAGGGGTTGCTCCTCCAGCAAGATGAGGATTCGACTGTCCTTTCCCAACTCAGGTCCCTGAGCTGCGGAAGAAATCTCGCCGAGAGTACCTGGCTAAGCGGGAGCGAGAGAAGCTTGAGGACCTGGAGGCGGAGCTGGCTGATGAGGAGTTCCTTTTTGGGGACGTGGAGCTGAGCCGGCACGAGCGGCAGGAGCTCAAATATAAGCGGCGAGTGCGGGATCTCGCCCGGGAGTACCGGGCAGCTGGGGAGCAGGAGAAGCTGGAGGCCACCAATCGCTACCACATGCCCAAGGAAACCCGAGGACAGGTGAGGTGAAGCGGCGTCTGCTTCAGCCTTGGTCCCCAAGACAAGTTGTGGGGAAGGCTTCAGGGGATTGGGCAACACGTGGGTCATCCCCTTTCTTGCCTTGCCGTTCCCAATGGGCAGTGGGCGGGGGTAGTAATGGGAAGAGGGGAGAGGGCAGAGAGGACATCCTGTTTTTGAGTCTTCACATATCCCCTCTCTCTGTAGCCAGCCCGAGCTGTGGATCTAGTGGAGGAGGAATCAGGAGCCCCTGGGGAGGAGCAGCGGCGCTGGGAGGAGGCGCGGCTTGGGGCAGCGTCCCTGAAGTTTGGGGCCCGAGATGCTGCCTCTCAGGAGCCCAAGTATCAACTGGTGCTGGAGGAGGAGGAGACCATTGAGTTTGTCCGGGCCACTCAGCTCCAGGGTGATGAGGTAAGAGGGGAGCTGGGAGACTTTCTGAGGAAGACCCGTAGCGAGCTATTTAGCTCACACCTCCTTCTCTTTCCTTAGGAGCCGTCAGCTCCACCCACTTCAACTCAGGCCCAGCAGAAAGAGTCCATCCAGGCCGTCCGCCGCAGCCTCCCGGTGTTCCCATTTCGAGAGGAGCTCCTGGCTGCTATTGCAAATCACCAAGTCCTCATCATTGAAGGCGAGACAGGCTCAGGGAAGACCACCCAGATCCCGCAGTATCTCTTTGAGGAGGTACAGTCATCTCACCCTTCAGCTTGCCAGGGCACCTGGCATCAATGTCCTCATTCCTGTCAGAGCTCCTTTTACATTATATTTTTAGTAGTCACTTACCTATCTTTTCCACTAAATTGTGAAATTCTTGAGAGTAAAGACCATACCCTTTTCACATTTCTGTTCTCACTTCCTGCATTCATTTCATTTGGAAGGACGGGTAGATGGATAGGTGGAGTGGGGCGTGTATAAATGTGGACCTCCCTATGCTCCAACGTGGCCAAAAAACAAGGAGTTAAAGGACTATTTTCCTGCCTTTTTGTTAGTTTTTTTTTTTTTTTTTTGGAGACGGAGTCTTGCTCTGTCACCCAGGCTGGAGTGCAGTGGTGCGATCTTGGCTTACTGCAACCTCTGACTCCTGGGTTCAAGGAATTCTCCTGCGTCAGCCTTCAGAGTAGCTGGAATTACAGGCATGCGCCACCACACCTGGCTAATTTTTTAGTAGAGATGGGGTTTCACCATGTTGGCCAGGCTGCTCTCGAACTCCTGACCTCAAGTGATCCAGCCACCTCAGCCTCCCAAAGTGCTGGGATTACAGGTGTGAGCCACTGTGCCTAGCCCCTGCCTTATTTTGGAGACAGGCTCTTGCTCTGATGCCCAAGCTGGAGTGATGTGGCACCATCATGACTCACTGCAACCTGGGACTCCTGGGCTCAAGAGATCATCCCACCTCAGCCTCCTGAGTATCTGGGAGGTGCACACCACCATGCCCATATTAAACATTTTTTGTTTTTTTTTGAGGTGGAGTCTTGCTCTGTCACCAGGCTGGAGTGCAGTGGCGCGATCTTGACTCACTGCAACCTCCACCTCCTGGGTTCAAGTGATTCTCCTGCCTCAGCCTCCTAAGTAGCTGGGACTACAGGTGCGTACCACCACACCCAGCTAATTTTTGTATTTTTAGTAGAGATGGGGTTTCACCATGTTGGCCAGGATGGTCTCAATCTCCTGACCTCGTGATCTGCCCACCTCAGCCTCCCAAAGTGCTGGAGTTACAGGTGTTAGCCACTGTGCCTGGCCTGAAATTTTTTTTTTTTTTTTTTTGAGACAGAGTCTTGCTCTGTTGCCCAGGCTGGAGTGCGGTGGCATGATCTTGGCTTACTGCAACCTCTGTCTCCCAGGTTCAAGCGACTCTCCTGCCTCAGCCTCCCAAGTAGCTGGAAATACAGGCATGCACCACCATGCTCGGCTAATTTTTTGTATTTTTAGTAGACGGGGTTTCACCATTTTGGCCAGGCTGGTCTCGAACTCCCAACCTCAGGAGATCCGTCTGCCTCGGCCTCCCAAAGTGCTGGAATTGCAGGTGTGAGCCACTGTGCCTGGTCAAAATTTTGAATTTTTAATTTTTTTGTCACACTATGTTGCCCAGGCTGGTCTCGAACTCCTGAGCTCAAGCCATCCTCCCACCTCAGCCTCCCAAAGTACTAGGATTACAGGCATGAGCCACTGTGCCCAGCCTTCCTGCTTTTTTACCTTAGCTGGCTCTGTCTCAGCTAATCTGTTCTTTTCCAGCTCAAGTCTAGCAGAGTCATGAACTTAATTACCCAGAGCTGGGTGAGGACCCCCTTTGAGGGCCCTAGGTCTGTCATCCTATCTATTTGCCCTTCTTTTCTGGTTTTCAGCATCTGTCTTTTCCTCCTTTTCTCCTGCCTGGTTTTTACAACTTCTTTCTCTGAAATGTACCTGGTCCCAGGGTGCATATTTAGTAAAGGGCAAACTTCTTCTTTTTTCTTTGTCATTCAGGGTTATACAAACAAGGGTATGAAGATTGCCTGCACCCAACCCCGGAGAGTGGCTGCCATGAGTGTGGCCGCCCGAGTGGCCCGGGAGATGGGTGTGAAGCTTGGGAATGAGGTGAGATTTCTAGGGAACCGGGGGGTAGAGTCTGGGGTCTGTGACTCAGTCTACAGTTCCCTCAGGTCCCTACAGCAGAAGTCTTGGTGCTGCCCCACTTCACCTTTCCCCAAGTTCCTTTCAGGGCACACCAGCCCACACTTGGTTGCTAATGGTTCCCTTGACCAGGTTGGCTACAGCATCCGCTTTGAGGACTGCACATCAGAGCGAACTGTCCTCCGCTACATGACAGATGGGATGCTTCTCCGGGAGTTCCTCTCTGAGCCTGACCTGGCGAGTTACAGGTATCTCTAATCTCTGGCCTTTCTCTCCCTTCTTCCCACCCAGCCAATTCAGCCATTGTCTTCTGATTAATCCACCCGTTCTTGAATCTTTGTGGTTCAAATGGTCCTTGAACTGACCTCCAGGTACCACGGAGATGGGGCTGGAGGACAGAAGAGATTGTAGAGAAAGCCTCTTCTTTCCCCATTCATCTCCAGGGTTTAGAAAACAACCAGGATAGCAGAGCATTGCTGCCGAGACTTGAAATACCGTGTGAAGACCATTTGAAAACACTTGGAATGCTCAGCTCAGAGGGAGAAACAGGAAGCATCCTGGTTCCCTCTAAATATGTGAAGGCTGTTACATGGAAAGAAGGATCAGATTGTTTTATGTGACCCTACACGACATAGCTAGGAGCCATGGGGAGGTTACAGGGAGACAGATTCCAACTCAATACCAATGGCTGAGTAACCCTCAGAGTGGTGGAGATTGCAGGGCCTGTCAGAGTGGTTGGACTCTGGGTCTTGGCCCTCCACACAAGTCTTGGGTAGCTTGGTCTGTGAATAATGAGCTCTTAGTGCTGGAAATGGCCAAGCAGGGGTTGGTTGAACATGTGTTGAGGGGGAAAAGGGATTCATGAATGTAATGGGGGTGGGGTCAGGCCAGCTGAACAATATGTGCCTTTTTGACTCTTCAGAGGCTGTGAATTTCTGGTCTTGGAAGATCACAGTGGAGCAATTGGACAGATAGGATTTTATCCTTCATATCCCTTGCAAAAGATCTCTAAGAACCCATGGAGAGCCAGCCAGCGCAAGAGTGTCTGATGCAGATGTTTTTGCCCATCGAGCCAGCCTGCTTTGTGGAATGGCTGGGGACTTCACCATCACAGTTAGGGTTAGGCACAAAGAGTTGAGGTCAGGGAGGTGGGTAGGGGAAGATGGGGATGAGTTCCTGGGACTTGGCTGCCACCCAGAAAAGCCAAAGAACAAAGAGAAAGAAGGTGTCATGCACATAACTGAGTTAGGAGGAAACCAAGGAGCATGCAGAGTCCTGTGAGAGTTGAGGTAGAAAGGCTTAACTTGCTCCTGTCTCCAAAAGAAGAAACAGTCAAGAATGATGCCAGCAGCAGTTGTCCCACAGGACACCAGGAGCTTCTAGGCTATTTGAATCACAGCAGCTCAGGTCTATTACCCCCAGTCAGCCTTGCTGGCCCACCCTTATTGAAAGGGACCCTGCCTTCCACTTTTTTTTTCCTTTAAAACGTATCAGCCGGGAGCGGTGGCTCACGCCTGTAATCCCAGCACTTTGGGAGGCAGAGGCAGGCGGATCACGAGGTAAGGAGATCAAGACCATCCTGGCTAACACGGTGAAACCCCGTCTCTACTAAAAAATATAAAAAATTAGCTGGGCGTGGTGGCGGGCACCTGTAGTCCCAGCTACTCAGGAGGCTGAGGCAGGAGAATGGCGTGAACGCAACCCAGGAGGCGGAGCTTGCGGTGAGCCGAGATCGTGCCACTGTACTCCAGCCTGGGCGACAGAGTGAGACTCTGTTTCAAAACTCCGTCTCTACTAAAAATACAAAAAATTAGCCAGGCACAGTGGCAGGCACCTGTAGTCCCAGCTACTTGGGAGGCTGAGGCAGGAGAATGGTGTGAACCCAGGAGGCGGAGCTTGCAGTGAGCTGAGATCATGCCACTACACTCCAGCCTGCAACAGAGCAAGACTGTCTCAAAAAAAAAATCCTTCCACTTTTTCTTTTTTCTTTTTTTAGATGGAGTCTCGCTCTGTCACCCAGGCTGGAGTGCAGTGGCACGATCTTGGCTCACTGCAACCTCTGCCTCCCAGGTTCAAGCGATTCTCCTGCCTCAGCCTCCCAAGTAGCTGGGACTACAGGCGTCTACCACCACATCTGGCTAATTTTTTTTGTATTTTTAGAAGAGACGGGGTTTCACTGTATTGGCCAGACTGGTCTCGAACTCCTGACCTTGTGATCCACCTGCCTCGGCCTCCCAAGGTGCTGGGATTACAGGCGTGAGCTACCACCATGCCCAGCCTAAAACATATCCTTCAACTTTTTCTAGTAAGAGCAGCTGCTGAGTCTAAGCAGACTCTTGACTGAACTAGAGGGTATGGCTAACTTGTCCTGGCCTCAGTGTGCAGCCTCTACATCTTGTTTCCTATTATCTGCTGAGGCTGGGATAGGTTGCAGATCATGGGGCCCTGGCCTTCTCTGACTTTCTGTTGCTCTACATAAGTGGGATGGCTGACTTCTCCTTAGAGCCCCCTCCGTCAACAGTCATTCTTGAACTCTTTGTGTCCATTACTCCCCTCTCATCCAGTTAACCCTGGTGTCTGATACTGCATTGCCTAGCGCTCTTCCCTCATTGCTCTCCTATTCCCTCCCCAGCGTGGTGATGGTGGATGAGGCACACGAAAGGACCCTACACACAGACATTCTCTTTGGATTGATCAAGGATGTTGCTCGCTTCCGACCTGAGCTCAAGGTCCTGGTGGCTTCAGCCACAATGGACACTGCCCGTTTTTCCACCTTCTTTGATGGCGCCCCTGTGTTTCGAATCCCCGGACGCAGGTTTCCTGTGGACATCTTCTACACCAAGGTGCCCCCTCAGGGAGGATGGGCTTAAGTCTGTGGCAGAAAAGCTGAGGCCTTTGGAGAAGGTTATCCTGTGGAGGGAAAGATGGAATGGAAGGTTCAAAGGGGAACTAGGATAAAGTGTATGTTGAATTGGGAGGAGAGGAAAGGTTTGCCTAAGCAGGTGGCCCTCCTGTGACCCCATCTCTTTCTGCTCTCCAGGCTCCAGAGGCTGACTACTTGGAAGCTTGTGTAGTATCTGTGTTGCAGATCCATGTGACCCAGCCCCCTGGGGATATCCTGGTGTTCCTGACAGGACAGGTGCCTGACATGGTGGGGAGAGGGGATGATGTATCCCAGGGGAAGACAGGGCCGGCATGTTGGCCTTCTGTGACTCTGGGACCCCTGCTGCTCTCCCTACCCTCTATCCAGGAGGAGATTGAGGCTGCCTGTGAGATGCTCCAGGATCGCTGCCGCCGCCTGGGCTCCAAAATCCGGGAGCTCCTGGTGCTGCCCATTTATGCCAATCTGCCCTCTGACATGCAGGCCCGTATCTTCCAGCCCACACCACCTGGGGCACGAAAGGTCAGTTGGAGAAACCCACACTCTTCACCCCTGTGCTTCCCACAACTAGTAGTGAAAAAGCTGTGTGCCTGCCCCATGCAAGGTGAGTCCTGCGCACTGCTGCACACAGCTGAGGAGCAGCCAGTCCCTTGTTCCTGGGACTGAAGAGAGGAGAAATATGGTGTGAACCAAGAGAGAGCCAAATATGTGATCTGGAAAGTATGCACAGTAGATTCAGTGGAGAAGGGAAGTCCTTGATGTGCTAAGAGGTGGGATTTGATATGGACCTTTAAGAGAAATGTCTGAGGTCAGGTGCGGTGGCTCACGCCTGTAATCCCAGGACTTTCGGAGGCTGAGGTGGGCGGATCACTTGAGGTCAGTAGTTCGAAACCAGGCTGCCTAACGTGGTGAAACCCTGCCTCCACTGAAAATACAAAAATCAGCAGGGCATGGTGGCGTGCGCCTATAATCCCACCTGTTTAGGAGGCTGAGTCATGAGAATCGCTTGAACCCAGGAGGAGGAGGTTGCAGTGAGCTGAGATTGTGCCACTGCACTCCAGCCTGGGTGACAATGCGAGACTCCATCTCAAAAAAGAAAAATGGCTGAGAAGTCATCAGAGGAAGGCCCAAGGTATGTTTGAGGTCAGAGTGTGAGCTAGTAGGCTTAGTGGGAGGTTCATGTGGTGAAGGAGTAGGAGACAAGGCTAAAAACAATTTGGGGCTAAGATTAGGGAGGGCCTTTGATGACAGGAAAGTTTGGACTTTATTTATTTTTCTTTTTTGAGACAGAGTCTCGCTCTGTTGCCCAGGCTGGAGTGCAGTGGCAAGATCTCGGCTCACTGCAGCCTCCACCTCCCAGGCTCAAGTGATTCTTGTGCCTCAGCTTCCCAAGTAGCTGGGATTACAGGTGTGTACCACCACCCCAAGCTAATTTTTTTTTTTTTTTTTTTGAGATGGAGTCTCACTCTGTCGCCCAGGCTGGAGTGCAGTGGCACCAACTCTGCTCACTGCAACCTCTGCCTCACAGGTTCAAGCGATTCTCCTGTCTCAGCCCCCCAGTAGCTGGGATTACAGGTGCCCTCCACCACGCCTGGCCAATTTTTTGTATTTTTAGTAGAGATGAGGTTTCGCTATTTTGGCCAGGTTGGTCTCAAACTCCTGACCTCAGGTGATCTGCCCACCTTGGCCTCCCAAAGTGCTGGGATTATAGGCGTGAGCCACCATGCCTGGCCAACACCCAGCTAATTTTTAGTAGAGATGGGGTTTCGCCATGTTGGCCAGGCTGGTCTTGAACTCCTGGACTCAAGTGATCCGCCTGCCTTGGCCTCTCAAAGTGCTGGGTTACAGGCATGAGCCACTGTGCTTGGCGAAGTTTGGACTTTAGACAGCTGAGTAGCAGTCAAAGGATTTTGAGCAGAGATATAACTTTCATTCAACAAATATTTAATGAGTTCCTTCTGTGTGTCAGGTACACAGGGGTTGATGATACAGTGATGAACAAAACAAAGTCCTTAGCCTAACAAACTTGCACTTGTGGTCTATCGGGGAAGCAGTGGATGCATAAATACATATTGTCAATTTGTGGCCAGTGCTATGAAGAGATACAAGGCAGCATAGTAGGATGGAACTTGACTCTGTGGGGTGGGAGTGAGGACTGGCATGAAGGTATTTTCCTTGGGGTGTAGGGAGGGCCTCTTCAGTAAGGGGAAAGTGGAATAGAGACCCAAACCAGGTGAGGGAGGGAGCCAGGCTGATATCTGGGAGAAGAGTATGCCAGACAGAGGGAATAGCTGATGCAAATGATCCAGTGAGGAGTGCACTTACTTGGGCAGAGCAAAGCAGTGTGTGGGAGGAGTGAGGGAGGTGGTGGAGTGCTAGCAGATGAGGTCAGAAAGGCAGCTGGGGTAGGTGATCCAGGCTTTTAAGGGGCTTGGATTGAATTCTAGAGTAGGATAGGAAGCCACTGAAGGATGGGGAGTGATGTGACAGGTTTGTATTTTAAAAGGACCATCCTGGATGCCATGTGACAGAGGCTAGGAGCAGAAGCAGGGATACACGTTAGGAGGCTCTTACAGGAAGTGTTGTGTGAAGACGAAAGCGGTGATGGGGAGGATCGGGCAGGAACTTGAACACCCCCATTTCCCATCTCTGAAAAAAAAAAAAAACCCTAAATCCTCTTCTCCATTTCCTTTCCTCCTATGGCCCTGCTGACTCCCAGCCCCCACTTCCCTGTCCCCTGTCTTCTGGCCTTGTCCCCTGCTCCTGACCTTGGATACTACTAATTCCCTCAGCTCCTGCCCCTTACTGCAACTGCTTCACTACTCCTAACTTTCCAAGATTACTTTTTCTGGGTAACTAGGTAGGTGGGGTCACTGGGTGACCCCATATCCTATCACTCAGGTGGTTGTGGCAACGAACATTGCTGAGACATCACTCACCATTGAGGGCATCATTTATGTGCTGGATCCAGGGTTCTGTAAGCAGAAGAGCTACAACCCCCGCACAGGCATGGAATCGCTCACTGTCACACCCTGCAGCAAGGTCAGCCTGGGGATGCATGGGAGTGGGGGAGGTGGAGTTGGCCCACAGAGAAGGTCCAACTCAGAAGCAGGGTGGGGGCTTCCTAGGGAACCGGGATGAGCAGTTTGCATCCTTCCAGATTTCTTGCATAAATACTGCCTTTTTCTTTTCCCTGACCAAATTGTCAGCCAGCCTGTTCCCCTTTCTTTCCAGGCCTCAGCCAATCAGCGAGCTGGCAGGGCAGGTCGGGTGGCTGCAGGGAAGTGCTTCCGCCTGTATACCGCCTGGGCCTATCAGCACGAGCTTGAGGAAACCACAGTGCCTGAGATCCAGAGGACCAGCTTGGGCAATGTCGTGTTGCTGCTCAAGAGCTTAGGTGATTGGGCTACCTGAGAGAGGAGGGAGGGGCTGGAGTCACTGTCCTTTGAAGGGACTCTGTTCCATCCATCACACCTCTTTCTAGGGATCCATGACCTAATGCACTTTGATTTCCTGGACCCTCCACCATATGAGACACTGCTGCTGGCTTTGGAGCAGCTGTATGCTCTGGGAGCCCTCAACCACCTTGGGGAGCTCACCACGGTGAGTCGGGGGACAGCATGGGTGGAGGCAGGATGATAGGGGTCAGGATGGCTCCAGGGACCCCTGTAGTAGTAGCGGGAAACCTGAGGGAGGACTGGGCTCAACTCTCTCTCTCTTCTCCTTAGTCTGGTCGAAAGATGGCAGAGCTGCCGGTGGACCCCATGCTGTCCAAAATGATCTTAGCCTCTGAGAAGTAAGCCCTCGCCTCCACCTGGGCCCCCAGCACACAAACAGGCCAGGCCTCCTCTGTCTCCAGGGTCCCCTTTGTCTGTCTTTTTCTGTTCATCATACTATCCCTTAACACATAATAAAGTATTAGATAACTCTGATTGCCCCCTTTTGAGGCCCACAAGGGTAAGACACTTGATCCTATCCTTGATTCCACTGCGCCCGGCCCCTTGAGGAACTTACTTGTTCCTAAGGTTTCCAACTAGAACATTTAGATGTAGCTGTGGAGGGATGACCTTTAAATGCCATTCCTCTGCTGTCAGAGATCTTTTCCAAATGCACATAGTGAATGCACACTTTCTGCAGAAGCCTCAGAATTCCCCGGTGTTTCCTGCTCCTGCCTCCATGGATGTCCCTCCTTTGTGACTGTGTTTCATCTATGGCCCCTACTTCCTTGACCCCCAAGCTGCTGCCAGAATCTATCTGCTGGCTGCTTTGTAGCCATTATGCCAACCAGCCTTCCCCACATGAGGAAACATCCATCACACAGTGATCACTCCCCACTCCACCATATCTGTTCCTATGTGTCTTGCTTTGAACTCATGCTTTCCCCTTCCTGTCCCAGGTACAGCTGTTCAGAGGAGATCCTGACAGTGGCTGCCATGCTCTCTGTCAACAACTCCATCTTCTACCGACCAAAGGACAAGGTCGTCCATGCTGACAATGCCCGTGTCAACTTCTTTCTCCCTGGCGGTGACCACCTGGTTCTGCTAAATGTTTACACACAGGTCACTGGGCTTGGGTGAGTGGGAATGAGAGACACTGGGGGACTTTAGTCCTGCTGTATACTTAATTATCTCTCCTTTCTTTTTAACTGTCTTCCCAGTGGGCTGAGAGTGGTTACTCTTCCCAGTGGTGCTATGAGAACTTTGTACAGTTCAGATCGATGCGCCGAGCCCGGGATGTGCGGGAACAGCTGGAAGGGCTCTTGGAACGTGTGGAAGTTGGTCTCAGTTCCTGCCAGGGGGACTATATCCGTGTACGCAAGGTCAGCATTTCTTCAGCCTCCTGCTTTCCACCCCCAGTACCTTCCCAGGAGCAAGCTTCTCTGGGGGCATGCAGCATTTCCTCCAGCGTGAGAGCATGCCCTCTTCCCCTTGTGTATGACGTGTCCTCCCAGGGCCCTTTCTTCCCCAGACCACTGAAGGTTCATTCCTGGGAAGTTCTTCATGCATTCCTTACCTCTCTAGTTTTCCTGAAGCCTGAACTAAAAAGGTAGTGCATTCTTAGGGTCCCCAGATGTCTGCCTTTTCCATTGATTTTCTTTCCTGCCCGCTCCTTAGGCCATCACTGCTGGTTACTTTTACCACACGGCACGGTTGACTCGGAGTGGCTACCGCACAGTGAAACAGCAGCAGACAGTCTTCATTCATCCCAACTCCTCCCTCTTTGAGCAACAGCCACGCTGGCTGCTCTACCACGAACTTGTCTTGACCACCAAAGAGTTCATGAGACAGGTGAGGAGAACATCCTGTGCCCACGCAGGTGGAGACTATGTAGAGAGATGGTGTCCTGGCAAGCTAAGAACCCAGGTTCAAGTTGCTGGGACTGGTACAGAAAGAGGAAGGTAGGGTAAAATAGAAAGACATCCTTTGTTTTTTTTTGTTTTTTTTGAGACGGAGTCTCACTCTGTTGTCCAGGCTGGAGTGCAGTGGCGCAATCTAGCCTCACTGCAACCTCTGCCTCTGGGGTTCAAGAGATTCTCATGCCTCAGCCTCCCAAGTAGCTGAGATTACAGGCGCAAGCCTCCAGGCCTGGCTAATTTTTGTTATTTTTAGTAGAGATGAGGTTTCACCATGTTGGCCAGGCTGGTCTCAAATGCCTGCCTCGGCCTCCCAAAGTGCAGGGATTACAGGTGTGAGCCACCATGCCCAGCCCAAAGACATCCTTTCTAACAGGTGTGTCAGCATCTTCCAAGATCTGAGAACTAGACACTTATTCAATAAATATTTGAATGGCTACTGTATAGGTGCTGGGGCTATAATGAACAAAGCAGTCTCTGGTCTCACAGAGTATAGTCTTTATGTTCTAGGCTTTTCTTTTTTTTGAGAGAGTTCCGTGCTGTTGTAGCCCAGGCTGGAGTGCAGTGGCACCATCTCAGCTCATGCAACCTCCGCCTTCGGTTTCAAGTGATTCCCCTGCCTCAGCCTCCAGTGTAGCTGGGATTACAGGTGCCCACCACCACGCCCAGCTAATTTTATATTTTTAGTAGAGACTGGGTTTCACCATGTTGGCCAGGCTGATCTCGAACTCCTGACCTCATGATCCGCCTGCCACGGCCTCCCAAAGTGTTGGGATTACAGGTGTGAGCCACTGTGCCTGGCATGTTGTTCTAGACTTTTCTTGGGAATAGCTTATTTGGTATCTTGAATAACATACAGAGGTGTATCTGCCCTTTGGGTATATAATAATAGAGCCAGGCACCTTTACACCTAGCCCTGCAGTCAAAGAGGAAAGATAACTTTTGACCATACACATAAGGATCTAGGTTGGGGCTGGGCATAGTGGCTCATTTTTGTAAACCATCCCAGCACTTTGGGAGGCCAAGGCAGGATCCTAGCACTTTGGGAGGCCAAGATCAGCCCAGGCAACATAGTGAGACCCCAACTATACAAAAAATTAATGGTGCACTGTGATGTGTGCCTGTAGTCTCAGCTACTTGGGAGGCTGAGGCAGTAGGACTGCTTTGAGCCATGATACGCCACTGCAGTCCAGCCTGGGCAATAGAGCAAGACTCTGTTTCAATTTAAGAAAAAAAAATAACAACAACAAAAGATCTATGTTGGAAAGAAGGGAACTCCATTGATCTTTTCTCTCTCCTAGGTACTGGAGATTGAGAGCAGTTGGCTTCTGGAGGTGGCTCCCCATTATTATAAGGCCAAGGAGCTAGAAGATCCCCATGCTAAGAAAATGCCCAAAAAAATAGGCAAAACACGAGAAGAGCTAGGGTAAGAGAAGGACGTAAACAGAACCTGACACCAGCTCCTTTTCCTTCTATACATTATTTAATACCTATTAAATAAAATTATTTTTGGAATAAAGCTTGTGGGAACATTTGGGATCTAGAGAAAGTGATATGTGAAATTCTATCTCATATAGTCAGTTAAACTTTATTATTTACAAGTTAAATTACACAGCAGCTTTACACAGCATGAGATGGAAAGGAAGGAAGGAGAGAAACGAGGAGAGGAAGCTGGCTCCTGAGATTCTTGGCTGCCTCCACCTCCTTCTCTTGGGCGTAGCAGTCTTCAGTGCTGCCTCCACTCCAAGGTCAAGGATCAGGGCTTGGAACACAGGTTTAAGTCAGGTTCTGGCTCTGACAGCCCCAGGGCCACCAGGGCTCCCACTAGCAGCTTCTTCACAGGCGTTGGAGGTGAGTGTGAAGGCATCAGCTGCAGGGAGAAAGGTTAATGCCAGTTGGGGGAGGCACACAAATGTTCTACCCTTTACCCCACCCAGCCCTACCTAGGACTCACTTTATCTAGACGATGGCGACAAATGAGGCCACTGGAATTCAGGTAGAAAGTGGAGTAGGCATCATAGGTCCTGGGGAATAGAGGGAGGCTTACTGAGGGAGAAGGTGACTGGTCCCAAAGCTGAATTCAAGCATTTGTTTAAACGAGTAGTCCCTAAATTCTGCTACATATTAGATCACCTGGGCAACTTACAAACATCTCAGTGCTTAGGTTGTGCCCTGTCTCAATTAAATCAGAGTGTTTGGCGTCAATATTTTTTAACGATCCTTGGGCATTTCTACTGTGCAGCAGTTTGGGAACTGCTGGTTTAAAAACTTATATCCAATGTTTGTGGCTGAGTCTAACAATTTATTGGGATTCTACTCCCAGGCGGAAATTTACCAGGTTGTAAGGCTCAACATATGAGACAGGACTTTTCATTTGTTCAGTACTTTTGTGTGTGTGTGTGTGTGTGTGTGTGTGTGTGTGTGTGACAGGGTTTCACTCTGTCACCCAGGCTGTAGTCCAGTAATGTGATCACGGCTCACTGCAACCTCAACCTCCCAGGTTGAAGTGATTCTCTCATCTCAGCCTCCCAAGTAGCTGGAACTACAGGTGTGTACCACCACACTGGGCTAATTTTTGTATTTTTTTGGGTTTTACCATGTTGGCCAGGCAGGTCTCCAACTCCTTACCTCAAGTGATCCGCCCACCTCGGCCTCCCAAAGTGCTGGCATTACAGGCATGAGCCACCACACCCAGTCTGTTCAGTAAGTATTTGAGTACCTACCATGTGCTAGGCACTGTATAGGAAGAAACTGAAGCTCAGAGGTTTTTCTAATATACCCAGTCTCTATTTTTTTTTTAACATTAACATAAACTAAACAGGATCCCTGTCCTTAAACAGTCAAGTGAGGATAGGTCAAGGGTTGTCTGGGAGACTAGATCATCTGTAATCTCAGCACTTTGGGAAGCTAAGGCAGGTGGATCACCTAAGGTGAGGAGTTCGAGACCAGCCTGGCCAACATGGTGAAACCCTCTGTCTACTAAAAATACAAAAATTAGCCGGGTGTGATGGTGTGCCTGTAATTCCAGCTACCCAGGAGGCTGAGGCTGGAGAATTGCTGGAAGCCGGGAGGCAGAGGCTGCAGTGAGCTGAGATCACGCCACTGCACTCCATCCTGGGTGACAGAGTGAGACTCCGTCTCAAAAAAAAAAAAAAAAGGAACTGATTATAGTTTGGGTCCTTTCTCATTTCTCTCTTACCGGTAATGCTCGTCTTTGTCACGCTTGTAGAACCGCAAAAAGAGCAAGTGGACGGGCAGCCCCACAAGCCGCCACCGGGCTTGCAGGGTCCAGTTCTCAGGGTGGCGGGTCAGCTGTAAAACCTCCAAACGAAGGTGTGCAAAATAATTCCAGGCCAGGAAACGGCAGAGGGTCAGTGAAAGAATGTACCATGTCCGGCCCCTGTGAAGAAGGGATGGGAAAGAAATCTCATGATGGCAGAATTAGAAAACCAAACTGGCTTCTAAGGAATGGGGAACAGCTGTGAGAAGCAGTCTAGGAACTTCTCTGGGAAGTGAAAAGGGTCATGTATATACCTTTGGGTGCTTTTCCTCCCCAGTGCCCTACCTGTGCCCCAATTCTCACTTGGTACGTATGTTGAGGATCTCATTGATGAATTCCACATCCAAGGAATACAGACTGTAGTCGTGGGACTGAAGGAAGAGCTTGGGAAGCTAGGTGGAAGAAGATGGCATCAACCCAGTGGGAAAGAAAAGATAATCCTATTTTTCAGTTTTCTAATTTTTTTTTTTTTTTGAGACGGAGTCTAGCTCTGTCGCCCAGGCTGGAGTACAGAGGTACAATCTCAGCTCACTGCAACCTCCGCCTCCTAGGTTCAAGCGATTCTCCTGCCTCAGCCTCCCGAGTAGCTGGGATTACAGGCTTGAGATGGAGTCTAGCTCTGTCGCCCAGGCTGGAGTGCAGAGGTACAATCTCGGCTCACTGCAACCTCCGCCTCCCAGGTTCAAGCGATTCTCCTGCCTCAGCCTCCCGAGTAGCTGGGATTACAGGCACCCACCACCATGCCCAGCTAATTTTTGTATTTTTAGTAGAGACGGGGTTTCACTGTGTTGGCCAGGCTGGTCTTGAACTCCTGACCTTGTGATCCGCCTGCCTCGGCCTCCCAAAGTGCTAGGATTATAAGCGTGAGCCATGTGCCAGGCCCAGTTTTCTATTTTTAAGGCCTCCTTACTCCCATCTTGGAGTGAAAGATCTCATCCCATGATTAACCTCCCTTAACCCAAAATGAGGAACATCATTTTCTTTCTTTTTTTTTTTTTTGAGACGGAGTCTCGCTCTGTTGCCTAGGCTGGAGTACAATGGAGATATCTCCTTTCACTGCGCCTCCTGGGTTCAAGCGATTCTCCTGCCTCAGCCTCCTGAGTAGCTGGGATTATAGGCGTCTGCCACCATGCCTGGCTGATTTTTGTGTTTTTAGTAGAGATGGGGTTTCACCATGTTGGCCAGGCTGGTCTTGAACTCCTGACCTCAGGTGATCCACCTGCCTAAGCCTCCCAAAGTGCTGGGATTACAGCACTTTGAGCCACCGTGCCTGGCTGGAACATCATTTTCTCAGGAAAATGTTTATAATATATTTCTATGCCTGCCTCATGGTTCCAAAAAAGAATCCAGTTGACTATCCCTGTACGTCCAAGGATTACCCACATCCTTCCCACTGTAGACGAAGGCCACTTTTGCACTGACTTACCTCTTGTCTCAGTCTCTCATACATGACAGACAGATGTTCCTCCATACTAGGATCTCCTGACGGGGTGGCAGGGGAAGGGTGGGCAGTTCCAGGGACTTGGAAAGGTATCCAAGCCCCAGGATAGGGGCAGGGAGGTCCCTCAAAAAGGCTTCTAAGCCCATCCAGGCAGCCGCTATGCAACTCAGGTCCTGGTCCCTCCTCCCCCTTTCCTGGAGGGAGAACCACCCATGCTGAGCTGAGGGCCTGGATCTGAGGGAGAGGTAGTGGGGGAACCTGGGGAAGACGCTGGGTGGGAAGGCGTGGGGGCAGGGGAGACCAGAATAGAGGAGAAGATGGGGAAGTGGTTGTCGTGGAGTGGGGCCAAAGGGGTGGGAATGGTAGAGTCCCTGGATAAAGCTGGTCCTAAGGAGAAAGAACAGAAGGGAGAAAGATAAGAATCCACTTGTCTAACACCCCTTGATCCCCTGGATGCTCAACAGGCTTCCAATACCTATTCCTCCTGACAGAATGGATGGAATTACTATAGGAAAAAAGGGATGGATTCATCTCCATCTCTACTGAAAACAGGAGGAAACCATTTTATTTTATTATTTATTTTGAGATGGAGTCTCGCTCTGTTGCCAGGCTGGAGTGCAGTAGCACGATCTCAGCTCACTGCAACCTCCGCCTCCCGGGTTCAAGTGATTTTCCTGCCTCAGCCTCCTGAGTAGCTGGGACTACAGGCGCGCGCCACCATGCCCAGCTAGTTTTTGTATTTTTAGTAGAGACAGGATTTCACCATGTTAGCCAGGATGGTTTTCATCTCTTGACCTCGTGATCCACCCGCCTCTGCCTCCTAAAGTGCTGGGATTACAGGCGTGGGCCACCGCGCCCAGCCGAGCAAACTGTTTTATGTGACATAAATACCGGCACCTCCCAAAACCTAGCAGACATTTTACTTTTTTTTCTTTTTTTGAGACGAAGTCTCACCGTCGCCCAGGCTGGAGTGCATTGGCGCGAACTCGGGTCACTGCAACCGCCGCCTCCTGGGTTCAAGCCATTCTCCTGCCTCAGCCTCCCGAGTAGCTGGGATTACAGGCACCCTTCACCACGCCCGGCTAATTTTTGTATTTTTAGTTACAGATGGGGTTTCACCATGTTGGCCAGGCTGTTCTCGAACTCCTGACCTCAGGTAATCCGCCCACCTCGGCCTCCCAAAGTGCTGGGATTACAGGCGTGAGCCACCGTGCCCGGCCCAGTGTTGGAATCTTAAAGAAATGTGGCCGGGCGCGGTGGCTCACGCCTGTAATCCCAGCACTTTGGGAAGCCGAGGCGGGCGGATCACGAGGTCTAGGAGTTCGAGACCAGCCTGGCCAATATGGTGACACCCCATCTCTACTAAAGATACAAAACAATTAGCCGGGTGTGGTGGCGGGAGCCTGTAGTCCCAGCTACTCGGGAGGCTGAGGAAGGAGAATTGCTTGAACCCAGGAGACGGAGATTGCAGTGAGCCGAGATGGTGCCAATGCACTTCAGCCTGGGTGACGGAGCAAGACTCCATTTCAAAAAAAAAAAAAAAAAGATTCCAACACTGGGGGCAGTTTCACCTCTCTTATCGCAAGAATCATGTAATACATACTTGATGAGTTAACGAATAACAGGTTTTATTGTACTGTGGATTAAATGCTGTGGCCTGTACATCTCCATGATTAAGTGTGCGAGGCAAATGTACAGAGAAAAAAGAATATCCAGCTGAAGCTAGGAATCTGAATTCTATCATGTAACTTTAGGCATTCTCATTCCCTATGCCTCCGCTTCCTACAAATGTCCTATAAATGAGAACAATAAAGCCTCACTGGGTTATGAGGCCTATATGAAATAATGAATGTAAACAAAACGTAGCGACCTAGAAAGCAGTACATAAATGGAAGCTATTATCATTTCGGGCCCCTCTAATGACAGACACAACCTCAGGAGACAGTTAAAGGCTGGCCTTCACTCTCCTGGGTTTACCGACGTTGAAACTGCAAGGGGAGGTCACCCAAAGTTAGGCCTCACCCGAGTCCCTCCGCTCCCAAGGAACCCCCCAGGGGATCGTCTCACTGCAGGGAAGGCGGGCGGACCGCTCGGGTACCTCGGTCCCCGATGGTGTCCTAGAGGCGCCGTCTCTGCTGGGGGCGTGGCCATCTTGCCAGCCCGGGCGCAGGGGCCCGAACCGGGTGCACACTGGCCGGCCTTCCTGCCAGGACCGCTCTCCGAGTGCAAGACGGGCGGGCTGCTGAGGGCGCCCCGCGGGTCTGGTCTGGGCCGGGGAACTCCGGGACGGCGCCGCAGCAGGGCTACGAATCTCTCGGCCCCTGCCCTTCAAATCACCTCTAGGCACAGGTAACCGCGGAGAGTCGGGCGCAACGCAGACGCGCCCCGCTGCCTGGCCTTGACCCCGCCTGACCGCCCTCAAACCTGGGAGGACCGACGTCCTTGCGCGACAGGCCCGGCAGCGCCTCCCTCCCGCTCCCGCGACCCCTAGCCTGTCCACGCGCTGCAGGGCACAGGTGGGAAGGGGCGGCGGGTGTCTCTGCGCCTGCGCGGAACCCAGCGCGCGCTCCGCCCCACGCACCGGCTTTGAGGAGGGTCTCTCCCCGCCCCCTCTCCTCCCTCCCTCTTCTCCTCCGCTCACCTGGGGTCGAGCCTGGTAGGCGCGCAGGCAAGGGCCGAGACGCCGGGCCGCACCCCGGCTGGGCTGGTACATGATCTTCCGGGAGTGGAGAAGGAGCCTCCTGAGTCCGACCTCCGGCCTCCTCACAGGGGTGAGCGCGCCCCAGAGCCGGCTTCGTGAAGGGGAAAGGAGGCCGGGGCGGGGGGGTAGGGGGGGAAGGGGCTGAGGGAGGGAAACGGAGATGTCCCGCGCTTGCGCACTGCAGGCTCGAGGGAAGCGGCTGAAGCGCTCTGTCGGCTGTAAGCGCGCCTGCGCCCGCGGGCTCGGAGACTGCCTGAGTGCGCTTGCGCAAGTTACAGCCTCCCCCGCCCCCCCAAGCGCTGTATTCACAGCTGAGGCCTTTGAGCAAAAAGCTGAGCAAAAACAGGGCTGAAGGCTGAATGGGTGCAACGACAGTGAGGGGTGAGGCGGCTGAAATAATGAGTCAAATTTTTCAACAGCTCTTGTGATAAAAATAAATACTTTTATTGGTCTGGTTAAAAGATACAAATGACTTGAATCTGATAAGCCTGCTGAATGAATGAATGAATGAATGTATCCATCTATTATGAGGGTTGGGCTTTGGCTCTTTCCTGTAGTGAGGGAGAAATAATACTTTGAAGATGTTTGACGGGGCTGCGGTCACCAAGGCCTGGTGCTGCGACGTTCCTGCAGGTTTCGAATGAACCTGGCGTTGAGTATGTCCCCACCCACTGTCCAGGACTGGGCTGGCGGGGCCGGGGCCTGTGGAGGAGCTGTGTGCATGGGCTTCTCCCCAGACCCATCCTGTGACAAGGCCTGCTCCTCACTGGCAGACCTGGTAGGTGGGGAGATGGAGAGTGGGTTATAGGAATACTAAAGAGGAAATTAAGATTACAGACTCTTCAAGGTCTCGGGCCAGGTTTTAATGTAGGACACATGATGGGTATGAAGCTGGAACCATTAGTGCTATGTCCAAATTTAAAACCTCTCAGAGAATCCGTATTCCAAAGGGAAGTACCAGAGTTGAACCTGTGGGGGAAAGGGGCTTGCAGGATGTAAGGTAGAAGGAATTGTGGGAGGAGCTGGTGTCCAGTTCATACAATAAGATTTAAGAGTAGGAAGTGACTGAGAATGATGTTAGGAAGGGAGTCAGATGGTGGTGGGAGGCTGTTAGGGGAGGGGTTTAGACCTCACCTATTCTTTGTTTCCTGTTCTCCCTGCTTGGAGTCTTGGTTGCCTGTGGAAATATCAGGCATGTGAATGGGAAGGCAGGAGTAGACAGTGAATGTGGCCTACTTGATTTGAGGGTAGGGAGGAGTGAATACTTACCTGTATTGGGGGATGAGGAATTCACCCCCCCATGGCGGCTGTAGCAGCAGCTTTGGGCTACCAGACCTGGGGGAGTCCCCCTGTAGAAGAAATGGGAGATGATGGGGAGGAGGCTACTGGATGAAAGATGGGTGGGTATGGAGGAATCAGAGGAGAGGAGTAAAAGGAATAGCACAGGAACAAAGAGAAGGGGGTAATTATCATTCCTAACAGGTTTTAATCAAAGCTGTGCCCCAGAAAAGGGCGGGGGAAGTTCATTTTATACCCAAGATTTTCTGGAGTGCTTCTGATTTATTGCTCTATTCTTTCTAGTTGAGGTAATGTGTTAAATCTATGGCTAGGTGTGATCCAAATCATGTCAGAAGAACAGACTCACATGTGGTCAAAAATGTGTTGGATCGGGTACTCTGGTGTTTGGTTTGGAAAACAGGGTTACCTTAACTATAAGATTCCTTAGACCAGGCTGGGCGCGGTGGCTCAGGCTTGTAATCCCAGCACTTTGGGAGGCCAAGACGGGCAGATCACGTGATCAGGAGATCGAGACCAACCTGGCCAACATGGTGAAACCCCGTCTCTACTAAAAATACACAAACTAGCTGGGCACGGTGGTGCACTTCTGTAATCCCAGCTACTTGGGAGGCTAAGGCAGGAGAATCGCTTGAACCCAGGAGGCGGAGGTTGCAGTGAGCTGAGATTGTGCCACTGCACTCCAGCCTGGCGACAGAGCAAGACTCCATCTCAAAAAAAAAAAAAAAGATTCCTTAGACCAGAGGGAAATAGGAAGTGACAAGGCTGAATTTTGAATTTAGGAGGAAAAGGAAGGGGGCCTCTGTAAATAGGGTGACAGACTGTGTTGCACTCTCAATGGAGGTAAGGGTTTGTCTTGAGAGAGATCCAGCGGTTTAGTGGAGCAGACGTCAGGTAATCAGAGTGGGAAGACGAATACAGGAGGCAGGAGGTAATTAGTGGATCCAGAGATGTTGGTAAGCTTTGACATCTTGGCAAAGGCACGCCCAGAGTAAAGGGTAGAAGTCACTGGGGAGAGCTGGAGGTTCCTGGAGGGAATGAGGGAGTAGATACGGAAGCCCACACACAGGGATCCAGCACCTACATGAAAGGAGACACAGAATCTGCAGGAGGACTAACAGTGAAGATGGGGATAGGCAGACACCAGACTCAGGAGCTCTGAGGCTCCTGGGTAAAAGATGTGCAGATCTCAGAAGTGAGAAATGAGAGGGACAGAGGTCCTGAGATCCCAGGAAAATAAGGGATGACGCACAAATGAGGCTGACAACTTTTTTTTTTGTGATTCTTTTTTTCATTGAAAATGTCAATTTAGAAAACACAAAAGATTTCACACTTTATTCAGACAACACTGAGAGAAGAAAAGGGAAGAGTGAGTAGGGGAGATGGGGAGATCCGGCTCCCAAGGATTTCAGGAAACACAGTGGGGCACCTGATCTAGCACACATTCAGAGGGTAGGGAGGGGAAGGGATCTAGCTATACTCTGGGCATGGAGCAGGGAAGGTCGTCCTTGCTATGGAGGAAAGGAGAGAGGAAGGACAGAGGAAGAGTGGTCCCCCATCTCATCTCGACAATCTCACAAGACAGGAGTATATCGGGACCTAGCTACCAGGGAGGGATGGATGCAAGAAGGGATTCCAGGATCTAACAGATCCTTGACACTCTGGATCTACTCTCAAGAAACAACCTCCCTCAGAGAATCTGGATCTGGGGGAAATGGTGGTGTCAGCCAATCTCCTTTAGAGACCCCAAAGCAACACCAGTTTGGGGTTCCCTGACACCTACACAAAATGTGGAAATGAAGAGTTTGGCAATGGTGAGTAGATCCCTTTGGGAAGCTGGTAAGTCCCTGTTCTACCTAACTAGACTGCTCTGAAGCAGAGCTTGCTCACTAGCGGCCATTCGCAGGCTCAAAGGGCAAGTGTGGCAGGCAGCACAAAGCAGTATTAGAGCCACCAGTAGACACTAGAGGGAATATGGGGTTTATCCCATAGATAAAATTCCTTAAAAAGTTTCCCTGGCACAGGATGCCCTTAGACCTTCCATGGTGTTCTAAAGTTTGACAGCAAGCAAGAGTGTGCTTCTCTAGATAAATGTATGAGCCATCTAACCAAGAAGTCTGGCAACAGATCAGACTTCCTGTTGGGAAAGTATTCAGAGCCCAAGTTAGGAGAGAAGGGGTGCTTTTGTGTTAAGAAAAGCTACAAAGTGTTAGGCAGTTTGAGACCCTGACATCCCTGCTGTCTAAGAAAGTAGAAGAGGGAATCCTATGGGCTCTGTCAGGTTCCACTGGGTCCTACAGGATGCAATGGAAGAGTGGGTCTGAGGTTCTCAGGGAGGGGTTCCCTGCCCACCCCAGGTCTCCCAGGGCAGGGAGAGGGTAGCTGTTAGTATCGACTCTCCTCAGAGCGGGGAAGGGAGCTGTGGAAGGATGTTATGGATGGGAGGAAGGGAGATGGGAAATGGCGGGGGGCGGGGGAGAGAAAAACAGAGAAGTCAGAGGTGAAGAGAAAGGGAGAGAAATAAAGGAAATGCCCACTCCCTGCCTGCTGCGATGGACTCTTGGCACACAAGCCAGTGGCTTCCCACTCTCTGTCAGACACTGCCCCTTCCCCAGCAAGTATTAAGCGAAGATTTTCCCAATCTTAGAAGGCTCTGTTCCCCCAACTCGATGGATCTCGGTGTTCTTCCTACCATTCCACATAACTCTCACATTAAAGCCAGGGTCCCTAGGCTCCATATAAGGTCCTATTCTGCTCCTTCACTGCATTTTTTTCCCAGATCACTTGCACAAATATTTTTCTTGAAAGGTTTCAGGACCCCCCCCAAGCCACCCATCTTATTGATCCATCTCTCTGATGGATTCAAATTGCCCTTTGCCATTTCTAACATCCTCTTTTATAGCTGTGAGGCTCCTTAGCCCTTCAACTCCTATTACCTGGTGCGACGACGTTGAGCTGGGCTGCCCCCAGGGTCAGCAGCCAACAGAAGGCGGGCGGTAGGGTGTGGGGGGCAGAGGCGCAAGGAACGCAGCAGCTCCTGCTCTGGCACAAAGGGGCGGAGGGGACCTCGTTCTGGTGAGTTTCCCAGGCTGCTGGAGCGGGGGGGTGGGTGGGCTGGAGGTGTGGCGCGGCGAGGGGCCCTGTTTAGGGGCCAAGGAGGCTCCACAGCTACCTTCAGAACTGGGGACAGGGAGAATGAAGAGCAAGACAGAAAAAGAAGAAAAAAGGAAGAGAGTCATGACAGCAAAGGTTTTGGTAGAAAAAAAGAGAAATCTGAGTCTTTCTTTTTTTTTTTTTTCTTTTTTGAGACGGAGTCTCACTCTGTCACCCAAGCTGGAGTGCAGTGGCACGATCTTGGCTCACTGCAACTTCCGCCTCCTGGGTTCAAGCCATTCTCCTGCCTCAGCCTCCCAAGTAGCTGGGATTACAGGCACGTGCCACCGTGCCCAGCTAATTTTTGTATTTTTAGTAGAGACGGGGTTTCACCATGTTGGCCAGGCTGGTCTTGAACCCCTGGACTCAGGCGATCTGCCTGCCTTAGCCTCTCAAAGTGCTGGGATTACAGGCATGAGCCACCATGCCCAGCCCAAGAAATCTGAGTCTTTAGAGAGAACGAATCCTTTCCCTGGGTCCCCTGAGCATTCTCTTCCCTTGTGTTAAGGTACCCCAGGCCCAGACACCCGACCCTTGCCCCTCTTACATTCTCGGTCACTAGAGGAGTATGGCTTGATGTCTCCCTCTGCTCTCTTGGGTGGCAGCTTCCTTGCTGGAGCTGGCAGTGGAGGGGACATAGGCAGGGTAAGCGTTAGGAGACATACTTTGCACCCCTCCTCCCAGCCACTATACCCCAACCCCAAACCTCTGCTCCCTGACACCACAGTTCCTCCTGAGAACTTGCAGGAGCAGCACCATGGCAATGCCAGCACACCAAAAGGGAATTTGAGGGGAATGTGGAACACTGTTGAGGAAAGCCAGAAGGAGTAGGCCAAACACAGAGCTAGGGAGAAAGATCGAAGGGGAGACTCTGGGGGCCTGGGAGATGCAGGAGAAGGGCAGCCAAGGGAAGTGAGCTCTTACTGTCAGTGGGTGCTGTCATGGCCCCCTGGTATTCTGGGGCAGTGGAATGGTCCCAGCCGGGCCAACGAGGACCCTGGGTTCCTCTGGATGAGATGGACAAAGCCCTTGGTTAATCAGGAATTGCTCTGGAGAGGTCAGGGGAGGTTTGGAAGGAGGGCACAATCTCTCCTTCCTATACGAAAATGGGAAGAGACTGAAGTTTTATTAGGTTAAAAAAAAAAAAGAAAATAAATATGGGCATCTGAAAGGGAGCTATCAGAGTAAGCAGGAGGCTGATGTAATGTCCAAAGTTCAGCCTCCCCCTCCTCACTTCTCTACTTGCTCCCGGCTTTCCCTCTCAAGAGATTCTCCATCATGTATGTGTGGCAAATGAAAGACTTCTCAGCAAATTCACTTAAGCTTTATCCACAGCACCCTCCCCTGCAGGCCTGAGACCTCACCATCCTTGTTGGCCCTCAGTCCCTCTCACAGCCTGTGGTTCTGAACAAGCTAAATGGGAGAAGCCTTGGAAACCAAAGCGAGTTGAGGTGCCTCTCAGTGCCTGACACTGTGATGCTCATAGCTGGTTACAGACTGCTGTTTGGATGGTGGTTACATCCTTTCCTGGCCACAGAGCCAGCTCAGGAAGGGGGCTCTTCTGTGCAAGCAAGCACTGTACAGCTGTCAGAAGTTGGTAAGGTGGAGGTGGTGAGGAAGAGGAAGGAGTGGGGCTCAGACTGTCAGTAAGTGTGTTTGTGTGTGTGTGTGTGTGTGTGTGTGTGTATATGGGATGGGGAATCTGGACAGCATTTTAGTGCCTCTGAGGTTTGGTTTCTCCATATCAATTTCATTATCTGGTTGGAAATGTTATAAACTCTGAGTGTTATCTTCTAAAAGTAACATTTAAATTTTGGGCCATTTGTGTCACTATTCTGTGACTGCAAATGGAAGGGCTGTTTGCACCAGCCTGTCCCTCACTGGCTAACAGAAGCCTGGGGTTTACAAAGGAGCCTGACTCTGGCCTATGTTGACGGACCTGAACTGGCAAGAGGGTCCATTGATATCAGCTGTCAAACAGGCTCCCAATGAGCTTGCTTAGTTAAAAGTCTTGCCAAATATAAAATGCACTGAGCTCCCATGAGGGCAAAGGCAAACAGTCATGACTGCTGGAGACTTGGGTTGCTTTAGAATTTTCCAAAATTGCCCACAGATGGCACTGTACCCCGTGGCATCTAGAGTAAGTAGCCATCACTGCACTACAGTTCCACCCCTTCAATACAGGCTTTACCAGCGGGCGTGGGATCGACTGCAGCAGCACGAGAGTGTCGAGTTGCCCTCAGAGAGGGAGCAGGGGGCCCTGTGAGGAAGGAAGCGGCGGGGCCCCTCAGTGAGGGGTCGGCAGGACCAAGAGTCCAGCTCTTTCCTTTCCCTCACCCCGACTACGTGACCAACAAAATGCAAAAACTTACGATGTTGATGGGCAAAGAAGCCTTCAAAGATCACAAAGTTGTTCACCTGGAAGATGAAACAAACAAAATACAATCATGCATCACTTAACGATGGGGATACATTCTGAGAAATACGTCATTGGGTGATTTCATTGTGTGAACATCACAGAGTGTACTTACACAAACCTAGACACTATAGCCTACAACACACCCAGACTATATCATACAGCCTATTGCTCCTAGGCTACAAACCTGTACAGCATGTTACTGTACTGAATGCTGTAGGCAATTTTTTTTTTTTTTTGAGAGGCAGAGTCTCGCTCTGTTGCCTAGGCTGGAGTGCAGTGGTGCCATCACAGCTCACTGCAGCATCAACCTGGGCTTAAATGATCCTCCCACCTCAGCCTCCCAAGTAGCTAGGACCACAGGTGCATGCCACCACATCTGGCTACTAATTTTTTTTTAACTTTTTGTAGAGATGGGGGTCTCACTATGATGCCCAGGCCAGTCTCAAACTCCAGGGCTCATGTGATCCTTCTGCCTCAGCCTCCAAAAGTCCTGGGATTATAGACGTGAGCCACCATGCTCAGCCAGCTGTAGGCAATTCTAACATAATGGTTCAGCTGATGTATCTAAACATACCTCAACACAGAAAAGGTACAGTAAAGGTCAGGTGCGGTGGCTCACGCCTGTAATCCCAGCACTTTGGGAGGCCGAGGCAGGCGGATCATGAGGTCAGGAGATCGAGACCATCCTGGCTAACATGGTGAAACCCCATCTCTACTAAAAATACAAAAAAATTAGCCGGATGTGGTGGCGGGCGCCTGTAGTCCCAGCTACTCGGGAGGCTGAGGCAGCAGAATGGCGTGAACCCGGGAGGCAGAGCTTGCAGTGAGCTGAGATCGTGCCACTGCACTCCAGCCTGGGCGATGGAGCAAGACTCCGTCTCAAAAAAAAAAAAAAAGAAAGAAAGTGAAAAGACAATCTACAGAATGGGAGAAAATGTTTGCAAGTCATACATCTGATAAGTGCGTTCTATCTAGAATATATGAAAAACTCTCAGAACAAAAAAGAACACAATTTAAGAACAGACAAAGGACTTGTATAAACTTTTCTCTAAAGAAGATACACAAATGGCCAATAAGCACATAAAAAGGTGCTAAAGTCCAGGTTCAGTGGCTCACACCTGTAATCCCAGCACTTTGGGAGGCTGTGGCAGGCATCACTTGAGGTCAGGAGTTCAAGACCGGTCTGGCCAAGATGGTGAAACCCTGTGTCTATTATAAATACAAAAAATTAGCCAGGCATGGCAGTGTGCACCTGTAATCCTAGCTACTTGGGAGGCTGAGGCAGGAGAGTCGCTTGAACCCAGGAGGCGGAGGTTGCAGTGAGCTGAGATCGTGCCACTGCACTCCAGCCTGGGCAAGAGAATGAGACTCCGTCTCAAAGGATAAATAAATAAATAAAAAATTCAGCAGGGTTCCAAGGGGTGGGGAAAGTCAGGGGAAGACATGCTGGAGGCCAGGATGCTACTTTGATAACTAGTAACTATTAATTTTAGAGTTACTTCATTATATTTTCACATTTAATTTGGCCTTCACAATCCTGGAAGTCACTATTTGAAAGAAGGTTGGGGGAAATACAGCCTTGGAGACATGGCTTCGCTTGGCCAATGCCAAGTAGCTACAAGTGGCAGGGCTGGGCCTCAACTTTCAGACTTCTGATTCCAGCTGCAGTGTTTTAGCCAGGAAAATAGTGTAGCCATTAAGAGTTTACTCAAGAGGAGAGCTTGCAGTGAGCCGAGATGGCAACACTGCACTCCAGCCTGGGCGACAGAGAGAGACTCCGTCTCAAAAAAAAAAAAAAAACTCGGGGGCCAGGCGTGGTGGATCACGCCTGTAATCCCAACAATTTGGGAGGCCAAGGCGGGTGGATCACTTGAGGTCAGGAGTTCGAGACCCTGTCTCTACTAAAAATACAAAAATTAGCTGGGTGTGGTGACGTGCGCCTGTAATCCTAGCTACTCAGGAGGCTGAGGCAGGAGAATCCATTGACCCCAGGAGGGAGAGGCTGTAGTGAGCTGAGATTGCACCACTGTACTTCAGCCTGGGTGACAGAGTGAGACTCCATCTCAAAAAAAAAAGTTTAATGGGGGCTGGGCATGGTGGCTCATGTGGATAGCTTGAGCCCAGGAGTTCAAGACCAGCCTGGGCAATATAGCAAGACCTCATCTCTACAAAAATATTTTTAAAAATTAGCCAGGCGTGGGCCGGGCCCAGTGGCTCAAGCCTGTAATCCCAGCACTTTGGGAGGCCGAGGCGGGCCGATCACGAGGTCAGGAGATCGAGACCACCCTGGCTAACACGGTGAAACCCCGTCTCTACTAAAAATACAAAAAATCAGCCAGCCATAGTGGTGGGCGCCTGTAGTCCCAACTACTTGGGAGGTTGAGGTGGGAAGATCTTTTTTGAGATGGAGTCTCGCTCTGTTGCCAGGCTGGACTTCAGTGGCAAGATCTCAGCTCACTGCAACCTCCACCTCCTGAGTTCAAGCGATTCTCCTGCCTCAGCCTCCGGAGCAGCTGGGACTACAGGCATGCGCCACCATGCCCAGCTAATTTTTGTATTTTCAGTAGAGACAGGGTTTCACCATGTTGGCCAGGATGGTCTTGATCTCTTGACCTCGTGATCCGCCCGCCTTGGCCTTCCAAAGTGCTGGGGTTACAGGCGCGAGCCAATGCGTCCGGCCTTTTTTTTTTTTTAACATGGAATCTCACTCTGTTGCCCATGCTGGAGTGCAATGGTGTCATCTCGGCTCCCTGCAACTTCCACCTCCCAGGTTCAAGCTCTTCTCCTGTCTCAGCCTCCTGAGTAGCTGGGATTACAGGCACATGCCACCACGCCCGGCTTATTTTTGTATTTTTAATAGAGATGGGGTTTCGCCATGTTGGCCAGGCTGGTAGGGAAGATCTCTTGAGCCTAGGAGGTAGAGACTGCAGTGAGCCGTGATCGTGCCACTGCACTCCAGCCTAGGCAACAGAGCAAGACCTTGCCTCAAAAAGAAAAAAAAAAAAAAAGTTCACTGGGTGCAAATGGCTATGGGTTCAAATGTGGACTCTACTATTTACTGGCTGTGTGAATTTGGTTAAGTCATTAATTTGTATAAACCCAAAATAGGTTTAATAATAGTACCTACCTCAAAAAGATGTGCAAGAATCCACTGAGATGATGCATATAGATACCACATAGAGCCCATGAAATGTGAATTATTATTTACACTCTATACTGCTCTGGCCTTACATGTTAACTGGGTAATGTGTTTCATATCGAATACTGTGCTCCAGGACCGGGTATGGTGGCTCACGGCTGTAATCGTAGCACTTTGGGAGACCGAGGTGGGCGGATCACTTGAGGTCAGAAGTTCGAGACGTCTGGCCAACATGGTGAAACCTCATCAACACAAAAATTAGCCAGGTGTGGTGGTGGGCGCCTCTAATCCCAGCTACTCAGGAGGCTGAGGCAAGAGAATTGCTTGGACTCAGGAGGCAGAGGTTCCAGTGAGCTGAGATTGTGCCACTGCACTCCAGCCTGGGCGACAGACTGAGACTCCATCTCAAAATACAAACAAACAAACAAAAAAAAACTGTGCTCCTTCCACTGCTCTCTGTTGCCTCTTAATGGAAAAATATACTGTAGGAAGACCCTGCCTATCCCTTGCCTTGACCTTGTTGTAATGTCTACCAGCCCATCCTCATCACCCCCACCCCCCAACAAGCACATGCCCAGCACTCCAACCACACCACACTGCTTGTAGTGTCCTGAAAGGTGGTTTATTTTTATTTATTTATTTATTTTTTTTGAGACAGTGTCTTGCTCTGTCGCCCAGGCTGGAGTGCAGTGGCATGATCTGGGCTCACTGCAAGCTCCGCCTCCTGGGTTCACGCCATTCTCCTGCCTCAGCCTCCTGATTAGCTGGGACTACAGGCGCCTGCCACCACGCCCAGCTAATTTTTTTTGTATTTTTAGTAGAGACGGGGTTTTACCGTGTTAGCCAGGATGGTCTCGATCTCCTGACCTTGTGATCCGCCTACCTTGGCCTCCCAAAGTGCTGGGATTACAGGTGTGAGCCACCACGCCTGGCCTGAAAGGTGGTTTAATACCTTTCTGCCTTTGCTCATGCCTGTTCCTCTACATGAAATGCACTTTAGCCTTTTGTCCACCTGACAAACACTTGCCTTTCAAGATTAGACATGTCATCTTTCTTTACCCAACCCCCAGCCCAAGATAGCACTCAAATCCATGTCCTTATGCCTCCTCTGTAATCACATCTATCAAATCATGTTACAATGGATTAACTGTCCATGTTCCTATCCAAGGCTAACTTGTCAACCAAATCTCAACGCCCCCGCCGCCCATTCAATGACATCACTTCAACAGTTCTCCCCACTTTCTCTGACATAATAATATTTTCTCTCTACTGAATCATTCTAATGCTATTTGTTCTCCCATCTGCAAAAGATCAACTCTTTTGATCCACTTCACTCTCCAGCTCTTGCTCTATTTCTATTCCCATTAAAGCAGGATTTAAAAGAGTAGCTTATTCTTGCTGTGTTCCTAGCTTCTCAGTCTACAAGACCCACTGCATCCAGGCTTCCAAACACCGCTGCACCAAAACTGCTCATTAAGATCACCAATGGCCTAACGCAGATAAATCCAATGGTAACTTCTCAGACCTCTTTGCTCCTTGATCAGCAGCATTTGACCAAGTAAACCATTCCTTCCTCCTGGAAACACTTTCTTCAGTGGCCTTTGAGGTCACCTTACTTTTCAGTTTTCTTTTCTTTTTTTTTTTTTTTGAGATGGAGTTTCGCTTTGTTGCCCAGGCTGGAGTGCAATGGCATGATCTCGGCTTACTGCAACCTCCACCTCCCAGATTCAAGTGATTGTCCTGCCTCAGCCTCCCAAGTAGCTGGGATTACAGGCATGAGCCACCTCGCCTGGCTAATTTTGTATTTTTTGTAGAGATGGGGTTTCACCATGTTGGTCTTGAACTCCTGACCTCAGGTGATCCACCCGACTCGGCCTCCCAAAGTGCTGGGATTACAGGTGTGAGCCACCACACCCGGCCTCAGTTTTCATCTACTTCACTAGTCACTCTGTGGTTGCATTTGCTGGTCTTCTTCTCTTCCTTAACTTCTTTTTGTTGCTGTTAGAACAACTCAGCAAAATAAAATTTGGGTTTATTGTTGCACAATATTGTTTCACACATACATCAAATAGGCCTAAATAAATAAGCAGCCATTTCATAGACAAAAAAGGCAAATAAATGAAACATTTTATCTTTGGCCTTTTTAACCATCTCACACAAACCAACTACTTATGGTACAACTAACTACATACACTAAAGAAGCTACTGGAATGCTCAGAACGAGACTTTTTGTTGTTGTTGTTGTTTTTGAGATGTAGTCTCGCTCTGTTGCCCAGGCTGGAGTGCAGTGGCACAATCTTGGCTCACTGCAAGCTCTGCCTCCCGGGTTCACGCCATTCTCCTGCCTCAGCCTCCCAAGTAGCTGGGACTACAGGCTCCCGCCACCACGCCTGGCTAATTTTTTGTATTTTTAGTAGACAGGGGGTTTCACCATGTTAGCCAGGATGGTCTCGATCTTCTGACCTCGTGATCCACCCACCTCGGCCTCCCAAAGTGCTGGGATTACAGGCGCGAGCCACCGCGCCCAGGCTTTTTTTTTTTTTTTAAACAAGGTTTTTTTTTTTTTTTTTTTTCCTCCTTTGAGATTATAATGAATATGGTCACACCACAAGTAAAGTCAGAAGTAAGACAGAGAACCCTCCAAAGGCTGGCTTGGTCATCTGAGATCATTAAAAATGACTGAACCTGGCTGGGCGCCGGTGGCTCACGCCTGTAATTCGAGCACTTTGGGAGGCCGAGGTAGGTGGATCACAAGGTCAGGAGATAGAAACCATCCTGGCCAACCTGGTGAAAGCCTGTCTCTGCTAAAAATACAAAAATTAGCTGGGTGTGGTGGCGGGCGCCTGTAATCCCAGCTACTCAGGAGGCTGAGGCAGGAGAATCACTTGAACCCAGGAGGTGGAGCTTGCGGTGAGCCAAGATGGCACCACTGCACTTGAGCCTGGCGACAGAGCTAGACTCCGTCTCAAAGAAAAAAAAAATGACCCTAACAATATGTACAAAAATATAAAATGTAAATAAAAAATACAAACAAACTTCCTTTTTAAAGTACTTTTAAAAGAGCAAGACCTTGGAAGTTTTGGTTCTTTTTTCCTCCTCTGTTGCAAATTCTCTGGTTTGGGTTGGGTGGTGGTGAGTGCCTGTCATCTGCAGTGGCACTGTCTGTGGAGGGCAAGCAGGCCTCTCGAGGGCAACCATGTTTAGATTCTGAGATGGGAAGTGGAGGGTGAATAGGTCACGGTGGCCTTAATTTAAAGTTTAACTTTTCTTTTTTTGCTGTCTAATCATCCTCACTGGCCTTCTGCTGCTTGGTATCAACATCGTCATCTTCATCATCATCAGCTGCCCATTTGTCCATACCGCCTCAGCTGCTTCGTTTTCATCTCCGTTCTTTTCTTCACCATCACCTTCCTCTTCCTTCTCCTCTTTCTCCCCACCCTGTTCCTCTTCTTCATCTACCTCGTTGTCAGCCTCCTGCTCCCCATTTTCCTCATTAGCGTTCCCGTTAGCATGGGCGTCTCTTCCACTTTCTGCCTCCTCCACAACTTCTCCTTGAAGTCCTTGGTGGTGATCACGGAGCTTGTGTCCACAACTGCCTCTGACATGGTGGGGCACAGCGGTGATCCGATGCAAGGGATTAAGAAGAAAGTGAGAGTTTGGGGACTATGTCGATTAAGCTGCCAGACTCTGAGGCAGCAGAGGAAGTGCATGGCGGAGGTGGCTGTGGTGAGCAGGACACCGAACCAGGAACAATGCAAAGATGGCTTTTCAGAGCAGCCAGTTGGGGGTCCTCACTTCTTAAAGAGGGCCCAAAGGGGCAGCTTCTCTATCTATAATCTTTCTATGGTGATCGCATCCTGTCTGTTGGCTTTAGATACCAGATGTATGCTGAAAACTCTCCTCCCCAAACCTCCTCCCTGATCTCCAGGGAAGTATCCAACTGTCTACTCAAACCTGGACATATCACAGACATCTCCAATTAACATATTAAAAATGTACTCCTAGTATTTCCCCCAAAGCTGGTCTACCTACCATCTCAGTTAAAGCAACTTCATTCTTCCAGCTGCTCAGGCTTTGGCATTGTCCTAAAGTCCTCTTTCTCCACATACAATCTGTCAGGAAATCTTACTTGCTTTACCTTCAAAATATTTAAAATTTGACCACTCTTTACCATCACTACTGCTACCACCTTGGTCTGAGCCACCACCATTTTTCGCCAGGATTGTTGCTGCCTAATTAGTCTACTTGCTTCTACTCTGGCTCCCTTATTGCCGTTTCCATTTTTTTTTTTTTTTGATATGGGGTCTTACTCTGTCACCAGGCTAGAGTGCAGTGCAGTGGCACAATCTCAGCTCACTGCAACCTCTACCTCCCTGATTCAAGCAATTCCCCTGCCTCAGTCTCCCGAGTAGCTGGGATTACAGGCGAGCACCACCACACCTGGCTAATTTTTTTTTCTATTTTTAGTAGAGATGGGGTTTCACCATGTTAGCCAGACTGGTCTTGAAGTCCTCAGGCAATCCACCTGCCTCGGCCTCCCAAAGTGCTAGGATTACAGGTGTGAGCCACTGTGCCCGGCTATTGCCTGTTCTTAACAGCCAAAGTGATCTTGTTAAAAAGGAAAAAATCAAGATCACAGCCAAAATGATCTTTTTCTTTTTTCTTTGATGGAGTCTCGTTCTGTTATCCAGGCTGGAGTGCAGTAGTGCGATCTCAGCTCACTGCAACCTCTGCCTCCCAGGTTCAAGCGATTCTTCTATCTCAGCCTCCCAAGTAGCTGGGGCTACAGGTGCCCGCCACCACACCCGGCTAATTTTTGTATTTTTAGTAGAGATGGGGTTTCACCATATGGCCAGGCTGGTCTCGAACTCCTGACCTTGTGATCCACCTGCCTGGGCCTCCCAAAATGCTGGGATTACAGGAATGAGATACCACACCTGGCGCTATTTTTTTTTTTTTTTTTTTTTTAAGAAGGAGTCTTGCTCTGTCGCCCAGGCAGGAGTGCAGTGGTACAATTTCAGCGGCTCACTGCAACCTCCGCCTCCCGGTTCTAGTGATTCTCCTGCCTCAGACTCCCAAACAGCTGGGATTACAGGCACCTGCCATCACACCCAGCTAATTTTGGTATTTTCAGTAGAGACCTCAGGTGATCCACCTACCTCGGCCTCCCAAAGTGCTGGGATTACAGGTGTGAGTCGCCACCCCTGGCCTGATCTTATTTTTTACTTAAAATAAAAGCCAGTCTTTGCAGTAGCCTATAAGGCCCCTCCTCCGCATTACCTCTCTGGTCTCATCTCCTACCATACTCCTCTGCTGACTCATGCTGCTCTGGACACAGCCAATTTGCTCTTTCAGGCACACTCCCACCTCACGGCCATACACTGGTGGTACCTTCTGTCTGGGATGCTCTCTCTCCAGATATTTCTTGGCTCTTACTCTTTTTTTTTGTTTGTTTGTTTTGAGACAGTCTCACGTTGTTACCCAGGCTGCAGTGCAGTGGTACCATCTCGGCTCACTGCAGCTTCGACCTCCTGGGCTTAAGCAATCCTCCTGCCTCAGACCCCCAAGTAGCTGGGACCACAGGTGCGTGCCACTACACCTGGCTAATTTTTGTGTTTTTTGTAGAGATGGGGTTTCACCATGTTGCCTAGGCTAGTCTCGAACTCCTGGGCTCAAGTGATCCACCCACCTCGGCCTCCCTAAGTACTAGGATTGCAGATGTAAGTCACCACGCCCAGCCTTGGTTTTTATTCTTTTTTTTTGAGATGGAGTCTCGCTCTGTCACCCAGGCTGGAGTGCAGTGGCGCGATCTCGGCTCACTGCAAGCTCTGCCTCCCGGGTTCACGCCATTCTCCTGCCTCAGCCTCCCGAGTAGCTGGGACTACAGGCACCCAGCTAATTTTTTTGTATTTTTTTTAGTGGAGACAGGGTTTCACCATGTTAGCCAGGATGGTCTAGATCTCCTGACCTCGTGATCCGCGCGCCTCGGCCTCCCAAAGTGCTGGGATTACAGGCATGAGCCACCGTGCCCGGCCAGTTTTTACTCTTACTTCCTTTCAGTTATTGCTCAAATGACACTTTCTCAGTGATGATCCCCTTTCAACCTGCAATCCCACATACTCCCATCCCCACCTTACTTGAGTACTCCCAAACCCTTACTTGCTCTCATTTTTCCAGAGCACTTATTAACCATATTGTTTATTATGTTTGTTTGTCTCTCCAGCTAGAATATAAGCTCCACCACTAAGACAGGGACTTTTGTCTGTTCCCTTCTTTTTCTGTTTTTTTTTTTTGTTCCGAGACAAGAGTCTCGCTTCGTCCCCCAGGGTGGAGTGCTGTAGCAGGACCTCGGCTCACTGTAACCTCTGCCTCCGGGGTTCAAGCAATTCTCCTGCCTCAGCCTCCTGAGTAGCTGGGATTACAGGCGCACGCCATCATGCCCAGTTAATTTTTATATTTTTAGTAGAGACAGGGTTTCACTATGTTCCACATGCTGATCTCGAACTCCTGATATCAGGTGATCCTCCTGCCTTGGCCTCCCAAAGTGTGGGGATTACAGGCATGAGCCACCATGCCTGGCCCTTTTTCTTTTTCTTTTTTGAGATGGAGTCCTCACTCTGTCGCTCAGGCTGGAGTGCAGTGGTGCAATCTTGGTTCACTGCAACCTCTGCCTCCCGGGTTCAAGTGATTCTCCTGCCTCAGCCTCCTGGGTAGCTGGGATTACAGGTACCCACCATCATGCCCCGCTAATTTTTGTATTTTTAATAGAGACGGGGTTTTACCATGTTGACCAGGCTGGTCTCAAACTCCTGACCTCAAGTGATTCGCCCACGTCAGCCTCCCAAAGTGCTGGGATTACGGGCATGGGCCACCGCACCGCACCTGGCCTTTTTTTCTGTTTTTGTTTTCATTTTTGGAGACAGGGTCTCTCTCTGTTGCCCAGGCTATAATGCAGTGGCGCGATCTTGGCTCACTGCAACCTCTGCCTCCCAGGCTCAAGCGATTCTCCCATTTCAGCCTCCCAAGTAGCTGGGACTACAGGCTCGTGCCACCACGCCTGGCTAATTTTTTTTTGTATTTTTTGTAGAGACAGAGTTTCGCTATGTTGCCCAGGCTGTTGTCTGTTTCATTGAGTAAACCATTCCTAGTGCCCAGAACACTGCCAGGCACTCAATGTTTATTGGATGAATGGGTAGCATTAGTAACATTTTGCTGCACTTAGTTATAAACAAGACTTCCTTCCCTATATTAGGCCAAAGCTCCATGAGGACAGGGAATGCATATTATTCTGGACCCTTAATAAATACTGACTGACCAGATGAGTAATGAACTATGTGAAAACAAGGAGGTGAAAATGAGCTGGCTATGTTTGGGTTGAAAATTAGTCATAAGGGGTCGGGCACGGTGGCTCACGCCTGTAATCCCAGCACTTTGGGAGGCCGAGGCGGGCAGATCACAAGGTCAGGAGATCTAGACCATCCTGGCTAACACGGTGAAACCCCATCTCTACTAAAAATACAAAAAATTAGCTGGGTATGGTGGTGGGCACCTGTAGTCCCAGCTACTCGGGAGGCTGAGGCAGGAGAATGCCGTGAACCTGGGAGGCGGAGCTTGCAGTGAGCTGAGATCGTGCCACTGCACTCCAGCCTGGGTGACAGAGCGACTCTGTCTCAAAAAAAAATTAGGCATAAGGGTTGTGTGCGGTGGCTCACACCTGTAATCCCAGCACTTTTGGGAGGCTGAGGTGGGCACATCACTTGAGGCCATGAGTTCAGGACCAGTCTGTCCAACATGGTGAAACTCCATCTCTACTAAAAATACAAAAATTAGCTGGGCATGATGGTGCATGCCTGTAATCCCTACTACTCAGGAGGCTGAGGCACAAGAATCACTTGAACCCCGGAGGCAGAGGTTGCAGTGAGCTGTGATCGTGCCACTGCAATCCAGCCTGGACGATGGAGCAAGGCTACATCTCACAAAAAAAAAAAAAAAGAAAAATTAGGTGTAGGAAACAACTTGTGGTAAAGAATCAAAATAAGTCTGGGTACAGTGGCTCACGCCTATAATCCCAGCACTTTGGGAGGCTGAGGCAGGTGGATCTCTTGAGCCAGGAGTTCAAGACCACCCAGTGCAACATAGTGAGACCTCATCTCTACAAAAAATAAAAAATTAGCCAGGCATGGTGGTGCATGCCTGTAGTCTCAGCTACTCAGGAGGCTAAGGGAGGAGTATCGCTTGAGCCCAGAAGGTTGGGCTGCAGTGAGCCAAGATCCTGCCATAGCACTCCAGCTTGGGCAACAGCAGGAGACTCTGCTTTGAAAAAAAAAAAAAAAAAGTCAGATGCGGTGGCTCACACCTGTAATCCCAGCATTTTGGGAGGCCAAGGCGGGCAGATCACAAGGTCAGGAGTTTGAGACCAGCCTGGCCAGTATGGTGTAACTCCGTCTCCACTAAAGATATAAAAATTAGCTGGGTGTGGTGGTGGGTGCCTGTAGTCCCAGCTACTCAGGAGGCTGAAGCAGGAGAATCGCTTGAAACCAGGAAGTGGAGGTTGCAGTGAGCTGAGATTGCGCCACTGTACTCCAGCCTGGGCAGCATGGCGAGACTCCATCTCAAAAAAAAAAATCAAAATAGATGAGAAAGAAGTCACTACAGGATGAGAGATGGTACCACAAGAGAAAGAAAGAGCCTGGTTGTAGAAAATGAAACCTATGTGATAGGAAATAAGTCACTACTTCTTTGCCATAAATAACAAATAAATTCAATGGGAATGCTCAGTGGGGATCTATTCTCTGAAACCTCTAACCTGTGGGACTGTGGTCTCCAGATTGTAGTGCTTATTCAGGAATTTCAGCAGCTTCTGTGAGGGTCGGTCAATTGCCAGTTGGTGCGGTTCCACTCGCTCCTTCTGCAGGGAAAAGGAGACTCAGGGTAGGAGGAAGTATGGGGAAAGCATGCCAACAGGAAGCCAGAAGCCTGGGAAGGGAATAGAATGACATGGGAACATGGGGGGTGGGAGGCAGGGCTTCTGGAAGGGCTCAGGGCAAAGGAGCCCCTAGTTTGGATGAACCAGTGAAGAGGTCAGTGATACCTGCAACATATACTGGAAGAGTTCTCGCCCATGGCCATGGCGTTGCACAGACTCATGGATGTAAAAGTCCAGGATGCAAAGTGGTTCTACCTCATTATGAGCCTCACGATCATCCTAAGAGAGAAACAATAAAAATGTTTTAGGAACCCCGGCATCTCTGCTGCCCCCTAACCTCCAGCACTTTTGTTCTCAGAAACCAAGGTATACGAACTCCTAGCATCCAATAACACTCACCAGTACAAAGAGCTTCTTGTATCCAACTTTGATGAAACCAATAATGGCTCCTTTTCCAGCCCTGTAGGACGGGGAAAATAATGAACAGGCTAGTGGTATCTATCTGCAAGAGATAGTCAAAGATGGGGGAAGGGCTGAGGAAGGAAGGAATTAAGTATGGGATGGAAGAGCATGTGGCACTCACGGTCGGGCTGAACTGTCTTTGAGAATATAAACAACATGGCGGTTACTCTGCATCCTTGATGCACTAGTGATAGGAGCGGAAAGATTCTGGGCCTGCAGGGAAGATTAAGTCAGACTTTCTGCAAGTCTCTCCGAAGGACCCAGGCCTCCCTTATATACCATCCCCACAGAGGTCCTCCCTTTACTCCATCTAAAAACTCTCCAGTACCTTGGCAGAAGCCTTGCCCAGTTCATCTATAATGGTCATAATTTGCTGCTGTAGATCAACACTAGAGAAAGAGAAGAAATAAAGAGTCAGATACTCACTAAATTAGCGGGTCCTAGGCAGTCAGTCCTGGGAACCTGGGCCACAACTCCAACCCAGGTTTAACACTGAAGGCTCCCTGCCTTTGCCTGGGAGTCTTCCAATCTGATTTCCCACCCCACCCTTCTGAAACCCAAACTTCTGTCACACCTTTCAAGGTGGCACACTCCCTCCTCCCTTAAGGTTATTGTGAGGAAGCAGAAAGGCCAGGTCAACCACATCCTTTGATTGGGACATTTTGGGCCCGGGGTGAAAGGTCACAGATCCAAGCGCTGATCAATCCCACTAGGCCCAGGGTCAGAGGTCACCAAAAAGGCAGGCCTGGACATCAAAAGGGGCGATCACTAGTCAGTGAGAAGGGGGCGTGGTGCCTGGACCAGGTTTGGAGAGGAACCGGGAGAAAAGGGCCAGAGGGTGGGTTTGAGCTGTCACCGGGCCGGCGTTGTGGTTCCGGGTCGGCGGGCTGGGGGCCTCAGGTGCTGGTCCAGCACCGTGATCCGCTCCGGGAACAGCGCGTCCACATCGAACGGGAACTCCATGGCCCATTGTGCGCGGTCGGACCCGCCCCACACGACGTCACTTCCGCCCCTCCTCTCGCCGCACCGCCTCTCGGAGTCTTTATTTCCAGGAGCCCCGCCTGTAGACCTTGCCCCCTAGCGTCCTGGCAACTGACAGGGCCCCCGTTTTTCTTGCCAAACCAGCTGTGCCCCTAGCAGTGCCACTCCTTTCCATCCCTGCATCCCACGGCAGTGAGTGCCATGGCAACGTAGTCTTCCTTGGCCCAGTGTCTCACTGTCCAACCTTTTATCCCCTCAGTGAACAGTGGGCCATGCTGTGGAGTGGGGGCCCACAAGGCATCTTGACAGAGTGGCACAGCTGCCCATCCCCGGCTTCTAGTCCCAGGCGTCACAGGCAAGGCTGGCTTAAGCCTGACCACTTATCTCCCCACAGCATCACCCAATTGCTTATATGAAAAGACCATCACTCAGCCCACCCCCCGCTAATGGCATTCATCGGAAACAGCCCAAAGCAAACCAGAGACAGTAGAGCTTTATTGTGTAAAAGCTGAGTTGGTAGAAGTATGAAACGGCAACAATGTTTAGCCCAGCCCATCTATTTACAATATATAGGGGTTGGGGTTTCCCATACACATCTGTACCACCCGCCCTCAGCCTCAAGATTTATCCCTATCAGCAACATTCATTTCCTGGATTTGTCACTGGCCACAAAAGACACAACTCTTCAGGGTGATATCCCATCACATAAACCTACATACACATTATCTCCTAGTCCCTCTAGCTCTCTTCCCAGTCTTTTTTTTTTTTTTTGAGACAGGGTCTAGCTGTCACCCAGGCTGGAGTGCAGGGGTGTGACTGCAACTCACTGCAACCTCCGCCTCCTGGGATCAAGTGATCCTACCTTAGCCTCCCCAATAGTTGAGACTACAGGTGTGCACCACCACACCCAGCTAATTTTTGTATTTTTTGGTAAAGACGAGGTTTCACCATGGTGCCCAGGCTGGTCTCAAACTCCTGGGATCAAGTGATCAGCCCACCTTGGCTTCCCAAAGTGCTGGGATTACAGGAGTGAGCCACCACGCCTGGCCTCTCTTCCCAGTCTACAGCTCCTACAGAGCACTCTGAGGGCCTGTCTGCCCAGTGGAGGAGGCTTCCGCTGGTGTTCTAGGGGGCATCTTGGGCATTGACTCAGGTGGGGGGCCACTCTCTTCTTGGAGATGACCCTGGTAAAGCCGGCGAAGGCGAGACAGTTCTCTCTCCGGTGGCTGTTTCCAGTTGTACCATGGGTACCAGGGGTCACCTGAGACCAGGGTGGGGGCTGGCGGAGTAGCACTCACAGCCCCATGAGAGGTACTGAAGTCAAGGTCCCGTGGTTCAACCTGGGGGATGTGGTAAATGAGGAGACCTAAGGGATTAAAAAAGAAAAGAAATTTAAGAGGCAATGAGGAGGGTGGTTTAGATGAAGTAAGAAAAAGGATTATAAAGGGAAGGACCAGTCAGAGCCACCAGGTACATTTATGCATGTTGTATACTGCAAACAGGTGACCGGCCCAGAGGGCAAGTGTGGGCTGACATACTGCTGGGGCTCTTGCTTACAAAGCTGTGCAGTGCTGAACAAGGACTATGAAGCTGCATCTGCCCTAGCAGAGGGGTATACTTTTTACTAACTTATGCAGCAGTGCCATGTAGTCCAGGGCCAGACATTTATATAAAGAACTTCCTAAGGCATTGAGACCAGCAGTTGTAAAATAGGAGGGAAAAGGATGGAAAGACAAAGAACAAGGAGACAGGACAATGATAAAGTAAGACACTCAGGAGAAAGGACAGGGGACAATGTAACGTCAGGAAGAACATGCTGGGTGCTACCATCTTGAACAGGTGTGAGCATTTATATCCATTTTCTAGCCCTAAGTCATCTTCCTTATACCTAAACAAAACTGCTGTGTGCCCCGTCTCATGCTCACCATGATCCCTGGCTTTCTGGATGGCCTGGGTCAACCGCTTGTGCTGCTTCACACAGACTCCTGTGGGGAGAAAAATATCTTGTTCTTTAAGGCACAGTAAATAATAGAACACAACTGCTTCCATATGGTGACAGAGGGGTAGATTGGGAAGGATTGGCTTTACCTAATGACCCCTTTCCCCTGACCCCTCCATGGACCTCAGTTTCCCCATCTGCCCAAAGGAAAGAATCTCCCCCATCTTTTGGAGAGCTGGGATAAAGATTTAGGAGGGTCTAGCCACTATAGAGAAGCCATTTAATGGTAAAACCTCCAAGACAGGGAGAACACAATTTAATGGGCAAGTGTGGTTAATTAGAGGGTTGAGTTGAACAATCCACAAAGATTCAATAAAGGGAAAAGAGATTTCAGAGTTGGGGAAGGCAATCTGAGAGAGTAACAATAATAGTCCCTTCAGCCTTTACAGCTTGACTATAAGAAACTCTTGACAAACTGAACACTGATTGTACTGCCACCCCCAACAATGGTGAATTCAGATTATTCTCTGCAAGGCCAGGCACGGTGGCTCATGCCTATAATCCCAGCATTTTGGGAGGCTTAGGTGGGAGGATCACTTGAGGTCAGGAGTTCAAGACCAGACTGGCCAAAATGGTGAAACCCTGTCTCTACTAAAAATACAAAAAAAATTAGCCAGGCACAGTGGCACGTGCCTGTAATCCCAGCTACTTGGGAGGCTGAGGCAGGAGAACTGCTTGAACCCAGGAGGTGGAGACGGCAGTGAGCCAAGATCATGCCACTGCACTCCAGCCTTGGGTGACAGAGTAAATGAGATTTCATCCCCCCACCCACACCCCCCCAAAAAAAACAAAAACAAAGATTAGTCTCTGCCGGGCACGGTGGCTCATGCCTGTCATCCCAGCACTTTGGAAGGCCAAGGCAGCTGGATCACCTGAGATCCGGAGTTCGAGACCAGCCTGACCAACATGGAGAAACCCCATCTCTATTTGCCGGACATGGTGGCATGTGCCTGCAATCCCAGCTACTCAGGGGGCTGAGGCAGGAGAATCACTTGAACTTGGGAGGCAGAGGTTGTGGTGAGGCAAGATTGCACCATTGCACTCCAGCCTGGGCAACAAGAGTGAAACTTCGTCTCAAAAAAAAAAAACAACAAAAAATTATTCTCTGCAAATTTGTCTTGCTTCAGAGCAGGGGTTAGCAAAATTTTTCTGTCTAGAGTCATATAGTAAATATTTTAAACTCTGCAGGTCCTGTGGTCTCTGTCTCAGCTACTCAACTCTGCCATTGTAGCATGGAAGCAATTGCAGAAAATATGAAAACAAATGGACGTGACAGTGGGCCAGATTTGCCCTGTGACTGTAGTTAGGGAATAAATATAATTCTGAATTGTTAAATTTACGATTCCAAGTTTGGAAAATCTAATCCAATTGACAATGATATAAAATAACTTATGTGACAATTTGTGAGAAGTCTTTTGTAAAAGTTAAAAGACCCTATAGAAAGGAATTAATCACTGTTTATCAATTAAAAACTACATTTAGATAGTTTGCTTACAGAAGTACTTGTTTTTTTCTTTTTCCTTTTTTTTTTTTGAGATGGAGCTTCACTTGATGCCCAGGCTGGAGTGCAATGGCGCAATGTTGGCTCACCACAACCTGTGCCTCCTGGGTTCAAGCGACTCTCCTGCCTCTGCCTCCTGAGTAGCTGGGATTACAGGCATGCATCACCACAGGGTTTCTCCATGTTGGTCAGGCTGGTCTCGAACTCCCAACCTCAGGTGATCCAGCCGCCTCGGCCTCCCAAAGTGCTGGGATTACAGGCATGAGCCACCACGCCTGGCTGTATTTGTTGTTTTCTTTTGTCCACATTTAATTACTTTAGCCCCCAGCAAGCCAAGATTTCCAAAAGGTTCAGCCAGACCTTTTAGGCTATAAGCAGGAGCCACTGAAGAAATACCTATTGGCCAACTACATAAACAAGGCATGCCACAAGGAAAAGCTCTCTGGTGGTGCAGGGATGATGGGCTAACCTGTGTATGGAGCATAGAAGATGATACCCGTGTGGGCGCAGACAAATTGCTCCAAGAGCTTCACGTTCTGTGGGGGAAAGTGGTAGAGAAACGTGAGGAAAAGAGGCAGGGAGAGCAGCAGGATCTTTGGACATCGAAAGTACACAATCCCTACACACCCACATGGACCACCTTCACCCCTCTACAGCTCTCCAGATGCCATCCTCCTTCATGTCCCAGTTTGGCTTCATCAATTCACTGAATCCATCCTTGCACATCCCATATTCTGTCACTGTGCTCCCATAGAAATCTCTTATGCAGAGGTTAAGTTCTTTTTTTTTTTTTTTTTTTTTTTTTTGAGACAGAGTCTCCCTGTGTTGCCCAGGCTGGAGTGCAGTGGCGCGATCTCAGCTCACCACAACCTCCGCCTCCCAGGTTCAAGCAATTCTCTGCCTTAGCCTCCCGAGTAGCTGGGGTTACAGGCGCCTGCCACCACACCTGGCTAATTATTTTGTATCTTTAGTAGAGATGCGGTTTCACCATCTTGGCCAAGCTGGCCTTGAACTCCTGACCTAGTGATACACCCACCTTGGCCTCAGAAAGTGCTGGGATTACAGGCATGAGCCACCGCGCCTGGGCTGCAGAGGTTAAGTTCTAACGTCAGCCTTTAGGTGAAAAACTGGGGCTGGTCATTGGAAATCCCAGAAATCACCCAAAAAATGATATTGTAATGTGTATGTATAAACAACTAATGTATTTAATAGTATGCTGAATATAATTTATATACTAAGAATAATTTTACAATTTACATAGAACTCTCTCTCAGCAAATTAACTAGGAAATGAGACTCTTGAAAAAAAAGCAGGTACATTGTAGAGTAGAATGCAAGCAGAATCACCCATGCTACTAAATTTGTAACATTTCTCTCTCTCAGTTATGTAATTAATTATAATCTCTGTTTTGTTTTGTTTTTGAGACGGAGTCTCGCTCTGCTGCTCAGGCTGGAGTGCAGTGGTGCAATCTTGGTTCACTGTAACCTCCATCTCCCAGGTTCCAGTGATTCTCCTGCCTCAGCCTCCTGAGAAGCTGGGACTACAGGCGCCCGCCATCACACCCAGCTAATTTTTTTTGTATTTTTAGTAGAGACGGCGTTTCACCTTGTTGGCCAGGCTGGTCTCAAACTCCTGACCTCAAGTGATCCACTCACCTTGGCCTCCCAAAGTGCTGGGATTACAAGCATGAGCCACCGCACCTGGCCATAATCTCTTTTTATAACCAATTATATGCAATTGAAACTGGGAAATTATCTATGGGACTCCTAAATAACCTGTGTTAGAAGGGTTCTTATTGCAGTCAAATACCCCCATTTTCTGACTGTTATCCAAATGCTCTACTACTTCCCTGATGATCAGCCATATAGCTTCTGCTCTAATACTTTTGCTGCAAGCTCAGAAGAACACTTTCCCATTATCTGTTTTATTGATATAATGTTTTCAAATTCTTTTTGTTTTGTTTTTCTTTGAGGAGTTTCACTCTTTCGCCCAGGCTGGAGTGCAGTGGTGCAATCTCAGCTCACTGCAACCTCCGCCTCCCGGGTTCAAGCAATTCTCCTGCCTCAGCCTCCCAAGTAGCTGGGATTATAGGCGCCTGCCACCATGCCTGGCTAATTTTTGTATTTTTAGTAGAGACAGGGTTTCACCACGTTGGCCAGGCTGGTCTCAAACTCCTGACCTCAGGTGAAGCACCTGCCTGGGCCTCCCAAAGTGCTAGCATTACAGGCATGGGCCGCCGCACCCAGCCAATATGTTTTCAAATTCTTTAAGGAGCAAATCCTGTCCTTCTCACATATTGAAGGCTTTTTGAAAAATAATGGACTCTATCTTGCTTCATATACCTGCCCTCCAGCCCCAGGTGCCAGCATGGCACTGAACATTGACAAGGAAATAAAGAAAACCTCAGGAAGAAAGTGGGCCAATATATTTGGTAATAACTGTAATGAATACAAACGAATCTTTGGATATTGGCTCTCCCACTAGAAATAGCCATTTCGCTGGCTGGGTGTGGTGGCTCACACCTGTAATCCCAGCATTTTGGGAGGCCGAGGCGGGTGGGTCACAAGGTCAGGAGTTTGAGACCAGCCTGGCCAATATGGTGAAACTCTGTCTCTACTAAAAATACAAAAAATAGCTGGGCTTGGTGGCACAAGCCTGTAGTTACAGCTACTTGGGAGGCTGAGGCGGGAGAATCGCTTGAACCCAGAAGGCGGAGGTTGCAGTGAGCTGAGATCACGCCACTGCACTCCAGCCTTGGCAACAGAGTAAGACTCCGTCTCAAAAAAAAAAAACAGCCATTTCTCTTACCTGCCAATTTAGACTGTAAATTTCATAGGCATAGGATAAAACTTTCAGTACAATCCATAGTAGAAGGTAAAAGGCTGGAGGGATGTTTTTATAATGCCAGAAACAGTTACTATAAAACGGACTGTAGGGCCTCCTGGATATACGAAGTGTGGGGCACCTACAGTAATCTCTTTGGCACTGCAAAGGGGCTCCTAATCTTTATTTTTCTTTTTAATTTTTTTTATTTTATTTTATTTTTTTTTTGAGACGGAGTCTCACTCTGTCGCCCAGGCTAGAGTGCGGTGATGCGATCTCAGCTCACCGCAAGCTCTGCCTCCCGGGTTCACGCCATTCTCCTGCCTCAGCCTCCTGAGTAGCTGGGACTACAGGCGCCCGCCACCACAACCGGCTAATTTTTTGTATTTTTAGTAGAGACGGGGTTTCACCGTGTTAGCCAGGATGGTCTTGATCTCCTGACCTCATGATCCACCTGCCTTGGCCTCCCAAAGTGCTGGGATTACAGGCGTGAGCCACCGCGCCCAGCCCCTAATCTTTATTTTTCTTACCCTAAAAAGAAAAGACTCTCCTTACCCTAAAGTCAACATGCAACTTGTGATCTCGACAGATGGGGCAGGGATTCCCAACAACTTTATTCCGACGCTGTAGAGAGAAAAAAAACAGCAGTTAAGGATGTTCAAACACGTCAGAAAAAGTGCTGCTGTTACTGTTACTTGTGGCCTCCCCGCACTCCACATCCCACTCTCAGAAACTCACAATACATGTCTTCCGAGTCCGCTGTGGGGGTACACCACCCTTGTGGTTGCGGCGGTAGTCAGCCCAGACGGGGCGAGAACCATATCGCTCCTGGTATTCTGAAATGAAAGATCATACAAGTTATTCCTGGGTGGGAGTGTAGTGGGTGGCTCTGTCCACTTATCTCAAATCCTATCTGACCCTCCCTTTCCCCCTTTAGAGGTACCTTCTGATTCCAGATATTTCCAGGGCTCATCCTTATAAGGAGAAATGGGAACTGAGGACAAAGAATCTTCCTCAGAGGGAGCTTTGGTGCAAAGAGTCTGGAGGGGAACCTACAAAGGAGAAGAAAAAAATAAAAGAATGAGTTTAAGGAAAGGACTAAATTGTTTTGCTTATCACACTTTGGAAAGGAGGAATGCACACATACTGCATTAATGGAATATAACAGGAATGCATATGTAAGTTAAGTATTTTTGTTGGGTTTAAATTGACATAAATCAACAACCACTCTCCTTTTCTACAATTGGATCCTGAAAGAAAAGCTAAGTTAGGGGATATATGCCTAAAAAACAATCTTATTTCAGAAGACAAATAAAAAGTCTAGTACAAGGCCGGGCGCAGTGGCTCACGTCTGTAATCCCAGCACTTTGGGAGGCCCAGGCAGGCGGATCATGAGGTCAAGACATCGAGACCATCCTGGCCAACATGGTGAAACCTTATCTCTACTAAAAATACAAAAATTAGTTCGGCGTGGTGGCATGCGCCTGTAGTCCCAGCTACTCGGGAGGCTGAGGCAAGAGAATCACTTGAACCCGGGAGGCGGAGGTTGCAGTGAGCCAAGATTGCGCCACTACACTCCAACCTGGCAACAGAGTGAGATTTCGTGTAAAGAAAAAAGAAAAAAAAATCTAGTACATAAAAGGTATTCTTGCTTTTTGGAAATAAATTGACTCTGGTGGAAGAATAAAGTAAGAGGAAGGATATCTAGGTTCTTGGAACTAAGATGTGTGGTGGGGAGGGGATGCAGAAGACAGGTGAGTCTCCAAATCAATCCAATGAAGTCACTGAGTTGCCCATTTTCATAAAAGCTGAAGGTCAACATTCTACAGGGCAGAACAAACTTGAGTCCTAACGCTAGTTTTAAAGCTACCAAGGCTGTTATTATTTCTGTGTTGACCTCTGTCACCACTCTTCAGTCCCACTTTAGGGAGTGGCAGCTGGGCAAGCCTTCCTATCTCACCGTGCCCCACCAAGAACCTCCAGAGAGGTGAGTACACAAGACTGGAGGGAAACCTCAATTCAAAGGACGGAGTTAAGCTCTCATAACTCCGATAAGAAACTGATTTAATAAAGAGAGCTGAGAAACTGTCCTCAGGTCGTAAGAATATATCCTGACCTTATTGAGAAATAGCAAGGTTGGTAGAAATTGGGATCCCTAATTTCCCCAAGGACATTCCAGAGCAACACAGATTTAGTCACCACTTGCATAGTTAACAGCTGGTTGTGGCGCTCGCTTGGGGAGTACATATGTTATGCTAAAATTGCAACGATACAGAGATTAGCATGGCCCCTTAATTAGTTAAATAATTTTTAAAAAGCTGGTTATGCATGACTGAGGGTGGACAGGGGTCAATTCCATCACTTAAGTTATTTTACTGAAATGGCATTTTGGAAAAAGGATGATACCTAACCCTGGCGTTTAGTCCTCGGCTCGGGATTAGAAAATGCGCGGGGTGTGGGGGGGGGGTTGCAGGAAGTACTGCCTAGACAGCTAAGACACACGTGGGAAGGTCTCCACTCGTGGATTCCTGACAGTGGAGCGACAACCTCGAGAAGGTATAACCAACTTGAGGTTGTGCAAAATGTCTTTCGAAGAGTTACCTGAACTCTGTGAGAACCTCGGAAGAGAGATAGCATAGGAAGCCGCCTCAGCACGGTGTTTAATACAGACGCCGCCATCTTGACGTACGCCCAGGACAGGAATTGACGGAAAGGCAACTGCGCATGCTTCAGGAAACTGAGTAGGGCAGGGCCAAGGACAAGCCCGCAGTGCGGAAGGCGGCCCCACGTTTGCGTCAGGACGGAAGCGTGAAAGGGAAGGCATGGGGGAGAAGCTAATTTCAACTGCGTCACAATCGAATTAGACCCCAAAATTGCGGTTTTTTTTGGCCAGTCACTACGACTCTTAGATCGCATTGTTAAAGTTTGCCTTTTAAGCAATTTTGAAGGCGATTTTTAGCGGTATCCTCTCAGTGCGCATGCGCTCTTAGGTTTCTACCAATCCTGGGTGAGAAATGTTCTCCAGGGCGGAAGTGGCGGAAGCAGAGGAAAGGGAGGTGCTAGGCTCCTGGTCACGCGCACGCGACAGGGAGGCAGGAAGGAGGCGGAAGAGAGTGCCAGGGAAAGGGGCGGAGCAAAGGTGAAGTGAGAGTAGCCAATCAGTTGGCGAGTTGTCATTTGGGTTGACCAATGAGTTCACGCCTCGCGTATAATGTCTCGCGACAAGGGCGTTTCACTAGCACGTTTGGGCGCGTTGGGCGGCGTCCGGGTATAAAAGACTCCACCCGAGCGGGCGGCCGCCATTCTGGGGTTCGTTTAGAGGTAAGTTTGCCTACTTTGTCGTCTAGTGGGTAAAATTTTGCGGAGAGCGTTGGATCTGGGAAGCGGGATAGGGATGGATGGGTTCATTTGAGAGCCACGGCTTAAAGCGGTTGCGATCAGGATGGGACACAGGTTTGTTTGGGGACAACAAAGATGGCATTTGTGAGTGTTTTGAAGCAACCCGTACTGATTACATCTTTCTCCCTTGTGTTCCTTTTATCCCAGGTTTGAATTTTCTCGGAGAAAGACAGGCCGGCCACGAGGAAAACAGAAACAAGCCGCAGCAACATCTAAGCCCTTGAAAGGATCCTGAGAGAGGGGGGAAAGGGAAAACAGCAGCCACCAGCCCAACCACTTGTGTCTTCTGCCCCTTCCCACCTATCTTGCCCACCCCACCAGCCCACGCTGCTTGGGACTTGAAATCTGTGGCCGAAGGACCGTCACTACATAACTTCAAAAATAATCAACCACCCTCCCTTCCCAAACCACCCAAATTCACTCATCCAGCGTTTACTTTTTTGAATCCACTCAGAACTTTTTTCTGCGACCCCCCTCCCTAAATGGAGTTGGGTGGGGGGGAAATGAATACTGAGTTGGCCTTTATTTTTTAAAAGACTTTTTGATCCAATGAGGCCCCCTAAATAATTGAGTTTTGGGTCCTGGTTGGTTGTTTTATTTTTTTTCCTCCAAAATTTTACCCCCTCCCCCCTGAGCCCGAGGTGCTGACGTCGCAAAAAAATTGGATAGTAAGTGTCGAATTTTCAAAAACCAGCCTTGCAACAAGAAATCAACGTTTCCCGTTGTGAAACCAAAAATAATGAGAGGAAGAAATGAGACCATAGAACAAATAGAGAACTGGAGAAGGACCAATCTGGTCACTTAATCTCCATTAAAAAGGGCCTGTGGGTCTAAACAGTCTTGTTCTCTCTCCCCTACCACCTATCTCTTCCCTGCCTTGCTGCAGGCAAAGAGAGGGTGGAGGGAGGGCCAGCAAGTGAGGATTTTGATGGTTAACCCTTGGTAATCCAGCCAATTTCCAGACTGCCAAAGCCATATGTGTTTATATAAGGAGGAATGGTTACCTTCCTCTGGTTAGCAGCAGTCTTCAAAAGGGTTAATGAGCTCACATACAAGAGATGGTGGATCTTGTGGCCCAGAAGTACCACTTCTTTGTGTGTGAGACAAGCAGGGTGCCTTTCAATTTGCCAGATTAATAAGCAATCTGTACATAAAGATTGCAGGGTAAGGAGATGGGCAGAGAGAAGTAATAGCTCGCTATAACTTTTTAAATGACTGTTAAATCCTCTCAATTTTAATGTAATTTGCTTGGGGTATATTTGTGTGGTTAAAATAGGTGGCAATCTAGGAATAAAGATTGCAAGACACTTAGGACAAAATATAATCTTAGTGCCAGTACATACAAGATAATAGTTGGGGAGGTAAAGAATGTCTTATAATTGTTGCAGATTGCATAGGTATTTAAAAGCAAAAGAGTGATTAACATTTTAACTTGATATTTTTTGGTGGGGGAGGTACAGTTAAATAGAGGGTGGAAAGGTTGGGAAATGTGGAATTTAGGAGTATAATTTTAAAAGCCATTTAGTGCAATTGAATGCTAGCTTTCTAAAAGATTTGTGTCGTTAAAAGGAATTTTTTTCTTCCCTGCTTCAATATGGCGACTTTCCTTGTCCTTTTGTCTTCCAAGCGGCGTTGCAGGTTGTGTCTTGACCCATTTTTTTTCCTGTCCTCCCACCTCAACCCTATTTGTTGAGAGGGGTCCAAGTCCTTCCTCCCCCTTTCCCTCTATAGGGAGGATGGGGGTGGTCGATGGTAGCCGGTTGAACCTCCGTTGCAAATTCAGTTCTTCCCTGCAGAAAATTGTTCTTTTTAATATTTTAATTGCTTTAATTTTCACTACGCTCTTACTGATCAAAATAGGTCAAAGATTATTCACGATGGGGAACTGGTTTTTGATTTTTTTTTTTTTTTTTTTTACTAAAAAGGTGTTTTATAATGTAACTGAAGCTACCGGCAGAGCCGGGTGGCTTTTTAGTTTAAGTCCTCTTTCTCCATTACAAAATGGCGTCCCTCCGTCTTTGTTGTTTTTCTCCCCCTTTTGCCATCCTGAGCTTAGGGCCGCCCTAGAAACTTGGTCAAGTGGGAGGAGCAGCCTTGAAAGGTGATGTAATCAGCTTTCTTCCTCCTCTCTCCACCCTCTTGAAGCTCCACCCCTGAGCAGATGCTTTTGCACTGCCTGTGCTCGTTGCTGCTAGGGAGAAGACATTTTCCTTATTTTCATTATATAAAATATCTTAAAGGGATAGGAGCTTATAGGAATTAAGTATCAAGGCTGTCCATCTCTGTGTAGTTCTAGTTTTTATAGAACCAGTTTTTATTTTCACTTTCCTTCACTCATCACAACTGCTTGTAATTTTTCCCCACTTCAGCTGCCAGGGGTGAAAAAACAGGCAAACCTAAGACTGGGAAGCTTTGAGGATGTGTGTGAGCGTGTGTGTATGTATATATGTGTGTAGAGGGAGATGGGAAAGACACAAGGGCTTGCAAGAGTAACTTGGAGATAAACGGGCCTAATGACACTGAAGTGTGCCATTTCTGCTTAGGAACCAGTGGGCCTCCTGCATTTGGTCGCTTTGTGTAATGAGAATCGGGGGAAGGTGGGTACTTTTAGGACTTTCTTCTAAATCGCCCTCATTCCCACCTCTCAGTTTGGGGATAAACTGTATTCAGTGCTGTATCACGTTCTGCACTTGATTAGTTCCTGTACATTGGTACTAGGATAAGAAGTGAATCTTTAGGAAAGGAGGCGGCAGTTGTAAACTCAAGGCAGGGGGAATCAAGCTACGGTTTCTGGTAAGCAAAACCTTTCTGGTATTACATTTCACAACTTTCATTTTTTTTTTTTCCCCAAAGAGCCACCTTTTTTGAATTTCTTTTTCCTTCCCTTCTAAAAGAAATTCCTAAAAGCATTAATGAAAAAATGATGTCCTCTTCATTTTTCAACTCATGCAGTGCTGTGGCATTTGGTGCATGTTCAGAAGCCATGCCCTATCTGAGGGTGGTATTGGGTGTCTGGTTCCTTTCTTCCCCCAAATTTTTCAAAGTCAAATCTTTATCAGACTCTCCATATAATTTTAATTTTTAAAAGTCCTGCACTGAAGCGTGGAGGTTCTAGGCAGAATTGGAAAGTATAACTGCCCTCTGGTGACCTGGGTGAGACTTAGGGCTAACTTCCTACTGGGTACAGATTCTCAAATTATTACTTAAGCTTCTGGATTGGATGGGAGGGACTCTTCACATGTCTGTTGACTACAAGCTTTTTTTGTTTTGTTTTGTTTTTTTCTTTTAAGCAGTTTGCCATGTGCCTCTGCAGCATATCTTCCTTGGGAGCTGAACATTCTACCCACTGGGGTTCCTGATCTCTAGTGAGCCAGGGGATTAATAAAGAAGATCTTCCTTAACATGGGAGATGGGAAGCCAGGTCTACTAGGGGAACCACATCCATTCAGAAAATCTTGGAAAACCTGATCCTTGTAGTTTGTGGCCAGAGTTCTAGTCTGGGGTCTTTTTCTATGAGTCAGGGTGGTATATCATTTTGCATCTTTATTGGAAGGCAGATAAGCTTTTGAGGAGCTCATGTATCAGGTTTGCAAAATGACTGAGGGGTAGGGGCTTACTACTTGGAAGAAAGCTATGACCTTGTGATGAATCACCTGAGAGACATAATTCAGTCCACTATTGTGTCAAACTAGGAAGTGCCTAAAACACTGAAGAAAGGAAGGGGAACATAAGGGGTTAGGTACAAATCATTTTCATTTCCAGAAGTGCCTCTAAATTAAGGTAAATTTGGGACTTTTTTCTCCTTTTGTTAGAAGACAGTTATTTTTTAAAGAGCTCTGACTTGCACAGAATTTTTATCCTGAACCAATTCAGTCCTGTTTCATTGGTGATGGGTGTGGAATAACTTTAGCTATGCTGGATATTTTTTCACCCTATTTAATTGAATAACCCTCAAGTAAAATTCATTTTGAAGGCAGGAGTTGGTGTCACAGACGTTTATCTCTGGTAAAAATGGTAGAAAATTCCCCAATGCCTTGTGCCAGTAGAGTATGGCTCTGCCTGAAACATTCTCCATAAGGAACGCATAGCTTAGGATGAGGTGGAGGTAGGCCAGGGGGTTGCTACCTCACTCCCCACCTTCTGTATGTTCTGCAGTCAAGAAAATAGCAGCTCATTAAAAGAAGACATAATCATGCCGTGGATTACTTGTGGTTCCAGAAAGCTTTCTTAAGCTTTCATTCTAGACTCCAGATCTTGAGTAGGTAATGTTACAACACTTAGTCACGGCCCCTGCCTGCCTTCATCAACTCAGTTTGCCTTCTCTGCTGTAGCCCTGTGCCCGAAATGTTGGACTTTACATTCCTTTCCACTTGAGCGCCTTGGAAATTGTTTGGTTTTTTTCCAAAATATACTGACTTCAAAGCAAGGAAACTAGGTTATAAGACACTTGGGGTCCTTAATTTTAAATAAGAACTAATCTTCCTGAAGGAAGGCCATCATGAGAAAACCCACTTACATTTTATCAAGATTGGTGCTCATGAGACAAAATTTCACTTATATTTCCAAAATATAAGTAGTGGAAAATGAATATTTAACGCTAATTTTGCTTTGTCTCTTAGCTTCCCTTTGACTATTAATGTCTTTTATTCTTGTTTATACATGTGGGAATAAAAAAGTCCCTGGATCCCATTTCCAGCAGAGGGCACTGGACAGAATTTAGCTTTGTACTCATTGGTCCATTTTTCTAAGACTGGCTCTTCTTTCTTGTCTCCCATCCTCTTAAGGAACACTTGAGCTCAGATGACAGTTTATTTAGTGTCTGAAGGAAATAGGGGTAGTAGGTCTATTTATTGGCTTAGCTTGTAGTTGGATATGCAAAAAGGAATTCTCCAGGGTTATATATATTCAACTCTGGGTTTGAATCAGTCAAGGGTAACTGGTTTGAAATGATGTTTAATTCAAGGCCTTTTGTCAAATTGCATATATTTTGCTTTAGGAATCTAATGGTAGGTATGTGTGTATATATAGAGAGAGGGAGTTTTAAAAATTTCTTAGTCTCTTGATTGCTTATGATATGTTGTTATTGGAACCCATACATTGCTTTTCCAGTCTCCAACAGATGTGATATCTGTTTTATGTGTCCCTTTATCGTATCTCTTTATAGTTTCTATAGATCACTTTATAGTATCTCACTACATGGGAAGAATACCTTTATTTCTGTGTCTGTCTCTGTGTGTGTAGGAATCACCACACTTGAGTGGATTTGGCCCACGGACATCTAATCTTTTCCAGTATTCTCCTTGAATGTTTTTTCTCTGACCTCAGGTTCCACTTGTATTTGTGGAGGTTCCAGGGCAGCAGCGACTTCTCAACATTTCTTGCCTCATCTCTCCCTCTGTTCAGCCCACAGGTTATGATCTCCAGAGCCAAGATTATACTCCTACCCTTCCTGGCTGCCTCCTCCCTGCTTCTGCTGCTGCTCGCCTAGGTTGTTAGGACCTACACATTTGGAAACTTACTGACGTTTTTGTTGGGAGGACAAAAAGGCTGAGATTGTTATGCTATGTTTTTTCTTTTGTTTGAGAACAAGTAGAACTAATTTGCATTATCTTACAAGAAACCTGTGTTTTTTCCGGCACAAAACTACTCATCTTTGTAAAATACTGATTTTTCTACCCTTCTGCTGGGATTGTGTCTGTTACTTCTGTGCTAGATGTAGGATGAGGAAGGTTTTGTTCTTGCCTCTTCCTTGCTACTCAGTGTGGGCCTTATTGCCCAAAGGCAGATATTGCTGAAGTGGCTTTCTTTTTTGGTGGTTTTTTGTTTGTTTGTTTTTGAGGCAGCGTCTTACTCTGTCTCTCAGGCTGGAGTGCAGTGGCACAATCACAGCTCATTGTAGCCTCAGTATCCCTGGGCTCAAGCAGTCCTCCCGTTTTCCCACGTCAGCCTCCCGGGTAGCTGGGACTACAGGTGCACACCATCACACTCGACTTATGTTTTGTAGAGATGAGGTTTCGCCATGTTGCCAAGGCTGGTTTCAAACTCCTGCGCTCAAGGAATCTGCCCACCTTGGCCTCCCAAAGTGCTGGGATTACAGGCATGAGCCACTGCACCCAGCCTCTTTTTTGGGTCTTAGAAGCAAGTATTTAGAGGCAGTGTAGATAAAAATCCCAATCAGAACCATATTGATCCTAAATTACCTTTCTGGAACTTCAGTTCTGGCTTGTCCCTTCCATAAAAGGAGCTTAGCTTTTAACTAATTCCCTTCCCAACCTGGTCTAAAACAGCTGCTTAAAAGGGAATTTTTCTAGCATTTGGCTTTATCTGTTCCCTTTTTAGGTTCCATGGTTTTCAGTTTTAGGCTTTCCTAGGGGATCTTGTACAGCGTGATTTTTGAGGAGAGGACCAGATTCGCATCTTTGCTTTTGAAAGCACAAACCACTAGCTTCCTTTTAACTTAGAGACAGTAAAAACTTGTGTAGTGTTTGGCTAATGAGTGACAGTCTATTCAAGGTCTAGGAGGACCTGCTTGATTTCCATGCATCCATTTGTCTCAATCTCTGGCACCTACTCCCAGATCTCCTTAGGGAGGGATTCTGTTTTCAAGTTTTGTTTTGTTCTCCATCATCTACCACTTCAGCTGATACATATCTTGCCATGTGTAGTGATTATGACTCTTAATGGGCTAAGATAAAAAGGACTCAAGTCTTATAAGACATTTAGCTCAAACACCCAAGATTGGCCCAATTTCTATCAAGCTATAGGCTGTTTTTCAAGCCAAATTTATCAGCAACTAGGGAAGACAGGACTTAACGATAGGTGTAAATGCCCTGGAGAGTTGAACATCTTGTTATGGGAACTGATCTTAGCTTTAATACGATCTAGTGAAGTTCAGCCATCCTAGGAAGGATGCTGCTGGGAGGGAGGGACAGGTGTGCTGCCCTACTCCTCCAATCGAATTGCTTTCCTGTTCAGTCACATATGCTCCCCATGCTTAACTTGCCAGGGCTATTTTCTCAGTAGTGGCAAGTGGTCTGTGTCGATTTTTCATATCTAAAAAATAGCATAGTTGAATAATTAGTCATTATACTTTGTCAAATATAGAGATGTGGTTTATTAGAGGGCCTACTCGGGTAGTCCTTGCCACCCATTTATTCTGTGGGTTTGTTTGTTTTGTCCTCTTACCATAGAAACCACCATCATGGGTTCGGGTCCCATAGACCCCAAAGAACTTCTCAAGGGCCTGGACAGCTTCCTTAACCGAGATGGGGAAGTCAAAAGTGTGGATGGGATTTCCAAGATCTTCAGGTGAGTCTTTACCCCTTTTTGTATTCACTGTGAGTAGAGAATATTGTGTGTTAAAACATGGCTGCAGTTGAGGCACACTGGAATGATCCTGGAAAGGAAAGGGAAAGATAGTCAGTGCAATAGGATTAAAATGTAACAATTTTAGGATAAGGGATAGGAAAAGATGATCACTTGTTTCTGACCATAATGGAAACTGGAGATTTGGACGTCCACGGTCCCAAGGGAGTCATGCTTTGGAATGAGAGCAGGGTAGCCTGGTAACAGAATTCTAGATTGTTTTGGTTCGTGTTCCACCTACCCATAATGTTATTTTCCTTCAGGGATTCTCAGGTTTTTCAGGGGAGAGTAAATAACTAAGCCAGTCTTGAACAGACTATTAGGGACAGTTGTTGAGGGATAGCCTTATCACCTGGAGGCAGAATGGAATTCATCCTGTGTGTTACGGAGGCAGCGATGCTCTCCTCCCCAGGTCAGAGACTGCGGTGTCTCTGTTCTCCCATAAGTTTCCATGTCACACTGGATCCATCCCATCTTCCTAGAGGTATATGTGACTCCCCTTCTCTGGAGCAAAGTCCCAAGTCATTAGGAATCTCTAGGCAGTTCACAGAGAGGCGCTTTTGCTAAGAGAAGAGATACTGGCTGCTTCATTTCTAACCCTAACTCATCTTCTGCAGTTTGATGAAGGAAGCACGAAAGATGGTGAGTCGATGCACTTACTTGAACATTCTCCTGCAGACCCGTTCACCAGAAATATTGGTCAAGTAAGTGGGGATCTGGATGGTTGGAATGGGAAGGTGTAGCGAAAAGATGGGGCGGTGAGGCATGGGGTTCCTGGGTCATTGATGGGAGACTGGGATTGTAGGATGTGGTACTGTCAAAACCTAGAAAGGGCATTACTGATAGACTCTCCTGCCTGCCTGCAGATTTATTGACGTTGGCGGCTACAAACTTCTTAACAATTGGCTGACGTATTCAAAGACAACCAACAACATTCCCCTCCTCCAGCAAATTCTACTGACCCTGCAGCATCTACCGCTCACTGTAGACCATCTCAAGCAGGTACCTTTAGTCTTTAAACCCTGATTCTTCCTTTTTTGGTTTAGTCTAATGGATGAAAAACTCAAACTGACTGATGTGGCTGTAATCTTGGGCCTGTGAGGTAGAACAGCAGAAAAAAAATAGGAATTTAGAAGAAGAAGACTTGGTTTGAATTTATCTCCTTTAATAGGTGTGTGGCGGCTGGGCACGGTGGCTCACGCCTGTGATCCCAGCACTTTGAGAGGCTGAGGCGGGCGGATCATGAGGTCAGGAGACTGAGACCATCCTGGCTGACGTGGTGAAACCCCGTCTCCACTAAAAATACAAAAAATTAGCCAGGCATGGTGGCATGCGCCTGTAGTCCCAGCTAATCAGGAGGCTGAGGCTGGAGAATCGCTTGAACCCAGGAGGTGGAGGTTATTGTGAGCCGAGATCGCACCACTGCACTCCAGCCTGGGCGACAGAGTGAGACTTCGTCTCAAAAAAAAAAAAAAAAAAGGAATGTGTCAGCCAGGTGTGGTGGCTCACACCTGTAATCCCAACACTTTGGGATGCTGAGGTGGGTGGATTGCTTGAGCCCAGTAGTTCAAGACCAGCGTGGGCAAAAATGATAAAACTCTGTCTCTACAAAAAATACAAAAAATTTACCCAGATGTGGTGGTGCATGCCTGTAGTCTCAGTTATTTAGGAGGCTCAGGTGGGAGAATCATTTGAGCCTGGGAGGTCGAGGCTGCAGTGAGCCAAGACTGCGCCACTGCACTCTAGCCTGGGCAACAGAGTGAGACTCCGTCTCAAAAAATAAAAAAAAAAAAAAAAGCAGGGAGGACTGTAACTTTTGTCGTTTTTAGCTCTAAGTGGAATTATTTGCCTCCTGGCATTTACCTTTCTGCTGCTCCCATCTCTCATAGAACAACACAGCTAAACTGGTGAAGCAGCTGAGCAAGTCAAGTGAGGATGAAGGTAGGGTGCCACTCCTGCTCTCTCATGGGCTTTTCTCTATTACTTCCACTTAATTACCTTAATATCTTTTCCCATCCTTGGATTGTCCCTTCACTTTTCTCTTTCTACCTCACCTTGCTTTTTTTCCTTCTTTTAAAGAGAAAGTTCCTCTAACCTGTACCCTCTTTCCTGTTCTCAATTCCAAAGTTGTTCATTTCTCTGTTGCTGAATATAAGGTGCCATACTTTAACTGGAAGCTGATTCCTAAAATTGCTTGTTATAAAACACATACACTTAAAATTTGCTGTGGGAAATAGTATCATCCTAGCGTGTCTCATCTGTGAAACTCCTATTACTAAATGATAAATTATGAAATGAGTTTATAAGTGGAAATGTTGGCCAGAAGAGAGGTGCCATAGATCAGAGATGTTATTTGCCAAGTACAAAAGGAAAGAGTTACAAAGTATTTTTTCATATATTTAGAAACAAATTTTATTCTTGTTTTCACATCTATAAAGGAAAATAAAAAGTCTTCAGATTGTTGTAACAATTAGGTGTGTTATACATAAAGCAACTAACGTAGCTTTTTAAAAAAATGTCAGTTTTTGAGGAACTGGTGGATTTTGGTTACATGTATAAGTTCTTTAATGGTGATTTCTGAGATTTTGGTACACTCATCACCCAAGCAGTGTACACTGCACCCAACGTGTAGTCTTTTACTAATGTAGATTTTAACCACATATTCTGAAATATTAGGTCTTTTTACTCCAGAGTGGTGTGATGACATCAGAGTTGAAAGTTATCCAAGTAGAACACAACTCTAATTCATTGTTCCATTTTTTAAGGGTTTGGTTTTTAAGCATATCTCATGTTCTTCTTAAAACTTTGGGTTACTTTCTCCGTTACATAAATTTTCACAATATTTTCTCAAACCTCCCATTTTCTGTTCCTGGAAGAATGTTACTTTACATTATTTAGGCATTTCCCCTTTCTGTCACCTGCAGAGCTCCGGAAATTGGCCTCAGTCCTTGTCAGCGACTGGATGGCTGTCATCCGCTCTCAGAGCAGTACCCAGCCTGCTGGTAAGCTCCTTAGTCCTTTATCCTTTGTATTTATTTCTTTCCTATTGGGATGTGGCCTTTAGGTGCTCCCAGTCTGCTTCACCTCTGACAGTGTTCATCTAAATAAAATCCTTTTCTGCTTTGTTTTTTCACAACAGAGAAAGATAAGAAGAAACGTAAAGATGAAGGAAAAAGTCGAACTACCCTTCCTGAGCGACCTTTGACAGAGGTGAAGGCTGAGACCCGGGCTGAGGAGGCCCCAGAGAAGAAGAGGGAGAAGCCCAAGTCTCTTCGCACCACAGCACCCAGTCATGCCAAGTTCCGTTCCACTGGTAAGACTGGCGGCTGGCCTCTGGAGGGTTCATGGGCATGTGCACACCCAGAGCCTTATGGGGGAATCATTTGATGTGTGGTATGTTAATCGTAAGGAAGAGGGAAGACTAGCAGAGGAAGCTTTGGTTACAAGGCTAGAAGAACATTTGCGGGTGAGAACGGGAGGAAAATTCGGGGGTCTGGGGTTTGAGTTCAGCTGCCCACACCGTGCTTCTTTCCCCAGGACTAGAGCTGGAGACACCATCCTTGGTGCCTGTGAAGAAGAATGCCAGCACAGTGGTGGTTTCTGACAAGTACAACCTTAAACCCATCCCCCTCAAACGTCAGAGGTATGGACCATATTCTCAGGCTCTGAATGGGGTGGATCTGTGGACACAAGGGAGCAGGAGGGGGTGAGTCGGGGATGTTGATGACAGTTCCTCTTCTGACAGCAACGTAGCTGCTCCAGGAGATGCCACTCCCCCTGCAGAGAAGAAATACAAGCCACTCAACACAACACCTAATGCCACCAAAGAGATCAAAGTGAAGATCATCCCGCCACAGCGTGAGTCTAAAGTGGGGAAGATGTACTTTGAATTAGGAGCAAACTTTTTTTTTTTTTTTTTGGAGACAGAGTCTCACTCTGTCACCCAGGCTGGAGTGCAGTGGCACGGTCTTGGCTCACTGCAAGCTCCGCCTCCCGGGTTCACGCCATTCTCCTGCCTCAGCCTCCCGAGTAGCTGGGACTACAGGTGCCCGCCACCACGCCCGGCTAATTTTTTGTATTTTTAGTAGAGATGGGGTTTCACCATGTTAGCCAGGATGGTCTTGATTTCCTGACCTCGTGATCCACCCACCTCAGCTTCCCAAAGTGCTGGGATTACAGGCATGAGCCACCGCACCTGGCCAGGAGCAAACTCTTATGGGAATGAATGTCCCTGGGAACGAGAAGTTTTTTCCCTTCTCTTTTATTATTTCCCTCCATTTTCCTTTGATTTCTTGGTATCCCTTACTTTTTGTACCTCTGGAACTCCCGTTTCAGGGGTCACTTAGGAGTAATTTTAGAGATAAGATAGGGACGTGTGCCATTCTGTGACTGGTCAGGGGCACCTGGTAAGGTGATCTGTCATGTTCACAAGGGCTCACTTCGTCAGCTACCTGAGCTATAATTCACATCCAAAGCTATGGCTTGCCTGCCATGAGAAACCTAGAATAACAACAAGAATATCCTGTGTGAATCCTCCTGCATGTGCTTCCTGGTCCTCTTGAGCTTATCGTGTCCTAAGTTGAGGCAGGGTCTTCACTGGCTCATTTTATGCCTGGACTGTGTTTGCAGGTGTAGGATTATGAAGGAGGTCTGATGATGCCATTTGGTGCTCTTTCTTTTTGTAGCTATGGAGGGCCTGGGCTTTCTGGATGCTCTTAATTCAGCCCCTGTTCCAGGCATCAAAATTAAGAAGAAAAAAAAAGTACTGTCACCTACGGCTGCCAAGGTATGGGCTCCCAGAAGTAGGTTTCAGTGACAGAGTATAAAAGGTAAAGTAGAAGAAAGGGCACAGCAGCTAGGAGTTGTCGGGGAGGACAACAAGAGGCGTTTTGCCTTGGATATAGACTGGTGCAGGTGAGACATTGTGGAGACAGAGTCTTCCTTTATATAGGAACTGTTGGGGGACTGTGCCTGGGACCCTGGACTAATTGCCTTGCCCTTGGCTTTCCAGTCAGTTCATTAACTTCCTTTTCTTTCACAATAGCCAAGCCCCTTTGAAGGGAAAACGAGCACAGAACCAAGCACAGCCAAACCTTCTTCCCCAGAACCAGCACCACCTTCTGAGGCAATGGACGCAGACCGTCCAGGCACCCCGGTTCCCCCTGTTGAAGTCCCGGAGCTCATGGATACAGGTAATCTAGAAACTGGTTCAGTTTGGGGGGTTTTCTGAAAGGAGGGATCTGGGTCTGAAACCTCTTCTGCTTCCAGCCTCTTTGGAGCCAGGAGCTCTGGATGCCAAGCCAGTGGAGAGTCCTGGAGATCCTAACCAACTGACCCGGAAAGGCAGGAAGAGGAAAAGTGTGACATGGCCTGAGGAAGGCAAACTGAGAGAATATTTCTATTTTGAATTGGATGAAACTGAACGAGGTAAGAGGTCATTTCCTACGTAATAGGTGTGTTTAAGGGATTTTGAAAGGACTTGGTTGTGCTTACTTTCCCTCTTGCTTTTCTTCCCCTGCCGACAGTAAATGTGAATAAGATCAAGGACTTTGGTGAGGCGGCTAAGCGAGAGATACTGTCAGACCGACATGCATTTGAGACAGCGCGGCGTCTGAGCCATGATAACATGGAGGAGAAGGTGCCCTGGGTGTGCCCCCGGCCCCTGGTTCTGCCCTCACCTCTTGTCACCCCTGGAAGCAATAGTCAGGAGCGATATATCCAGGCTGAGCGGGAGAAGGGAATCCTTCAGGAGCTCTTCCTGAACAAGGAGAGGTGAGCAGAGTGGGGTTCGTGCCCTGGGATGTTGAGTGCTTGGACACTCCTGAGGGAACATGAGCTGGGGTAATTACGGGGTGGAGGTTAGAAATTACTTTCAGGGTCTGAATTAATAACTTGACTATCATTCTTTTTTCTCTCACCTGTGTTGTTCCTGATAGTCCTCATGAGCCTGATCCTGAGCCCTACGAGCCCATACCCCCTAAACTCATCCCCCTAGATGAGGTAAGTCAATGTTCTGTGATGATGGAAGTTGTGATGGTCATTGAATTCGGTGCATCTTTCATATGAGAATGTCTCTGTTCTGTCAGTCCTGATTTTTTTTGTTCTTCTTTCAGGAGTGTTCCATGGATGAGACTCCGTATGTTGAGACTCTGGAACCTGGGGGGTCAGGTGGCTCACCTGATGGGGCAGGAGGCTCCAAGTTGCCTCCAGTTCTGGCCAATCTTATGGGAAGCATGGGTGCTGGAAAGGGCCCCCAAGGCCCTGGAGGAGGAGGCATTAATGTCCAAGAGATCCTCACCTCCATCATGGTACGCACCCTCCTTCCCCTTTTCCACCTTCTGTGGAGCCTCCTTAAGCTCGCTCTCCTCACTGTCTCCCATTCGCCTTACCCCAGTTCTCCACATCTACCCACTTACCCCTAATCTTTGGCGCTATCTTTCGCCATGGTTGTTACCCTTTCTGTCTGTTGACTTTGCCTTCTTACATCCTCACAGGGTAGCCCAAACAGTCATCCTTCAGAGGAACTACTGAAACAACCAGACTATTCGGACAAGATCAAGCAGATGCTGGGTAATCTTCAGGGCCAGCCCCAGGGGACTGGGGGAGGAAGCCTGCAGTGGAGTTGGGGGAAGCAGGGTTTCAAAGATGCAGAAGAATACAGGGCTGTGGCCACTAGGCAAGAAATGGGAGGGGAAGACTGGACAGAGAGAGCATTGCTCTGCCAGGTTGGTTTGAGAGGGTCAGTTGGTTGCACCTAAATGGGAGATCATGCTAGTCTTCTAGAGTGCTCATGCTGTGTTACTCTTGTTTTCATTAACAGTGCCACATGGACTCCTAGGCCCTGGCCCAATAGCCAATGGTTTCCCACCAGGGGGTCCTGGGGGCCCCAAGGGCATGCAGCACTTTCCCCCTGGACCTGGGGGACCTATGCCAGGTAGGTGGTGAGTAAAAGGTTGGAATGGGCTTATCTGCTTAATTTCAGTCTGATAATAGTATAGGATTGACTGGAAGGTGGGAGGTGGTGGTTTAGGTTGGGAGATGGCAGTTCCTGGTAGCTGATACTGTCTCTCTTTTTTGTCCCCTTACAGGTCCCCATGGAGGCCCTGGTGGGCCAGTGGGTCCACGTCTTCTGGGTCCTCCACCCCCTCCCCGGGGAGGTGATCCCTTCTGGGATGGCCCGGGCGACCCTATGCGGGGTGGCCCAATGCGGGGGGGTCCAGGACCAGGTCCTGGACCATACCATAGAGGCCGAGGTGGCCGAGGAGGAAACGAACCTCCTCCTCCTCCTCCTCCATTCCGAGGCGCCAGAGGAGGTCGCTCTGGAGGAGGACCCCCAAATGGACGAGGGGGCCCTGGTGGGGGCATGGTTGGAGGTGGTGGGCATCGTCCTCACGAAGGCCCTGGTGGGGGCATGGGCAACAGCAGTGGACATCGTCCCCACGAAGGCCCTGGCGGTGGCATGGGAAGTGGGCATCGCCCCCATGAAGGCCCTGGTGGTAGCATGGGTGGGGGTGGAGGACATCGTCCCCACGAAGGCCCTGGCGGTGGCATCAGTGGTGGCAGTGGCCATCGTCCCCATGAAGGCCCTGGCGGAGGAATGGGTGCCGGTGGTGGACATCGCCCCCACGAAGGCCCTGGCGGAAGCATGGGTGGAAGTGGTGGACATCGTCCCCATGAAGGCCCTGGACACGGGGGGCCCCATGGCCACCGGCCTCATGATGTCCCTGGTCACCGAGGCCATGACCATCGAGGGCCGCCACCTCATGAGCACCGTGGCCATGATGGTCCTGGCCACGGGGGAGGGGGCCACCGAGGGCACGATGGAGGCCACAGCCATGGAGGAGGTGAGGATGCTCCCTGTCCCCCATATGCCTTTTGGTTGTCCCATACAAGCTTTTGGGGAGTGGGTGAGAGTCACTACTGTTGGTAGCTAGGCAGAACGTGAGGTACCCGTCTCTTTGATGTCCTAGTATGCATAGCAGTTCCTACTCTATGCCCTTCCCCCAAATCCCCAAGATTGTCTCTGAAAGACAGTTCTCAGGATGTCATGGACAAGGGGTGGTGAGGATGGCATTGCCCTCAGCTATTTCCTGTCTAACTGTTTTGCCATCGTTCCCACAGACATGTCAAACCGCCCTGTCTGCCGACATTTCATGATGAAGGGCAACTGCCGCTATGAGAACAACTGTGCCTTCTACCACCCGGGTGTCAATGGGCCCCCCCTGCCCTAGGGACCATTTGCCTGCCCTGTTCACACAACCCCTGTGGACTGCAGCCTCGCTCTTTCCACCCTGTTATGGCTTCTGTGAGGCCCATTTTCCCTTTTCCCCAGCTGATGAGGAGCCGGCCCCCTCAGTTCCCACTTGCTTGGGTTCCTGGGGGTTTTCTGATCACTGGTGCGCATTGATGTACATATTTTCCTCCAGTCTGGGGAGGAGAGAGACTGGAAACGTTCCTGGACTGCTGAAGAGGAGACCCAGTTGGCTTCACTTTTTGAGAAGATTCGCCCTGTACCCCAAACCCCTTTCCAGTATTACCCTTAATGCTTGAGAACCTAAAGCTGGTTATCCTGGCGAACACCCCTACCCTTCTATTGCGGGTCCCCACATGCACACAGAACTCTGACACAGGATCAGCTGCACTTAAGAAATCATCCCAGCTAAGTTCATTATTCCTCATGGGGTGGGGAGATGCTGAAAGGGGTATTGTATATCCCACTGCACTGAGAGGGCTCAATCAGCTGGATTTGAGTTCTGGAACACACATCATCCCCACCCCTCCCCCAGCGTGGGCTCACCATTCTTAGTCCTTTCTCAAGTGGGACCTTCAACTTTCTGTGAACACCCAGTCTGCGTCCTGGGTCTGCTAGGTTCGATGATGGCGAACTCGTATCTGCATCCGGTGCAAGTTTTAGCTGGCAGAGGTGAGACCGGTGGTGCTGGTCTGCCTTTGCCAACTATAGCCAGTCTGGAGACTTGATAAAATACTTCAGTGAGACCAGCTTCTCATCAACTTGGGCCCGGCGTGCTGGGCCTGAAAGTCACACTACATGCACTGCCTTTGGGAGTCAGCTCACTCCCTGCTCCCACCTGGAACCTTGCCAGCGTGAAGGAGGCTTCCAGGTACTTCACCCTGTCAACCACCTCTGAATCCCCACCAGGCGCCTTCCTGGGTGGATTCAACAAGATGATTTTGCCCTTTCCCAGTTCTCTCCTTCACTTTGGCATCAGTTGTTTTCTATGAAAACAGTGGATTGGTTGGGTTTTGTGCAGGGTCTTGGGTTAGAGCCAAAATGGATTTGAGGATGAGTATTTTTTTTTTTGGTTTTGTATATTTTGTACATTAATAATAAACAGTGGAAAGAGAAGCAGCTTATTTAACCCCTAGTGTGTTTGGACTTTTTTGAGACGGAGTCTCGCTCCGTTGCCTGGGCTAGAATGCAGTGGTGCAGTCTTGGCTTACTGCAATCTCTGCCTCCTGGGTTCAAGGGATTCTTCTGCCTCAGTCTTCTGAGTAGCTGGGATTCCAGGCACCTGCCACCATGCCTGGCTAATTTTTTTGTATTTTTAGTAGAGACTTGGTTTCACCATGTTGGCCAGGCTGGTCTGGAACTCCTGACCTCGTGATCTGCCCGCCACGGCCTCCCAAAGCGCTGGGATTACAGGCGTGAGCCACCGCGCCCGGCCTGGACTGTTTTTCATTTTTTTTTTTTAAAAGCCATTACCACCTGTGTTAGATACATTAGTACAAATCTGTGGAATCTGATTTTTACTCCTCTGGAGCTAATGCTTGATCTAACAGTTGCTATTAAGTACTGGTGAAAAAATGCTTCAAAAAGTACATAAAATACTCTAGGATACAGAGTAGATCTCGGCCACAGGGCTCTTTCCTGGTTTTCATCTTTCTGAGTCTTCTTTAACACGCCTCGTGTGTGTTCCTAGAACAGTCCTATCCTGGCTATCGTGCCCTCTAGGATGTGTTCTTGGTCATCTTATCCACATTCTACAGATAAGGGAGGAAATCCTGAGGATGCTGGAGTCAGATAAAGGCCATTGTCCCAGCTCTACCTCTCTACAGCCTGGGTGACCTTAGCCAGGTTAGTGTTGGGTATCAGTGGCTCATGTCTGTAATCCCAGCACTTTTGGGAGGCCGAGGTGGGAAGACTACTTGAGCCCAGGAGTTTGAGACCAGCCTGAGCAACATAGGGAGACCAGGTCTGTACAAAAAATACAAAAAATATTAGGCATGGTGGCACATGCCTTTAGTTCCAGCTACCTGGGAGGCTGAGGCGAGAGGATCACTTGAGCCTGGGAGTTCAAACTCACAGCTATGATTGTACCACTGCAATCCAGCCGGAGCAACAGAGCAAGACCCTGTCTCAAAAAAAAAAAAAAAAAAAAAAAAAAGCCAGGCATATTGGGTCATGCCTGTAATCCCATCACTTTGGGAAGGCGAGGTGGGTGGATCACCTGAGGTCAGGAGTTGGAGACCAGCCTGGCCAACATGACAAAACCCCGTCTCTACTAAAAATACAAACATTAGCTGGGTGCCTATAACCCAGCTACTCCGGAGGCTGAGGCGGGAGAATCCCTTAAACCCAGGAGGTGCAGGTTGCAGTGAGCCGAGATCATGCCACTGCACTCCAGCCTGAGTGACAGGGCAAAATTCCGTCACAAAAAAACAAAGGGTAAGTATAGACTGCTCTTCCCAAAGTGGCTCTGGCCAGGCATGGTGGCTCAAGCCAGTAATCCCAGCACTTTGGGACGCCAACATGGGAGGATCACTTGAACCCAGGAGTTCAAAACTACCCTAAGCAACATAGGGAAGCTCCATTTCCCCATTTCCGCGCCTGGCCTCCACTCTTCTTAAACCAGAAATTAAAGCTGGGCATGTTGGCTCACGCCTGTAATCCCAGCACTTTGGGAGGCCCACATGGGAGGATCACTTGAACCCAGGAGTTCAAAACTACCCTAAGCAACATAGGGAAACTCCATTTCCCCATTTCCGCGCCTGGCCTCCACTCTTAAACCAGAAATTAAAGCTGGGCGTGGTGGCTCACGCCTGTAATCCCAGCACCTTGGGAGGCCGAAGCAGTTGGATCACCTGAGGTCAGAAGTTCGAGACCAGCCTGGCCAACATGAAGAAACCCCATCTCTACTAAAAATACAAAAATTAGCTGGGTGTGGTTACTGGCGCCTGTTATCCCAGCTACTCGGAAGGCAGGAGAATCGCTTGAACCCAGGAGGCAGAGGTTGCAGACTGCACCACTGCACTCCAGCCTGGGCAACAAGAGTGAAACTCCATCTGAAAAAAAAAGAAAGGATACATCACTCTGGGGGGAGTGTGTGTGGCAGATATGGGGCAGTTGAAGATATTAACATGTTTTAACATGTGGGTTGAGAATGGCGGTTTTCAAGTCTGTTAGCATTCATCAGGATCATCTGAAGAGCTTATTAGAAAACAAATCTGGGGCCGGGTGCAGTGGCTCATACCTGTAAACCCAGCACTTTGGGAGGCCAAGGCGGGTAGATCAGGAGGTCAGGAGTTCGAGACCAGCCTGACCAACATGGAGAACCCCCGTCTCTACTAAAAATACAAAAATTAGCCGGGCGTGGTGGCGCATGCCTGTAATCCCAGCTACTCGGGAGGCCGAGGCAGGAGAATTGCTTGAACCCGGGAGGTGGAGGTCGTGGTGAGCCGAGATCGCACCATTGCACTCCAGTCTGGGTAACAAGAGCGAAACTTGGTCTCAAAAAAAAAAAAAAAAAAAAGAAAGAAAAAAAAAAACAAATTTGGGTTGGATGCAGTGGCTTATGCCTGTAATCCCAGCACTTTGAGAGGCCAAGGCGGATGGATCACCTGAGGTGAGGAGTTTGTGACCAGCCTGGCCAACATGGTGAAATCCCATCTCTACTAAAAATACAAAAATTAGTCAGGCATGGTGGCTCGCGCCTGTAATCCCAGCTACTTGGGAGACTAAAGCAGGAGAATCACTTGAACCCGGGAAGTGGAGGTTGCAGTGAGCAGAGATCACACCACTGCACTTCAGCTTGGGTGACAGAGCCAGACTCCATCTCCATCTCAAAAAACAAAAACAAAACAAAAAGAAAAAACAGACAGATTGGGGGTAGGGTCCAGCAAAATTCTGATTTAGTAGGTCAGGATGGATCCCGAGATATGCATTTCTAACAAATTCCCAGTTGCTGAGGCTGCTACACTGCCCTGGAATACGTGTCTCAGCTGTATTTCCAGCATTGGCCACATGAGGGGGCAACAATGTTTTATCAGTATCTGAAAGGCCTCACTGCATGTAGGCCCAAAGTGGGTAGTTTTACCTTCCCCTTGCCCAGGCTTGGTGTGTGTGGGCGGAGGTGTTCAGGTCAGTCTGTTGTTGCTGTGTGCACTGGGAGAAGACCTGAGAAGACATAATCTAAGGACCAGGCTAGGGCGTGAAATACCAAAGAAGTATACAGCTCAAGTGAAAAAACCCAAACATGTCACAACCTAGTGGTCACAACTTTGTGTCTCTTTCTGCTTCCATTTACTGCCTGCTTCTCACCTTTCTTCTATCTCCTGCAACAAGCCACAAGAACCTTAAAAGAGAGCTTAAAGTTTTTACTGTATTTTAAGAATAAGCTCGGCCGAGCGCGGTGGCTCACACCTGTAATCCCAACACTCTGGGAGGCCGAGGCGGGCAAATCCCAAGGTCAGGAGATGGAGACCATCCTAGCCAACATGGTGAAACCCCGTCTCTATTAAAAATACAAAAATTGCCAGGCGCGGTGGCTCACGCCTGTAATCCCAGCACTTTGGGAGGCCGAAGCGGGCAGATCATGAGGTCAGGAGATGGAGACCATCCTGGCTAACAAGGTGAAACCCCTTCTCTACTAAAAATACAAAAACTTAGGTGGGTGTGGTGGCGGGTGCCTGTAATCCCAGCTACTGAGGAGACTGAGGCAGGAGAATGGCATGAACCCGGGAGGTGGAGCTTGCAGCGAGCAGAGATCGCGCCACTGCACTCCAGCCTGGGCGACAGAGCAAGACTCTGTCTCAAAAAAAAAAAAAAAATTAGCCGGGAGTGGTGGCACGCACCTGTAGTCCCAGCTACTTGGGAGGCTGAGGCAGGGGAATCGCTTGAATCCAGGAGGCAGAGGTTGCAGTGAGCCGAGATAACGCTACTGCATTCCAGGATGGCGACAGAGCAAGACTCCGTCTAAAAAAAAAAGAAAGAATGAGCTCATTTTCTTTCAAATCATTTATGAAAATTCGGCCAGGCGTGGTGGCTCACGCCTGTAATCCCAGCACTTTGGGAGGCCGAGGCGCGTGGATCACCTGAGATCAGGAGTTCGAGAGCAACCTGACCAACATGGTGAAACCGTCTCTACTAAAAATACAAAAAATTAGCCGGGCGTGGTGACTGGTGCCTGTAATCCCAGCTACTCTGGAGGCTGAGGCAGAAGAATCGTTTGAACCCAGGAGGCGGAGGTTGCAGTGAGCTGAGATCGTGCCATTGCACTCCAGCCTGGGTGACAGCAAAATTTCATCTCAAAAAAAAAAAAAAAAAAAATTCAAAGAAACCTGTTTTTTTTTTTTAGACAAGTTTCACTCTTTTGCCCAGGCTGGAGTGAAATGGCACGATCTTGGCTCACTGCCCCCTGGGTTCAAGGATTCTCCTGCCTCAGCCTCCTGAGTAGCTGGGATTGTAGGCACCTGCCACCACGCCTGGCTAATTTCTGTATTTTTAGTAGAGATGGGGTTTTACCATCTTGTCCAGGCTGGTCTCGAACTCCTGACCTCAGGTGATCCACCCGCCTTGGCCTCCCAAAGTGCTGGGATTACAGGTGTGAGTCACGGCACCCGGCCTACCTGTTCCTTTTTACTTACGTAAAAACTTTAGATTATATAAAGAGAAGATTTTCCTTGTTTTTTGTTTTTTTGCAGGGGGAGAGAGGTTGAACATTTCATTCATTTCACTACAATGATGTTTCTTCACCAAGCCCTCCCTGCAGGCACTTTTCTCTCTACCGTTTCAGTCTGTTTTTCCTTTCTGCTTCCATTTTTTCCCTCTAAAATACCCTTGTGACATTCAACGTTCTCTTTCTGTCAATCCTTCCCCAGGTGCAACGGGGTCTATCTTCAATTCAGAATCATTATCCTATTTCTTTCATTCCTACTCCTGGGCAGTAGACCTAATGTTGAAAAATCACAAAATCCTACTATCTTAGCCCAGTACAAATTAATGTTAGCATTGATTCTACACTTACTGCTGCTCAGCAAACCTTTTTTTTTTTTTGAGACGAAGTTTTGCTCTTGTTGCCCAGGCTGGAGTCCAATGGCATGATCTCCGCTCACTGCAACCTCCACCTCCCAGGTTCAAGTAATTCTCCTGCCTCAGCTTCCTGAGTAGCTGGGATTACAAATGCGTGCCACTACTCCTGGCTAATTTTTGCATTTTTAGTAGAGACGGTGTTTTGCCAAGTTGGTCAGGCTGGTCTCGAACTCCTGACCTCAGGTGATCCGCCTGCCTCGGCCTCCCAAAGTGCTGGGATTACAGGCATGAGGCACCGTGCGCGGCCTACTCTTCTTGATTCTCTGGCACCAAAGCTTGGGAAAAAGTGAGTCCCATCCACTGTGAGCAACATTTTCCCTTCCCTTCACATGGAAATATCTGAGTCTACATTATCTCCCTTCCATTCCATTCTTAGATGAAGAGAATCTTCTTTCCAAAGTAATATTGAGCTGTTCTCCTGGCATCTCTTTTCCCTGTCTCCCCACACCCACTATTTGCCACCTAGCAGCCAGGAGCAATTTTGTAAAAATGAAAACTGAATCAGTTTGCACTCCTGGCTAAACAGAACCAATGGCCTCCCATTGCTCAGCCTCTCCTCATCACATCCCAACCTGCTGTCTATGCATATAAGGCCCCGTGTGTATTGGCGCATGCTCAAGTTCTCAGCTCCAGCCATTCCTTGACCATGTTCAGCTCTTTTCAGCCTCAGGGTCTTTGCACATTTTGGTCCCTTCCCTGAAGGCTCTTCCTTTCCTACCTTCAGGCTTTGGCTTTAATGAGGCTGAGGTGGGAGGATAACTTGAACCCAGGAGTCTGAGACCAGCCCGGGCAACAAAGCAAGACCTCTTTGCTACAAAAAAATTAAAAAATTGGCTGGGCATGTTGGTGGACACTTGTAGTCCCAGCTACTTGAGAAGCTGAGGTAGGAGGATCACTTGAGTCCAGAGGGTTGAGGCTGCAGTGAGCCATGATTGTGCCACTGCACTCCAGCCTGGGAAACAGAGGGAGACCACATCTCAAAACAACAAAAAACACATTTCTACGATGTTTACTGTGTACCACATATGTGCATCACTTGTAGGTAATAAGCTGTTTATAAATAAAACAATTTAATTTGGTTAATGAAATTTCCATGCGCTACCATGGAAATGTTTCCCTTTCGTGTTCCATTTCTATGCTGCTTTTTGGAGGGCATACTTTTGCCCACATTTAGGTGAATTATTAATTCCATTAACAGCACATATGATTGGCTACAGGGATCACAGAAGTTAAAACATACACGGGAGGAGATAAAGTTTGTGGCCAGGTGCCGTGGCTCATTCCTGTAATCCCAGCACTTTGGGGAGCCTAGGAGAAAGGACTGCTTGAGGCCAGGAGTTTGGGACCAGCCTGGGCAATATAGCAAGGCCTCATCTTTAAAAAAAAAAAAAAAAAAAAAGAACAGAGAGAGAAATGAAATTTATGCCTGTGGCGGAAAGTTATTTTGGAGTACTTAAAGTACTTTTCTCACTTATGTTTGAAGTAGTGAAATTAGTGACCAAATATTTGAAATGCAAGCTGGTATTCACTTTATAAATAACATTCCTATATATTTTATGTATCATCTCAACTAGACTAGCGAAGTAAAAACTTAAAAATGCAAAAGTATAGGCCAGGTGCGGTGGCTCACGCCTGTAATCCCAGCACTTTGGGAGGCCGAAGTGGGCAGATCACCTGAGGTCAGGAGTTTGAGACCAGACTGGCCAACATGGCAAAACCTGATCTCTACCAAAAGTACAAAACTTAGCCGGGCGTGGTGGCACGTGCCTGTAATCTCAGCTACTTGGGAGGGTGAGACAGCAGAATTACTTGAACCCAGGAGGCAGAGGTTGCAGTGAGCCAAGATCACGCCACAGCACTCCAGCCTGGCAACAGAGTAAGACTCCATCTCAAAAAAAAAAAAAAAAAAATATATATATATATATATAATATGAAATACATATAACAAAAGCAACAGAATTTAAGGCACTTTACGTATTATTACACATTGAATCCCCTAATAACCCTGTGAAGTAGGTAACTACCACCTTCATTTTACAGATGAGAAAAGAGGTATCAAGAGGCTAATGGCTTGTCCAAGGTCACTGCCAAGACCCTGACTTTTCCCCCTCAAATTCCATAAGAGGCATGTTTCCTGATGTCTTTTGGTTTTTGTTTGAGACAGAGTCTCGCTCTGTTGCTCAGGCTGGAGTGCAGTGGCGCAACCTCGGCTCACTGCAACCACTGCCTCCCGGGTTCAAGCAATTCTCCTGCCTCAGCCTCCTGAGTAGCTGGGACTACAGGTGTGCACCACCACGCTCGGCTAATTTTTTTGTATTTTTAGTGGAGATGGGGTTTCAATATGTTGGTCAGGGTGCTCTCGAACTCCTGATCTCATGATCTGCCCGCCTCCCAAAGTGCTGGGATTACAGGCATGAGCCACCATGCCCGGCCTCCTTATTTTTAATTTAGAGTGTTCCCTGACTATGCAGCTATCTCCACACCAAAACTTCACTTCCTGTATGAAGCTTGTACTTGAAGTCCAGTATTATTTATTCACTTGGCTGGAAAACAATTTCCCCAAATTAAATGTCCAAACAGTTAAATCTTAGCCACACAGCTCTCCCTATTCCCTCTGGAACTGGATATATCTCCTGTCACTCCCTTCTCCCCAACCTCCACATCTGCTCTTTCCATCCCTATCTCCCCTAGCTAGTTTAGGATTCAGTTACCCCATTCCCGTAACAAAAGTTATGGGCTTCACCCTGCAGGTTTCTACAGCACGCCTTGCACATCACCACCTAATACCACTACCCACCATTTGCATTTTACTTTCCAAACCCATCTCCCCAGTCTAACTCTTAAGAAAAATGGCCACAGCAGCTATCATCCATTAACTCCCAAGTAGCTTGTTCTTCCCCCCAAGCCTGAGATCTGCTCTTTTCCTACTTCTGAAAAATGGCTCCCTGGTCCCTGATTAGTCAAATCATCATTTTTCAAGATCTACCCTCAAGTGACCCTGTCAAATAATCAGGCCCTGGATAATCTTTCCCTTTTTTGAGTATGTGGCAACTTAGAATCTAGAGTACGACATATTAGACAATTGATCAAATTAATTATCTATTCATGCTTACTTTTAAGTCTTCTCTAACCAGACTATTAATGAAGGCAGATCTTGTCTCTTCCCTTCTTATATACCCCACAGTACCGTACATTTTGGCTAGATGATTTAATAATTTTTGAGAGAATCAATACCCTGGTCCCTGGCCACAGGGCAGAGCACCTCCTCATTCATGAGATTAACTTGGACAATGAGACCCAAATTCTGGCTAGGCGTCGTGGCTCACGTCTATAATCCCAGCACCCCAGCACTTTGGGAGGTCGAGGTAGGAAGACTGCCTGAGGTCAGGAGTTCAGGACCAGCCTTAAGCAACATAGCAAGACACTGTCTCTACTAAAAATTAAAAAAAAAAAAATTAGTTGAGTGTGGCGGCACATGCCTGTAGTCCCAGCTACTCAGGAGGCTGAGGTGGAAGGATTGCTTGAGCCCAGGAGGTTGAGGGTACAGTGCACTCTAGCCTGGGCAACACAGCAAGACCCTGTCTCAGAAAAGAGAAAAAAAAAGAAGTTGGGCACAGTGGCTCATCCCTATAATCCCAGCACTTTAGGAAGTCAAGGTAGGTGAATTACTTGAGGTCAAGAGTTCGAGACCAGCCTGACCAACATGGTAAAACCCTGTCTCTATTAAAAACACTAAAATTAGCTGGGCCTGGTGGTGTGTGCCTGTAATCCCAGCTACTCGGGAGGCTGAGGCAGGAAAATTGCTTGAACCCAGGAGGTGGAGGCTGCAGTGAGCCAAGATCATGCCACTGCACTCCAGCCTGAGTGAAAGGGCAAGATTCTGTCAAAAAAAAAAAAAAAAAAAAAAAAGGAAAGAGACCCATGTTCCAAGATAGAAGGTATGAATCACTTTGCTTTTTCCTTGCGTGAAGGGTTGGGGGAAAGGAATCCTATGATCCTTAAACAGCAAACACTGTCAGCAAGACTGCAAACAAGATCCATTTAGTGGGGAAGAGGGGACTATTAAAAGCTGCTAGAAAACTGAATAAAGCAAATCAAGACTGAGAACAGTTCCAACTCCCATCAATCTCCAAACAGTGACAGGTCGGCAGCAACTCCTTTCCTTTATTTCTTCCCCTTGTAAAGGGAAATTCAAGTTCAGCAGCATTCCTTTCCTGCCCCAAGTCCTCAACCAGACAAGAGGCTGCAGGCACCAAATCTTGGGCTGGATAATGGCAAAGGCCTCAGAAGCTCACCTCCAGCTCTGAGCTTCAACAGCTGTTTGTACCAGTGAGTCAGCATTAAATCCACCAGAAAAGAACAGCACCACCCAAAGACTGGGGGGCAGCTGGGCCTGAAGCTGTAGGGTAAATCAGAGGCAGGCTTCTGAGTGATGAGAGTCCTGAGACAATAGGCCACATAAACTTGGCTGGATGGAACCTCACAATAAGGTGGTCACCTCTTGTTTGTTTAGGGGGATGCCAAGGATAAGGCCAGCTCAGTTATATGAAGAGAAGCAGAACAAACAAGTCTTTCAGAGAAATGGATGCAATCAGAGTGGGATCCCGGTCACATCAAGGTCACACTCCACCTTCATGTGCCTGAATGGTTGCCAGGTCAGCTGCAGGCCAGAGGCAGTCTTCAGAGGAGGGGAGACCACAGAGGACTTCTAGGCCACACAAATATGTCTCTCGGGAGACTTCTGGGAAGGAAAGCTTCACTCTCGGGGCCGGCTGACCATGACTTCACCCAGGGCCTCCAACACCTCCCGCTTGTAGTCTTCAAAGTCACCATCGATTTGGCTAACACTCTGCTCCTCCACCACCCACAGCTGGCAATTGGTTTCTGTGATGAGTCGGGCATCATGGCTGACAACGATCACAGCTTTGAAGAAAGATAGCAACAACAGAGGGCAGGAAGAAAGGAGAAAGAGGGGAATCAGAACATGAAATAAGGGAGTCCTAGGCCCTTCTGTAGTGAAGGACACTACAGCTTGGTCCCCATGGAGCAGGGATGAGGGCACACTCTCAGCTGACTTACCACCCTTGTATTCATTGATGGCCTCCCCTAGAGCATCAATAGACTCTATGTCCAGGTTATTGGTTGGCTCGTCCTACATAGGAGGAATTCCATGACTGAGCACTGCAACTCCCGTCTTCCATTACTGTTACCCTTATCCCTTTTCCCACAGCCCAGCTCACTCACCAAGATGAGGACATCAGGTTCCCGACAGGCCAGCTCAGCAAACACAACTCGCGCCTTCTGACCACCTGTAGCAAAGGAAGGGGAGGGCTGTCACACCTAGCACCTCACATTCTGAAGGCAAACCCTCAAGATGTGCCAGTTTGTGAGCTGAGGCTCCCTCATTCTCGGTTCCTCTAGGTACAGTTTGTAGACATGAATGATAAGGTGAAGGGCACCCTCCCTGGCCCCTGAAGTGGTACCAGAGAGTTTGCAGATCTGGATGGTGTGGGCGTGACTCTCCAGGCCGAAGCGGCCCAGGCACTTGCGGGCATCCTGGTAGGGCAGGTTGAAGCCCCGCTGCAGGTACTCAGTGGGCGTCTCCTCCATGCGCAGCTGCTCTGCATACTGCTGGTTGAAGAAGCCAATTTTCTGCCCGAGAAGAGAGGGAGGTGGTCGGTTAAAGTCACACTTCCTCCATCAGATTATCATTCCCTAAATCCCAATGCCAACTTACCAGCCGGTGGTTCTTTCTCATTTCCCCATGGGTCTGCAAGGGAAGACAAAGTAGTTAAGAGGAGGGCAAGGGAAAAAGGTGCTGCAGCTCCATACATCAACTTTTTTTTTTTTTTTTTGAGACGGAGTCTCGCTCTGTCCCCCAGGCTGGAGTGCAGTGGCGCGATCTCGGCTCACTGCAACCTCCACCTTCCGGGTTCACGCCATTCTCCTGCCTCAGCCTCCCCAGTAGCTGGGAATACAGGTGCCTGCCACCACACCCGGCTAATTTTTTGTATTTTTAGTAGAGACGGGATTTCACCATGTTAGCCAGGATGGTCTCGATCTCCTGACCTCGTCCATACACCAACTTTTCTGAAGGAGAGACAAACACCAGAAATGGGCCAGGGACAAGTATGCATAAGAAAAGGAATAGGGGCTGGGCACGGTGGCTCATGCCTGTAATCTCAGCACTTTGGGAGGCCAAGGAAGGCAGGTCAGGAGGCACTTAAGGTCAGGAGTTTGAGACCAGGCTGGCCAACATTGTGAAACCCTGTCTCTACTAAAAATACAATAATTAGCTGGGCATAGTGGGACATGCCTATAATCCCAGCTACTCAGGAGGCTGAGGCACAAGAATGGTTTTAACCCAGGAGGTGGAAGTTGCTGAGATCGCACCACTGCACTCCACCCTCGGGGACAGGGGAAGACTTTGTCTCAAAAAAGAAAAGGAACAGGGATGTTCCCCTAATATGACAAAGGCATGGTGAGCAAAGTAAAAGAGTTAAGGGACAAAAGGGGAGTTAAGCAAAATGGAGGACAAGAGGGACAAGCAGGAGGGACTAACCACAGCCAAAGAACACCTGCTCTCCATACAGCGAGACTCACGAATGGTACATCGTAAGGGCCTCATGTGGCAAGTTTAGTGTTTTGGGGAGAATCTAATAATACCTTTCTAAAGATCTAATCTCTGGATATGAGAAAATGGCCTCTCAACACTGCTAGAGAGAGCAGAAATGGCTACAAACTTTCTAACACACTAGATGGCAATATATTACAAAAGTTCAAATAAAATGGTAGAGTTTGCCGGGCGTGGTGGCTCACACCTGTAATCCCAGCACTCTGGGAGGCCGACGCAGGCAGATCATGAGGTCAGGAGATCAAGACCATCCTGGCTAACACGGTGAAACCATCTCTACTAAAAATACAAAAAATTAGCTGGGCGTGGTAGCACGCGCCTGTTGTCCCAGCTACTCGGGAGGCTAAGGCAGGAGAATCGCGTGAACCCAGGAGACGGAGGTTGCAGTGAGCCAAGACTGTGCCACTGCACTCCAGCCTGGGTGACAGAGTGAGACTCTGTCTCAAAAAAAAAAGGTAGACTCATATGAAATAAGTAATTGCATGGAAAAATGCTTGATATATTTGGAAAAATCTAGCTACACAACAACTCATATGACAGCCCATTTTTGTTAAAAATTATATGCACATTTGCAAAGAAAAAAGGAGAAAGATATCCACTAAAACATTAATACTGGTTATCTCAGCTGGGAGCGGTGGCTCACGCCTGTAATCCCAGCACTTTGGGAGGCTGAGGCGGGCGGATCACAAGGTCAGGAGTTCGAGACCAGCCTGACCAACATGGTGAAACCCTGTCTCTACTAAAAATACAAAAAGTAGCTGGGCATGGTGGGGCGTACCTATAATCCCAGCTATTCAGGAGGCTGAGGCAGGAGAATATCTTGAACCTGGGAGGTGGAGGTTGCAGTGGGCCAAGATCGCACCACTGCACTCCAGGCTGGGCGACAGTGAGACTCCGTCTCAAAACAAAATAACAAAAAAAAAAAACTGGTTATCTCCAGATTTTTCTCTTAAGCATTTTTTTTTTTTTTTTGACAGAGCCTCACTCTGTCACTTAGACTGGAGTGCAGTGGCACGACCTCGGCTAACTGGAACCTCTGCCCCCTGGACTCAAGCAATTCTCCTACCTCAGCCTCCCGAGTAGCTGGGACTACAGTCGTGCACCAACATACCCAGCTAATTTTTGTATTTTTAGTAGAGATGGGATTTCACCATGTTGCTCAGGCTGGTCTGTTTTTTTTTTTTAGACGGAGTTTTGCTCTTGTTGCCCAGGCTGGAGTGCAATAGCGCAATCTCAGCTCACTGCAACCTCTGCCTCCTGGGTTCAAGTGATTCTCCTGCCTCAGCCTCCCAAAATAGCTGGGATTACAGGCATGTGCAACCACGTCTGGCTAATTTTGTATTTTTAGTAGAGATGGGGTTTCTTCATGTTGGTCTCAAACTCCTGACCTCAGGTGATCTCCCACCTCGGCTTCCCAAAGTGTTGGGATTACAGGTGTGAGCCACCACAGTGGGCTCAGGCTGGTTTTTAACTCCTAAGCTCAAGTGATCTGCCTGCCTCAGCCTCCCCCAAAGAGTTGGGATTATAGGCGTGAGCCACCACGCCAGGCCAATTTTTTTTTTTTTTTGAGATGGAGTCTCGCTCTGTTGCCCAGGCTGGAGTGCAATGGTGCAATCTCAGCTCACTGCAACCCCCGCCTCCCAGGTTCCAGCAATTCTGCCTCAGCCTCCTGAGTAGCTAGGATATAGGTGCGCGCCACCGCACACGGCTAATTTTTGTATTTTTAGTAGAGGCGGGGTTCACTATGTTGGCTAGGCTGGTCTGGAACTCTTGACCTTAGGTGATCCCTGCTGGGATTATAGGAGTGAGCTACTGTGCCTGGCCCGTTTATGCAATTTTTAATCGTTCTATAAAAGACATATATTTCTTGTATAACCAAAACACGTGGGTGTGCCCCCTAGTTCTATCTTAATTCTCTTAGCTCTCCCCCCTGAACTGATCTAAGCTCTTTCCTCCTCTACTGCCCCTCTTAGGGAAATGAATCATCTATCATGAGTTCTGTATTTAACTCTACATTCTCGAGAGGCTCCCTGATTCCAGCTTCTGGCAAAAGCAGCTGTGTCTTCACATTTCTCATGCTCTCCCTCCTTGGCTCCAGGACTCACCGGTGTCAGCTTGCCAGTCAGCAGCAGGAGTAGCGTACTCTTCCCCACACCATTAGGGCCCACAATGCAAACTGCAAGATGGAAGACAGGTGGTCAAAGAGGTCCCCAGAGACTCTCCCTGTGGCTCCTGCTACACATCCCTGAGGCAACCCCGCCAACTCACTCCTTGAATCCATGTCGATGCCAAAATCCAAGTTCTTAAAGAGTGGTTTCTGTCCCTGGTAGCCGAATGTCACACCTGAAAGCCACGAAAAGAAGCAATTTATATTCTTTTCAGTCCCTGCAAAGTCCCTCTCATGTGCTGGCCTTGGAGAACAGGAGCAATCTCAGCCTTGGTGGAGAATTTAGGGTGCACATACATGCTTCCGGTGCTTCCTGTGGAGCAGCAGAGGCCCGCGGCACTCACCATGCAGACCCAGCACTGGAGGGCTGAGTGGTGGGGGGTCTGGAAAAGTGAAGCGCACAGTGTACTCCTTAGGGCGCTTCAGGAGCTCAGGGGCCTCCTGGGATTCCTCATCTTGGTTTTTCCGTCGGCATTTCTGCTGCTTCCGAGTCAGGGCTTCCTTCGTTTGTTTTTCCTGGAGAGGAAGAGGAAAAAAGAGAAACCTGAGCCCTGCACGGCAGTCCTTGAAATGTAGGCCAGCGTTCCAGAGTCTCCTTCTTCCTCCACTGCCAGGAGAGAACAGTGGCCCCCAGCCCAGAAGTCCCTCAGGTGCTCACCGCCTGCTTGGTGGACTTCCCGCCTGCCTTCAGCTCCTTCAGCTTTTTCTCTTGCTTCTCATACTGTTTCAGCAGTTCTTTCTGCTTCTGCTGGTACATCTTTTTGAAGGTCACTGGGGCAGAAGAGGGGACCAGGCATCAGTGGTTGCTCCTCTTCCCAGCAAAGGGACAACCAGGGACTGGTGGTGATGGGGTAGGCATCACTGTCTGGAATTCTGACAGGATTCAGTTTATCTAAATAGGCCCTCCCACTCAGGCCTCTTTTCGAGGTTCTATCTCTTCCCTGCATCCACACACAATCCTACTTACTGTAATTGCCCCTATAGTAGTGGAGCCGCTGGGCATCGAGGTGGATGATATCAGTGCAGACATCATCCAAGAAGCCCTGGTCATGGGAGACGATCAGCAAGGTCTTCCGCCAGCCCTGGAGGTAGCTGGGTTTCAGAGAACAGGGTGTAAGTGTCACAGTGGTCAAGTGAGAGAGAATTCAGAGGAAGCAGGCAGACAACGGGGGCTGGGAGGGAAAGGGGGGTCTGAATAGAGCTCCACTCACAGGCACAGTGGAGAAGGGCTAAAGGAAAACAGGGCAGGGAGGGAAGGGGAAGAAAGTGCAGAATGGGAACCAATGATGCAAAGGCCGTAACGCACTTATTAAGCCAGATGACAGCGTTGAGGTCCAGGTGGTTGGTGGGCTCATCCAGCATCAGCAGTGTGGGCTCCATGAACAGTGCCCTAGAGGGTGGGTAGCAGAGGGCAGGGTCAGGGAGAGAAAGATCCTTGCTCAGACAACCCCAGAGAAAACTCGGAGATAGAGCCTGAGACCATGAACACGCCTTCCCAAGCTCTCCTCAGAGAAGTTCTCGGGCAGGATACGGTTTAATTTTTTTGAGACAGGGTCTCGCCCTGTTGCCCAGGCTGTCGTGCAGTGGCACAATAAGGGCTCACTGTAGTCTAAATCTCCCAGGTCTAAGTGATACTTCTACTTCAGCCTCCAGAGTAGCTGTGACCACAGCGTGCGCCACCATATCCAGCTGATCTTTAAATTTTTTGTAGAGACAGGGTCTCCCTATGTTGCCCAGGCTAGGATATGTTTTCTTCCCCCTTTTGTGAAGATAGAGTCTCACTATATTGCCCAGGCTGGTCTCAAACTCCTGGGTTCAAGATAATCCTCCTGCCTCTGCCTTCCAAAGTGCTGGGATTACAGGCGTGACCCATTGCACCCAGCTGCAGGGTATGTTGATGAGAACTCACCACCAAGTAGGGAGAGAAATAGAGAAAGACCCTAAGTTCTCACAACACAGATAGTAAGGAGGGAGAGGTAAGCCTTGAGCCTCCCTATTGGCCTTGGAAGAATGAGAAGGGAAAGAGGAAAAGGGCCCCGGTGGTCTGAGGCTGGAAGGGAGGGCAGTGAGGTGAATGGCCCACCTGGCCAGGGAGACACGCATGCGCCAGCCCCCTGAGAACTTCTGTGTGGGTCGATTCTGCATTTCAGGGTCAAAGCCCAGGCCAGCCAGGATCCGCCGTGCTTTGGCCTCTGCAGCTGCCGCCCCAGTGGCCCGCAATTCCTCATACACCTGGGAGGAGGGAGAAGAGGACACACGTCTGAGGGTCCCAGGAACCCCCAAGTCTTTGCCCGTGTCCCCTGCGCCATCTCCTCTACCTTCTCTAGCCTCTCAGCAGCTGTGTCATCCCCTTGTTCCAGCTGTCCCTGAAGCCGCCGCTCCTCTTCCAGCAGCTTCAATCGCTTGGTGTCAGCTCGAAGAACAGCCTGGACTGCTGGTGTCTCATCTGCTACCACCTCTGGGAGGCAGAGGGAGAACAGTCAGGCAGCCTCAAGAGCCAAGAGTCTCATCTTTCTTTCCCTTCAATTACATTTCTGTTTTGCCTGACCCTGCCCAGCTCTTTGTACTTGTTCCAAATAAAACACTCTCAAGTTCCTCATTGACCCTCCCCTCCTTTCCTTAGCATCCCTTTCCCGGTCTCCAGTCTCCCTCCACATCCCTTCCAACTCCATAGCCACAATTTCTTCTATTCTTGGCTGGCTGGCTTTTCTACCCAACTGCCCACCCCACCAAGCCCCTTTTCTCCCCAGTGGTCTCACCCTGCTCACACAGCAACACATCAATGTTGGGAGGGATGCTCAGGGCTCGGTTGGCAATGTGCTTGAGGAGTGTGGTCTTGCCCTTGCTGGGGAATAAAAGCTATTAGGACCTGGCCACCACTGAGAAATCTCTTCTTTTCCCTCCAGGCCCTTTTTTGCCTCCAGCTCCCTCCTCTTCTCACCCATTGGGTCCTACCAGCCCGTAGCGGCGGCCGGCTACAATGTACAGGTCTGCATTGACGAACAGCTCCTTGCCATGAGCGGAGATGCTGAACTTCTCCAGCTGCAGCCATCAGGAAAGAGGTGGCAGAGGGAAGGGATGATCACATGAAAATTCTCCCTTTGGGACAGGAGCGGCCACTTTCTCCCTGCAGGGAAGCCCCTGACAAACCGCTACCTCCAGCATAATCCCCTTCCTCTCCCCACAGCCGGTCCCCGCCCTGTTCGCTGCCTGTAATGGGAGCCCCATGCATCCTCAGCTAGTCTAGTCTGTCCCACACTATTTTCTGCCAAGGGTGGACCCCACTTCTACTGGTTTTTCTATCTTCTTGCTCAAGTTGGCAGAACCTAAGGTGTGGAAAATGCCTCCAATCTTTCTTCCCACTGAACTAACCCATTCACACACCACAGCCACTCAGGGAAGATGAGAGAACTGGCTCTTCCCTAGGTAAGTGGACTGGAAGGGGCCCCTTGAGACCTTACCTTGATGTCAGATGCATTTTCTAACATGGCTTGGCGGGAGGACATCTCCGCCTGGGACACGGAGAAGTCATTTTCAGCTGCATTGGCTGCTTTTAATGAAGCCACTTGGCGCTCATACTCCATCTGAGAAGGTAGGAAAAACTACATTTGAAGCCACAGTCTACCAGTTTCCCATCACCATGAAACAGCCCATGCTGGCTGGGCATGCTGGCTCACGCCTGTAATCCCAGCACTCTGGGAGGCTGAGGTAGGTGGATCTCTTGAGCTCAGGAGTTTGAGACCAGCCTGGCCAACATGCTAAAATACTGTCTCTACAAAAAATACAAAAATTAGCCAGGCATGGTGGTGCCACCCATAGTCTCAGCTATTCGGGAGGCTGAGGTGGGAGGATCACTTGAGCCTGGTAGGTTGAGGCTGCAGTGAACAGAGATCACGTCATTGCACTCCAGCCTGAGTAACAGTGTGAGACCCTGTCTCAAAAAATAAACAAAAAACCCCAAAGTGAAACAGCCCATGTCATCAGACATTGAGATAAGGTTCACAGAACACAATTATTTTCTTACTCCGATTGTTTTACTTGGAGTAGCCCCCAAACCTTTCCTTCGTGTCCCCAATCGCATGTCCCCTAGTTGAAGTATTTAAAAATCCCCTACTTTTGACCGCTAAGAACCAAGGTCTTACCTGTTTTTTCAGCTTTTTCTTCTCCTTTTTGCTAAGATGAGCATAGGGATCATCTGCCTTAGACTCTCCTCCTTCCTCCTCCTCTTCTTCCCCTTCTCCTTCTTCCTCTGAACCCTGTGAGAACCCGGGGATGGTCAAAACTAGGGACTCCTGGCTGGGCGCGGTGGCTCACGCCTGTAATCCCAGCACTTTGGGAAGCCAAAGCGGGCAGATCCCAAGGTCAGGAGATCAAGACCATCCTGGCTAACATGGTGAAACCCCATCTCTACTAAAAATACAAAAAATTAGCCGGACGTGGTGGCGGGCGCCTGTAGTCCCAGCTACTCGGGAGGCTGAGGCAGGAGAATGGTGTGAACCTGGGAGGAGGAGCTTGCAGTGAGCCGAGATCGTGCCACTGCACTCCAGCCTGGGTGACAAAGCAAGACTCCGTCTCAAAAAAAAAAACAACAAAAAAAAACTAGGGACTCCTTCTAGAACTCAGATTTCACATCATCTGCCCCCTGTCCCTGCCCCAGCTCTTTCCTTCACTACTCAGAGTCCTAAAATATCTTGGGATCCTCTCTCATTCTCATACCCAGCCCCTGGTCTCCCTGAGGTCCTTTATTAATTTCTGCTACCAGGAATGGTACAAGACAAATGGTATGAATGTGTATTTATGAAATGTGACAACGCGTTATGTCCCTATAAATGTAACTCCCAATACAATGTAACTGAAGGTGGAGTAAATGGATTTCAAGAGTTTCATTTGTATAAAATGAGTTTCTGTGGTTTCCTTGTTAACATGCAAAGAAAAGATCAGGTAGCCGTCCGGGCACGGTGGCTCATGTCTGTAATCCCAGCACTTTGGGAGGCCAAGATGGACAGATCACAAGGTCAGGAGATCAAGACCATCCTGGCTAACATGGTGAAATCCTGTCTCTACTAAAAACACAAAAAATCAGCCGGTCATGGTGGCACGTGCCTGTAGTCCCAGCTACTCGGGAGACTGAGGCAGAAGAATTGCTTGAACCCGGGAGGCAGAGGTTGCAGTGAGCTGAGATTGCGCCACCGCACTCCAGCCTGGGCAACGGAGTGAGACTCCATCTCAAAAAAAAAAAAAAAAAAAAAAAAGATCAGGAAGCTCTAGTGCACAGTCAGAGGAATCCAGCAGAATCACAGAATTAGGAAGTGCCAGACGCATAGGGACCCTAGAGATCTCCGGACTCCTCCTTCTATCACACAAAGGAGACAAGTGAGACCCAAGGGGATGGGAAGATGTATTCAAGGTCACACAGCCAGTGAAGGCAGAGCCAGGACCCAGATCATCTGAGATAAATTCCAGGCCCTTTCTTCACTGGATTAGGTGTTGCAAACTACAGCCCATGGGCCAAGGCTGACCTGACATTTATTTTTATATAGCTCCTGAACTTTATAAAAATAATTTTTGTATTTTCAAAGAGTTGTTAAAAAAAAAAAAGAATATGTGATAGAGATTGTATGTGGCCTGCAAAGCCAAAAACATTTACTATATGGCCCTTTATAGAAAAAGTTTGCTGGCTGGCATGCTGGCTCACACCTGTAAACCCAGCATTTTGGGAGGCTGAGGCAGGAGGACTGCTTGAGCCCAGAAGTTCAAGACCAGCCTGAGCAACATAGTGAGACCTCATCTCTATACTAAAAATAAAAAAATTAGCCAGGGGTAGTGGTGCACACTTGTAGTCCCAGCTACTCAGTAGGCTGAGGCAGGAGAATCTGTTGAGCCCAGGAGGTTGAGGCTTCAGTGAGCCGTGTTCACACCACTGCACTCCAGCCTGAGTGACAGAGTAAGATCCTGTGTAAACAAAAACAAAAACAAAAACAAACGAACCACCACCCCAACTACTCCCCCAAAAAAAGAAAAGAATAAAGGTTTGCTGGGATAATAACTATATCCCCAGATTCTAACTCTCCCATAAGGACCCTGGAAGCCCTAGTCCCTCATTCCACCTTGCCCCAACACCAAATACACACCTGCTCTGCCTTCTTGGCCTTCTCCTTCCCTTGTTTGGGAGGCTCCTTTTCCTTTATAATTTCTTCTTCTTTATCCTCCTCTTCATTGTCCAGAGCAGCGAATTTATTTTGAGGCTAATAGGGAAAAGACAGGTCTGATGAAATGTTTTTTTTTTTTTCTTTTTTTTTTTTTGAGACGGAGTCTCGCTCTGTCACCCAGGCTGGAGTGCAGTGGCGCAATCTCGGCTCACTGCAAGCTCCACCTCCCGGGTTCACGCCATTCTCCTGCCTCAGCCTCCCGAGTAGCTGGGACTACAGGCGCCCGCCACCACGCCCGGCTAATTTTTTTTGTATTTTTAGTAGAGACGGGGTTTTACCGTGTTACCAGGATGGTCTCGATCTCCTGACCTCGTGATCCGCCCACCTCGGCCTCCCAAAGTGCTGGGATTACAGGCGTGAGCCACCGCGCCCAGCCCTGATGAAATGTTTTAATTCCTGGGCCCCAATACCTCCTCCTGCTAGTTACTCTCTCACCTTAGCCTTCCCTTTTGACTTCTCTTCCTTTCCCTTTTTGCCCTTGAGTGCAGGCTGCTGTTCCTCAGATACGGCCTGGAGGAGACACACATACACATTACACACATACATACAAATTATTGTGCTACTTTGCTGTGTAATAAGCATTTCTAGAGAGTCTACTGTGTTAACCATACACATGCTCCTCCATTTACGACAGGTTGCATCCCGATAAACCCACCAGAAACTTAAATAAAAAATGATAGTTCTTGGCCGGGCGTGGTGGCTCACACCTGTAATCCCAGCACTTTGGGAGGCCAAGGCAGGTGGATCACAAGGTCAAGAGATCGAGACCATCCTGGTCAACATGGTGAAACCCTGTCTCTACTAAAAACACAAAAATTAGCTGGGCGTGGTGGCACGTGCCTGTAATCTCAGCTACTCAGGAAGCTGAGGCAGGAGAATCACTTGAACCCGGGAGGCGGAGGTTGCAGTGAGCCAGGATTACGCCACTGCACTCCAGCCTGGCAACAGAGTGAGACTCCGTCTCAAAAAAAAAAAAAAAAAAAAATAGTTCCAACTTATGATGGGTTTATCTGGATATAATCCCATCATGAGTTGAGGAGTACCCTAAATGAGTATGACTTTCACACCATCATAAAGTAGAAAAATCGTACACCGAAGCAGAAGTTGGAGACCATCTGTATTGAGTGCTGCTGACGAAAAATGAGACCCAGAAAAACCCTACCCTCCAGCTTCAGACTAGATAGCGAAGAGATAACTAGGGAACGTCAGCAAGGCTAAGGATTATAAGTCAGGCAAGTGCGCCACCAGAGTGAGTGGCACTAGCACTGGAGGCTTTCTCAAGAGCTCAAATGGACATGGACTAAGATGCACACGCAGAAGAGTCACAAGTAGAAGAGCAAGGACCTGGGGCTTTGTTTCAGGTTCTGTGCTTAAAGCAACAGAATCACTGTAGATTTCTGAGTGATAAAAATGGCATGGTTTTTTTTGTTGTTTTTTTTTTGAGACTGAGTCTTGCTCTGTTGCCCAGGCTGGAGTGCAGTGCCTCAATCTCAGCTCACTGCAAATTCCACCTCCCAAGTTCAAGTGATTCTCCTGCCTCAGCCTTCCAAGTAGCTGGGATTACAGGCGCACGCCACCACGCCTGGCTAATTTTTGTATTTTTAGTAGAGATGAGGTTTCGCCATGTTGGTCAGGCTGGTCTCGATCTCTTGACCTCGTGATTCGCCCACCTCGGCCTCCCAAAGTGCTGGGATTACAGGCGTGACCCACTGTGCCCAGCCTGGGCATGTATTCTAAAAAGATGATTTTAACAGTATAAGTAAGACAGACCGAGAAGAGCTAGTTTAAAAGCGGGAAATTACTCCACCATGGCCAGAAGGTGCTAAATGGAGTGAGAGTGACTGATCGAGCCACCACTGTCACCTTATTGATCCGATTCTTCTCCGGCTTGGCAGGCTTAGGAGGATGTTTTTCTTCCTCCTCCTCTTCCTCACTCTGATCCTGAATCAGGGCTGCAAAAACATTACCACCCTAGAGAATGAAAGGGCCACAGAAGTCAGTAGGATGGTCAAGGTTGCATCCTTGGAGTCTCCGTTTACCACACAGATGGCTTACCTTGGTTTTCTTCCCTCCGCGGGGTTTTGGGGCGGGTACTGAAATGACAGGGGGAGAACATGAGATAGGAAAGAATTACAATGTCTGGCCCCCCAATTGAATCCAACTTGAAGATCAGGGTATGAGGTATCACTCTCCATGACTCATGGATTCCAGGTACCCATTCCCCCTCAGGTCATTTACCTTCATCCTCCTCATCACTGGTTGGCACTGAGAGCTTCTTAAGACGCTCCATGAGCTCTTTCTCTTCTCCATCATCATCCACATCCTTCTTCCGCCTGCCTTTTCGGGTATCTCGCTTTTTTTTTTGCTGCTGAGAGCAAAAGAACAGTGAGAAAATGAAGCCCAGGCCCCTGCTGTATTTCTGCCTCACAGAGGGTTCCCCATCAGCTGAATGGAGCAACATGGGCTGGAAAGGGGTTGGTGGAACCCAGATGCCTCCCAGGATTGGTGGGCCCTGTGGCACTTGTACCTGCTGTTGCTGTTGCTGCTGCTGCTGCTCCTTCTCCTTGAGCACTTTCTCTTCTTCCCCAGCCTGTTTATCTTCTACTGCCAGCTCTTCAAAGAACTATAAAGGGAGTTAAGCTACAGGTAAACATGTTTCCAAGAGCAATCCAAGCAGGCTGTGCTCTGCCACACATTGGCCCACTGGCCCTCCACTCCACCCTCACCTTACCTCCTGTCTCTCTCTTTTTTTTCTTTTTGTGGAGAATGGAGTGTGCAGGTCTCAAATTCCTGGGCTTAAGCTATCCTCCCACCTCTGCCTCCCTAAGCGCTGGGATTACAGGTGTAAGCCACCGTGCCCTGCCTATCTCCTCTCTTGACAAGATCTTTTCTCCTCCCTTGGACCTCCCACCTCCTTCACATGGCTATTTATTTAGCTTGGAAACATCCATAGTCATTTCTTATCCTCAACCCTCATTTTCTCACCGTTTTTTTGATCTTCTTGTCCTTCTTCCCTTTCTTCACCACTTTGTCTAGAAAGTTAAGCGGACATCGTGAATGCTTATCTGCAAATTCCAAAGCAGTCTGATCCCCCCTGCAAAGATCTCTGTAGCCTCTATCCTATTTTATTATTTTTCTAGCTTAACTATCACTCCTTAAATATTTGTACTGTCTCACAACTCCTGCAGAAATAATAATTCCCATCTCTATTCATTCATCCACTAAGTATCTACTAGACAGCTACCATGTGTCAGATATTGTGCTAGCGTAGGGGATTATAGCAATGAACAAGACAAATGTGGTCTCCTCTGGAGCTTGCAGGCTATAGGAAGAGAGATTTTTAAATAGGTAATTCCAGGTGTACTGAAGGTTCCAAAAGAAAAGGTAAAGCCTACTTGGTGGTGGGGGAGAGGCTGGCTTCATCTCTGGTGGCGGCCTCTCTAAGAAGATGGCATTTAAGCAAATAACTGAAGTAATGAGGAGTATGAGAAGTTAGTCAGACACATGGTGTAATTCCAGTGCTGTGCACAGGCCCAGCTGTGAGAAAGCACACACACTGAGAGACAGGGAAAGGTTTGGTATGGCTAAGCTTACAGACTGAGGGGAGAATGGTGCAAGGTAAGGCTGGAGTGAGGGCCTTGTAGCAAGGTTAAGGAATGGGGACTTTATTGGTATGATCACTTTCACACTTTAAAGTTTCACTCTGGCTTCAGAGTACAGCAAGAATCGGAGGGAATAAGCATAGTGGGAAATCCACTGGGGAGGCTGTCAGAGTAGTCTGGGTGGTGGTGACAAGCGGACATAAAGAAGAATTCATAGGATGGGGCTAGAGGTGGGGAATAAAGAGCACCCGGCCGGGCGCGGTGGCTCATGCCTGTAATCCCGGCACTTTGTGAGGCAGAGGCAGGCGGATCACTTGAGGTCAGGAGTTCAAGACTAGTCTGGTGAACATGGTGAAACCCAGTCTCTACTAAAAATACAAAAAATTAGCCAGGCATAGTGGCGGGCGCCTGTAATCCCAGCTACTCAGGAGGCTAAGACAGGAGAATTGCTTGAACCCAGGAGGCGGAGGTTGCAGTGAGCTGAGATCACGCTATTGTACTGCAGCCTGGGTGACAGAGCAAGACTCTATCTCAAAAAAAAAAAAAAAAAAAAAAAAAAAAAAAAGAGCACTCAGAGATGACTCCTGTGTTTTTAGCTGGCAAAATTAGCTGGGCTAAGTGGTACCATTTATTAATTAAGGAGGCAGTGGAAGAGAAGGTCTTATAGGAAGGAAGAAGATATTATAAATTCAATTTGGGAGATATGTGTAGATACACACACATGTATACAACACACACACACCCTCCTTTTTTTTTTTTTTTTTTTAAGAGACAGGGTCTTGCTCTGTCACCCAGGCTGGAATGCAGTGGCATGATCATAACTCACTGTAACCTTAAATTCCTAGGCTTAGGTGATCCTCCCACTTTAGCCTCCTGAGTAGCTAGGACTACAGGCAAGCGCCACCATGCCTGCCTAATTAAAAAAATAATAATTTTTAGAGAGGAGGTCTCACTATGTTGCTCAGGCTAATCCTGAACCTCTGGCCTCAAGCAATTCTCCTGCCTCAGCTTCCCAAACTGTTGGAATTATAGGCCTGAGCCACTGTGCCTGGCCAGGGGGACACGTTGTTTGTAAAACCTATAGGCCATGTAAATAGAGTTATCTGGTAAGCAAATGAACACCTCAGTCTATGCCTTACTTGTTCTGCTTGAATATTATAGCACAAATCACATTGTGTCATATTTACCTGTCTGTGTGCTTTCATTCTAGAGAGTAACCTGAGAGACTGTTTAGCCTGTGTTCCCAGTAAAGCCAAAACAGATTCAACAGATTCTAGCTCTCCCCCTCTCCATCCTTGTTTCCCTGAAGGTAGAGGACCATGTCCAACTCCCTCCCCTACTGGAGGCAGCCTCATGATTTCCCTTCAGGCTTAGGCCTATTTATTATCTTCTCTTCCAAAACATCCCTTCCATTCACTGCTATCTAATTCTACCCTTAAGCATTTCAGTATTTAATATTAAAAAAAAAAAATTGGTCGGGTGCGGCGGCTCAGGCCTGTAATCTCAGCACATTGGGAGGCCAAGGTGGGTGGATCACAAGGTCAGGAGATTGAGACCAGCTTGGCCAACATGGTGAAACCCCATCTCTACTAAAAATACAAAAATTAGCTGGGCGTGGTAGAGCACGCATGTAGTCCCAGCTACTTGGGAAGCTGAGGCAGGAGAATCGCTTGTACCTGGGAGGTGGAGGTTGCAGTGAGCCAAGATCGCGCCACTGCACTCCAGCCTGGGTGACACAGCGAGACTGTCTCAAAAAAAAAAAAAAAAAAGAAAAAAAGTCAATGGTATCCGCCATCTACTACATTAAAATATTCTCAGACTAGAATTCCATGTATTTCAAAGTAATCATTTATTCAGGAAAGTTTTATGGTGCATCTACTTCTCCAAAAAACTAGAGTTAACGAGAGACAATTCCAATAATTAAAGGCTTCACAGACTAAAATGGCCCTACCCTATCTTTTCTGTTTCCCTACCCACACCTCTGGTCTCGATACTGGCTTCTTTCTGTTCCTTTATGAAGTCCCAGGCACGCTTATGTCTGTCTTTGCTTAATCTGCATCCTCCATCCAGAACACATTTCAAAGTTTGGGGCCCTCCTCCTCCCCAAAAAACAAACCACAAAAAACAAACAAAAAAGTTAAAGAAAAAAAATCTGAGCCCAGTATTGGGTGACTAGTGTGAGAGTTGAAAAATTGTGCAGGATTAATAATAAAAGGCTTTATATGCTATTCCAAGGAGTTTAATCCTAAAGGCATTAGGAGGAAGGATCTACTGAAGTACCTAAGAAGGAAAAACCTGATCAGCTCACCTTATCAACACAGATGACTGACTCATCCCAGACACTAATTTCTCCCCAAGGACTAACACAGCCATACCATCTCTCCTTCCTTTAAATCTCTTTTGTGGCCAGGCACACTGGCTCACGCCTGTAATCCCAACATTTTGGGGACCAAGGTGGGAGGACTGGTTGAGGCCAGAGGTTCAAGATTAGCCTGGGCAACATAGCAAGACCTCATCTCTACAGAAAACAAAAAACAAAAACAAACAAAAAATAAGCCAGGCATGGCGGTGTGTGCCTGTAGTCCCAGCTACAAGGGAAGATGGCTTGAGCCTGCGATTGAGGCTGCAGTGAGCTGAGATCGCGCCACTGCACTCCAGCCTGGAGTGAGGCTCCGTCACAAAAAAAAAAAACCCACCAAAACCAAAAAAATCTTTTGTACTTTAATCACTCTTATCCACTTCATTATAGGGACAGGAAAAGCCTCTGAAGAGTTTCATTGTGAGAAAGTATAATCCCCAAGGAACTGAAAAAGATTAAGTGTGGCTAGAGATATACTGTGTCTTCTCTCCTTTCGTATATCGCTTAAGCTGCTCCTTCAAGGCAAGAAAGCAAGCCTTCTTTACCCTTATACCCCTCTCCCCCATTACTGTTTCGTATTCTTGTCCTCATTGGGTCTCAAAATCGTAATTCACAAGCTTCACTTTCTCTTCTCCCATACCTTTGAAACATACTGCAATCTGGTATCATCTCCGAATGAACACTACTTCTGCCAAAGTTGCCACTGAACCCTTAGCTCCTCAAACCACAAAGTATTTTTTGGTCCTTATTTTGCCTGACTTCTCTGCAGCATTCCATGCTGCCTACCTCCACACCTTTTTTATTCTCTTCTATCATTATTTAATTTCTGGGATCTTGCTCACTCCTGGTTTGCCTCCAGTTTCTCTGGCTGTTTGCCTTTCTCAGTCTCATCTCTTCAGCCTCCTTCCCCACCTGCTTCCTGCAATTGCTGAAGTTCTTTAGGGTTCCCACCTTTAACCTTCTTTTTGGTTCAATCTGCAAACACTCTCTAGGGGACTCTTCCATATCCAGCACTTCAACTATACTTGCCTGTGTCTTTACTCCTAGTATAGTTGTCTCTCCACAGTGACTAAACAAACTCTCTTCTTGCCATTTCCTTTTAGAAATCCTCAGAAACGCCTAACTCAGCATTCAGAAGTTCACCTTATCTCTTTCCACTTCTTACTCTCCTGTCCATTACTGCTTTCAGTTAATAGTCTACTAGTCACTGGGTTACTTAAGTGTCAACCTTACTTCTCCCTTCATTTAATCAGTTCTCAGTTCCGATCAATGCCGCCTCCTTAGTAACTCTTTATTCTTCAGGCCTTGGCTTATCCCCTTACCACTTCTCACCTAGATCATGGCCAGAGCCCCCTAAATGGTCTCCCCACCTCCATCTTGACCAGTTCAAGGCCATTCATTCTCCATTGCTCAGTGCTACAGGTGAACTGTTCATAATCATTCCTTATGCACTTCAATGGGCCTTCCTTCTTAATGTCTTTAGGATTAAACTCCTCGGAATGGCATCTAAAGCCTTTCATTATCTGTCTCCTGAGCATCTTTCTGACTTCATCACACTAGTCACCAGGCTCTAGTGGGACCAGTCAGGCTTGCCTACATCTCTACCTTCCACAAACTTCCTTGGCTTGGAATGCGCTTCCCCTTGCTAATTCACGATGATCTTTCAAGAATAAACTCTGGGGAGCAGATGTAGTGGCTCACGCCTGTAATCCCAGCACTTTTGGAGGCTGAGGCAGGAGAATTACTTGAGCCCAGGAGTTTGAGACCAGCCTAGGCAACATAGCCAGATCTTGTGTCTACAAAAAATTTTAAAAATAAGGTGTGGTGGTGCATGCCAGTAGTCTCAACTACTTGGGAGACTGAGGCAGGAAGATCCTTTAAACCCAGGAGGTGGAGGCTGCAGTGAGCCATGTTCATGCCACTGCACTCCAGCCTGGGTGATGGAGCTACAATGTGCCTCAAAAAAAAATACTCAGCTATTACATATTCTTGGGAGGCTTTGCTGACACTCCCTTACCTGTCTGAGTAGATGCTCCTCCTCTCTTCTACAGTCCCATAACATTCTTAAGCACCTTCATCATACTCTGACAACCACTGTCTGTCTGGTTAATGCTCTGACCCTTCACCATACTGGGTTGTCCCTTGAGGGAAAGTCTTATCTTTTATCTCTACATTCCCACTTCCTCCACACAGTACCTGGTATACAGTAGGCATCCAATAAGTGCTTTTAAAATTAGTTACTGTGTACCTACTGGGGTTAGTTGTGTCCATTTATGTCCCCCTTAAAACTGACTTCAACCCTGGGAAGATATCTTCATGTTTTTTTCCTTCCCCTCTCAAAGCACAGTATATAGAGTGCTTAATTAAAAACAAGCGCTTAACAAACTTTCGCTGCTTTTTAAGTAAACCTTAACCCTCATTCCAACATCAAAAATCTACACTCTTGCTCCAGTTGAGTGAGAGGGGTGTCTTAAGAAAGAAACCATGAAGGAGTCACCCTCTCTTGAGAAACAAGGGGGATCACAGGCTCCCAAGGTGTGTGTATGCGCGCGCAGGGGGAAGGGGAGGTCGAGGCAGGGCTCATATATTCCTGGTGGAATACAGTGTATGGTGGGGCGGATGTCCAAATTTTTTAAGCAAGGTTTTCCCATTTCTCCCCATCTCTCCCTCGGTGCCATATGCTCTTTCTTTTATCTCGCCCAGTCTCACTTAGGTCACGTGCGACATCTGGATCTCTTTCCTTTAACCCCGATTCCAAACCCACTCCTCCCCGGCAAACTCCTCCCGGGCCCACGGCACGCATGCGCAGTAACTCCCGCACGGGCCCGGTCAGTCTCGTGCCCCATGACCCTCTCTTAAAACACGCGCAGTCTCCTCTCTCTTCCCCCTCTGCTCGTTTCTTCCTTGCCTACCAGCCTCACCTGATGGGCTCGTGCTCTCTCCGTCCCCGATCCACTCGGGCTCCGGCGGCTGCTGCTTGGGCGCCTTCGGCATCGCGGTGGCAGTTACAGCTACTGTGGCGGCGCCCGGTGCTATTTCCGCTTCCGGCGGCGGGGAACCCCGATGGGGCTGGCTCTCCAAGCTGGCGCGGCCAACCCCGCCCCCGGGCTGCGCACGTGCGAGCTTCGCCGTCATCTCGGGGGCGTGGCCCTGGTTCAGTGGAGGCGTGGCCTGCAATGACGGAGCGGGGCCGGCGTCCGCTTGCTCCAGTCGCGTAAACACATGGCGTTTACGACTGTCTGGGAAGCCTGACGCCGTGACCTCCCGACGCCGCGAGACTCAAGGAATGAACATAATAATTTCCTACTAGTATGAAGGAGTTGAGGCATACTGTTTTTTTGTTTGTTTTGTTTTTTGTTTTTTTAAAAAGCATATTCTAGTTTCTATCTGTAACTCGTTTCTAGTTCTGCCACCGCGATGCCGAAGGCGCCCAAGCAGCAGCTGCCGGAGCCCGAGTGGATCGGGGACGGAGAGAACACGAGCCCATCAGGTGAGGCTGGTAGGCAAGGAAGACACGAGAGGAAGGGGAAGAGAGAGGAGACTGCGCGTGTTTTAGGAGAGGGTCATGGGGCGCGAGACTGACTGGGTCATGGGCAGAAAAGACAGTGCAGACCAATGGCTAAGGGAGAGGTCTGATCGGTCCAGTGTTGAAATGTGTCACAAAATCCCGAAGTGTACAATTGTAAACAGGGAACTGGAGCCCAACATGCAGAAGTCACGGTGCAGTGGAGCTTCGGTTCATTTATTTTTTTTGGTAACAGCTTTACTGAGATATAATTGACATACAATAAACTGTACACAAAATAAAATGGCACCCAAAATAAACTGCAAAGTATCACTTAAATAAGTTTTGACCTGCATAAACCCAGTAAACTATCACCACAATCAAGACTTTGGTTCACTTCTAACTCTACCACTTAATATGGGAGCTTGAGCAAGGTGCTCCTGTAGTTCTGTCAGCTCTCAAACCACTACAATCATGCTTTTGTTGCCACCATTGTCTGAATTCACACTTGCCAAAGTCAACAGATCTGGGGCCATCCTACTCACTCTCCCATCAATGTTTGATAGACTTGGTCGCTCCCTCCCTCCTTTGTTTTCTTCAGGGACACTACTCTCTATAGGTTTCCTTTGCATCTAATGGGCTTCTCCTGAAGTCTAAATGTTGAAGTGCCTCAGGGCTAAATCTTTGACACTCTCCTTAATCTAGACTTATCACCTATCACCTCCTGACTTTAAATACCATCTATAACCAATGAAGATTCCCAAACTTCTCTTGCTGGCCCCCAACTTCTGCCCCGAGCTCCAGGCTCATGAATTCAACTGCTTATGGGACATCTTCTCTGAGATCTTTAATAAATCTCTCTCATACGTACAAAATGGAGCTCTTGTTCTTACTCCTAAATCCTGTCTCTTCCAGGCTTCCCCATCAAGAAATTGCACCACAGGTCATTCAGTTATTTGGGCCAAAACTGAAAGGTCATCATCCTCTTTCTCCATTCCTCCTCCCCTAATCAATCCATCAGCCAGCTAAGTCTGCCTCATTTTTTCATTCATCTGTTCAACAAATATATTTATTGAGTGTATAGTATGTGCCAGGCACTCTTCTACGCTCTTGGGATACTACTGAATAAAATAAAGATCTCTGATTACGTTTCCAGCAGGGGAGATGATCCTATAGATAAAAGAAAATATGGATCAAGTTTAAAAGTATCAAGAGGACAGATTTTAGTCTTAAATGAGGCCTCAGTAAAGTGAAATTCAAGCAAATCATTAAAGAAGATTAGTTTTGGCCACATGGATTTCCAGGAGAAGGGCCTTTCTAGCATAAGAAACAGCTGGAGTAAAGCCCTGTGACAGGAGTGTTCGGACATACATGGGGAACAAACAGGAAGGAGGCAAGAGGGGCTGGAGTGGCATGAGTGAGCCAGAGTTGTGGGAAAGGTGAAAAGAGAAGTAAAGCAGGGTCTGGATTGGGAAAGGTCTTTTAAATTATCTTAAGGATTTTGGCTTCTTCTGTTGATTTAAATGGAAGTCACTGCAGAGTTCTGAGCAGAGTGATGTGATCCAACCTACATTTTAAAAGGATGACCTGGGCTGGGGCGCGGTGGCTCATGCCTGTAATGCCAGCACTTTGGAAGTCCTAGATGGGTGGATCACGAGGTCAGGAGATTGAGACCATCCTGGCTAACATGGTGAAACCCCATCTCTACTAAAAATACAAAAAAGTTAGCTGGGCGAGGTGGCGGGCGCCTGTAGTCCCAGCTACTGGGGAGGCTGAGGTAGGAGAATGGCATGAACCCAGGAGGCAGAGCTTGCAGTGAGCCGAGATCCCGCCACTGCACTCCAGGTTGGGCGACAGAGCGAGACTCCGTCTCAAAAAAAAAAAAATAAAATAAAATAAATAAAAGGATGACCTGGCCAGGTGCAGTGGCTCACACCTGTAATGCCAGTACTTTGGGAGGCTGAGGCAGGAGAATTGCCTGAGCCCAGGGGTTTGTGACCAACCCAGGCAACATAGCGAGACCCCTTGTCTCCGTATATAATACAATTTTTTAATTTTTATTTTATTTTATTTTTTTGAGACAGAGTCTTGCTCTGTTGCCCAGGCTGGAGTGCAGTAGCGTGATCTCGGCTCCCTGCAACCTCTGCCTCCTGGGTTCAAGCAATTCTCCTGCCTCAGTCTCCTGAGTAGCTGGGATTACAAGCGTGCGTCACCATGCCTGGCTCATTTTTGTATTTTTAGTAGAGACGGGGTTTCACCATGTTGGTCAGGCTGGTCTCGGACTCCTGACCTCGTGATCCGCCTGCCTCGGCCTCCCAAAGTGCTGGGATTAGAGGCGTGAGCCACCATGCCTGGCCTATAACATTTTTTAAATTGTTAAATAAAAAGGATGACTCTGGAGGCTGTGCTGAGAACAACCTGGGCGGGAGGTGGGAGGGGGCAGGCAGCAAAGAATGGGCAGAAATGACAGAAGCAGGGAGATCTATTAGGAGGTGATGGTGACTCAGACTAGGGTGACAGCAGTGGAGGTGTGAAAAGGGCTGGTTTCTGAATGTATTTTGGAAAAGAGCCAACAAGTTTTGTTAATGGATTGGAGGTCATGTTTGACAAATAGAATTAAAGATGACTCCAATATTTCTGGCCTGAGTTAACTAGAAAGATGTAATTGCCATCAACTGAGACTAAAACATAACCCAAATTTAACCACTTCTCTCCACCTCTACCCTGACCAAGCCATCGTCTCTTCTCCCTGGACCACTGCACTGCGCTGGCCTCCTAACTGGTCTGCCTGCTGTCATTCTCATTCTCTAGTCTATCCTTCACACCTACAGTCAGAGGTGGTTTTAAAATGTAAATCCATGGGCCAATCGCGGTGGCTCACGCCTGTAATCCCAGCACTTTGGGAGGCTGAGGCGGGCGGATCAAAAGGTCAGGAGTTCAAGACCAGGCTGGCCAACATGGCGAAACCCTGTGTCTACTAAAAATACAAAAATTAGCCAGGCGTGGTGGTGGGCGCCTGTAGTCCCAGCTACTTGGGAGGCTGAGGCAGGAGAATCACTTGAACCCGGGAGGTGGAGGTTGCAGTGAGCTGAGATCATGCCACTGCACTCCAACCTGGGTGATGGAGCAAGACTCCGTCTCAAAAAGAAAAAAAAAAAAAGTAAATCCATTTGTTCAAAGTATAAAAATATTTAAAAAAGTATAAAATCCAGAATAAAATCCAAATGCTTTACCATAGTTTATAGGGCTCTGTACAATATGCCCTCTGTTAAACATCTTGATCCCATCTCCCACAGTCTAGCCACACTGGGCTTTTTTTTTTTTTTTTGAACCAGGATCTTGGTCTGTCATTCAAGCTGGAGTGTAGTGGTATAATCATAGCTCACTGCAACCTCAAAGGATCCTCCCACCTCAGCCTCCAACTAGCTAGGACTACAGGCACACGCCACCAGGCCTGGGTACTTTTTAAACATTTTTGCAGACACAGGGTCTCACCATGTTGCCCAGGCTGGTCTCAAACTTCTGAGCTCAAGCAGTGCTCCTGCCTCAGCCTCTGAGAGTGCTGGGACTGCAGGCATGAACCACCACGCCTGGCCTGGCCTTCTATTTTTACTTCAAACACCCCAGAGTCATTCCTGCATCAAGGCCTTTGCCTTTGCTGTTCCCTGTGCCTGGAACGCACTTTCTCTGTGTGTTCATATGGTTTGTTCCCTCGTTTAATTTTCTCTCTATGTGTTACCTCCTCAAAGCAGCTCTCTCTTTGTATCAACCTGTTCTCTTCCACCTGTCACTCTCTAACCTCTTTTTTCACTTTATTTTCATTTGAAGCATTTACTATTACTTAAAATTATATTACCTATGTATATTGTCTATCATCCTCAAAGCAATGTAAGCTCCATATGGGCAGGGATTTTGTCCTTTTTATTGATGTAGCTCCAGCTCCTAAAACAGTGCTTGCCCTACAGTAGGCACTAAAGTGTTCACTGAAAGTATGCAAAGCTTGGCCAGGTGCGGTGGCTCATGCCTATAATCCCAGCACTTTGGGAGGCCGAGGCAGGTAGATCACCTGAGGTCAGGAGTTCGAGACCGGCCTGGCCAACATGGTGAAACCCCATCTCTACTAAAATACAAAAAATTAGCCGGGTGTGGTGGTGGGCACCTGTAATTCCAGCTACTCGGGAGGCTGAGGCAGGAGAATCGCTTGAACCACCCCCTCTCCCCCCCCAAAAAAGTATGTGAAGCTTAAATAAGACAAAGACAATGTCTATAAAGAGCTTAGCAGGGTACCTGGCACTGAGCAAGCAGCCAGGTGACGCCACACTCTGAGATCTCTCCCTGCCTCTCCGTCATCCCTCCTTAGTCTCCTTGTCTGGCTTATCCTTGTCCTTCTTCACTTAGCAATTCAATGTCAGAGTTCCTCAAGGCTAAGTTCTGGGCCCTTCATCTACAGATTCCTCAGAGAGGTCTATCCTAGCCACCATGTCTTTTTTTTTTTTGGATATGGAGTCTCGCTCTGTTGCCCAGGGTGGAGTACAATGGTGCAATCTCGGCTAACTGCAACCTCTGCTTCCTGGGTTCAAGCCATTCTCCTGCCTCAGCCTCCCAAGTAGCTGGGATTATTTATAAATGCCCACCACCACGCCTCGCTAGTTGTTGTTATTTTAGTAGAGACAGGGTTTCACCATGTTGGCCAGGCTGGTCTCGAATTCCTGACCTCAGGCGATCCACCCGCCTCAGCCTCCCAGAGTACTGGGATTACAGGCGTGACCTACCGCGCCCGGCCACCATGTCTTGAGTAGCTCCCCAACTACTGTTTCTATTCAGTACCCCATTTATTTCCTTCATATGATTCATCTCAACCTGTAATTATATGTTTGCATACTTTTAAGAAAAACAGTCCCTGAGAATTGGGAACTGGCCTGACAATAACTGGCAGGCTTTGGTGTTGCTGGGAGCTGGCCTGTTGCCCATAGTTAGGCCATGGTACTCTTGTTGAACATAAACTATCTCACAGAAAATCAGTGTCAAACAAGGTCATCCTGTGTTTGTGATGAAATTAGACAAACTTCAAAATCTTGTCTAAGCACAAAAACACCACACAGTTCCCTGTCAGCTAAAATGTGTTGGCTTTTTTACCTTACAGCTTTAGCCATATTTCATTTCTCCCTCCTTCTAGATAAGATTAAGAAGTAGTCATCTTTCTGACAGCATCTAAGCCAGAACAATTTCCTGTTTCTTTTGAAATCACCAAACACAAACCCTAATCCTGTCATTCCTAGCCCCCTTTTAGGGAGATAACCTCTGTAGAATTAATAAACTCAACTTAAATGCTTGCCCATAAGTTGAGGAGTTATAAGTTAACTTTTAAGAAGTTTCTTCCGGCTGGGCGTGGTGGCTCACACCTGTAATCCCAGCACTTTGGGAGGCCGAGGCAAGCAGATCACCAGGTCAGGAGATCGAGACCATCCTGGCTAACACAGTGAAACCCCATCTCTACTAAAAACACAAAAAATTAGCTGGGCATGGTGGTGGGCGCCTGTAGTCCCAGCTACTCGGGAGGCTGAGGCAGGAGAATGGCGTGAACCTGGGAGGCGGAGCTTGCAGTGAGCCAAGATCATGCCACTGCACTCCAGCCTGGGCGACAGAGCTGAGACTCCGTCTCAAAAAAAAAAAAAAAAAAAAAAAAAGAAGTTTCTTCCCAGACAACTGGTGTTCTCAGCCCTTCCTCCATCCTGAGGCTTTGAACATGGATGAGGAAGCCAGAGCTTCACTTTGGACAGTGAATAGAAGCTTGTGGTTGTGAATCTGAAAGTTGGGGGTTGAGGTTCTGAATACTCAGGGACCTTGTAGTGGTGGCATTGTCACACATCTTGGATTGTTGATTGTCCACCTCTTGACCTGTGAGAGAAATAAACTTCTATCTTTTTAAAAATTATTTATTTTTATTTTTATTTTTTATTTATTTATTTTTGAGATGGAGTCTTGCGCTGTCGCCCATGCTGGAGTGCAGTGGTGCGATCTCGGCTCACTGCAAGCTCCGCCTCCTGGGTTCACGCCATTCTCCTGCCTCAGCCTCCCGAGTAGCTGGGACTACAGACGCCGGCCACCACGCCTGGCTAATTTTTTTTCTATTTTTAGTAGAGATGGGGTTTCACCATGTTAGCCAGGATGGTCTTGATCTCCTGACCTCGTGATCCACCCACCTTGGCCTCCCAAAGTGCTGGGATTACAGGCGTGAGCCACCGCGCCCAGCCATAAACTTCTATCTTAAGACTTCTTTTTAAATGGCAGTTACATAAGCCAGAACTACCTGGAGAAATCTGATACTTTTATTTTGACCTGTAATTTTCAAATGTCTACTTTTCTCCAACTCTACTACCCAAGTCTATGTCACCATCATGGCTCACTTGTACTACTGAAGTAGCCAGTAGCCTTCTAATTAACTTCCAGGTCCAAGGTGGGCCCTCTCCATACAAGTTGATTTTTTTTGAAAAGCCAGCCTAAGCCATGATACTCCTGTCTAAAATTCTTCAAAGGCTTCTGTTCTAAGAAAAGAGCCAAATCTTCATGTTTTCCAAGGCCCTGAGTGGTCTAACTCCTCTTTCTTCTGCATCATCTCCCACTGTCCCTAGGTTTCTTAGCTCCTCTTCCCCTAGGTCTTTTAGCGAAGACCTTTGCCTTGACTTCCCTCTCCCACCCCACCTCCTGTTTATCCTTTGGAGCTTGTCTCAGTTGCATCTCCTACCCTGACTCCCTTTATTACACAACTCTCTTTCACCCTCTTTTCTTCCCTGTCTTCTTCCCAGCACTTTTGACAGGTTTAACTTTACATGCTATTTGTGATTATGAGAAACCTGTCTTCCCTGTACATTTTAAATCCATTGGCTTTGGCTGTCAGTTATCTCTAGTGCTTGGTATATTGCCTGGCCCACAGGCATTCTGCAAATTGCTGCTGAAAGACTCCTTCATCATTACCACTCCATAAACACAAACTCTGCAAAGTAAAATATTTAAAAATAACTCCACGGACACCTGGCCTTTCCTTTTTCTTACAAAACTTTGCCCTTGAACATAAGGCAGCTTGTTCTGGTTGATGCCTACAGGCTAATGGAACCTCCATTGGTTTTTTTCAGCCTGGAAGAACCTTAAGCTTTGTCATTCCCCATCACTAGTGTGTATGAACTAAAGAATAAGCTGACTCCACCAGGTGAGAACAGCTTCATCTGCAACTCCAGAGATGACTAGAACACAGGGATTAAATAAAATGCTGGTTTCCACTGCATTTATTACTAATATAAAAAAAGTTAAAAAGAAAAAAAAAAAAAAAACCTCATTCTCAGTTCTCCAACAGCTCTCACCCCTCCCTCTTGCCAATACAACTCCTGACCCATTTCCTCAGGGCCAGTTCAAAACTGAACCTGTTCACTGCTGTTTTCACAGAAAACAACCAGTGCCAGGGATGTAGGGGAAGAGGATTGGAAGAGGGCAACAGTACTGTCCAGCTTCTACCCAAAGATAGGCAAGGTGGAGATTCACAGAATTCAAATGAATGGACTGGTGGCCTCACAATGACATAGTCTAATTAAAATGGGCTGGAAGGGATCTAGGTAGGATAAAGCCATTGGAGGCTTTATAAGACATGTCATGGGTCTGTGTCAGACTCAGAATAACCAACAGGAGAAGAATGGGGAGGGCCAGGGAGGCAGTCTGATGGAAAGTTCACAATTCTCCCATGTTGGGAAGTGGGAAAGTCCAGAGGGCACCAAGCGCCTCACTCATTTTGGCAGGAAAACTTATTCTAGTGCTGGGAAGTCACAAAAATGCCACGGACACTGAGAAAGGCTACAAGGGGATGCACAGTTTCACAAAGCACGGTGATCATAGATAGACCATAGCGGTGGGGATCATGCTACTGACAGAGAAACTATGAAATCCAAAGGCAGGGAGAGTGGCCTTTTAGGAAGTAACTCTGCACCAGTCACCCAAACTTGACCCCAGGTTAGACAACCTGGCTGAGTTTCACAAGCAGCTGACAACATTGGGGGTAGGGAATGTCACATAAAAAGGACTTAAAACAAGCAGCTAAAAGAAGGGAATGGTAGGAAACCGCTCCAGGGCTCTCAGGAATTGAGGGCAATACTGGGGAACAGGTGGACAGATGCACAAGAAACAGCACCAAAGAGGTTTCCTGTTCAGCAGTCATTTGATGACGGGAAAGAAGATCCAGGAGGCAACTGAAAGGAAGCAAAGATGGGTCCCGAAGGCGAGTCTCTACAGGCTGGATCAGAAGAAAGCGCGTATGCCGCGCACCAGTGATGCAACACCACTCTGGACCCCACACGGGGGAAGTGGTGGATGGGATGGGTGTGTCACTGACTGAGGGTGTTAGAAGAGCCTCACAGTAGCCATCATAGGGCTACAGAGAAATAAATGGCCGCTAGGTCACAGAGAGCTCCTTCCAGCCTGGATGGGAAGGCACAGTCTCACAGAGGAGGTCCATTGACGCCTGGGTGGTAGAAGGCACAGAGGTCCTCATATCGACAGTGGCCCTTTTTGGCAAAATGTCGGCAGACAGGGCGGTCGGATTTGTCTGTGAACAAGTGAAAATGGAACAGTTAAAAATTTGAGCAACAAAGAAAACAAATACAATGAAACGCAGAGACAGAAGGAGAACTGATTTTCTACCCCCTACCATTTCCAGGTATTTTGGAATGGTAGTCTTTCTCCTGGGAGAAATAACATTGAGGTCTACTTCTGCTTCAAAAGCAAAAAGGAAAGCCCAGAGAAGATTGTGAATGATCTTCTGAAAATTAGGTCACTCTGGGAGTAATGGGCATAACAAAATGGACCTCACCTTCCATAACCTGGGGGTCATCCTTGGGCGGGCAGGTATTCTTGATAAGAGACCAGCTTTTGAGCCTTCGAGGGTTTCTCTGTTCCTTGTGAAAGCTTCCCCTGGTGGGACCCCCATGGCCTGGCCCCGGAAAAGGAGGTTCTGCATTGACTCCCCACCAACCACGACCATATGGGCTAGACCTGGGGCCAAGCCCTCTCCGAATTGGGCCTCTACCCCAAGGAGGAGGTGGGAGACTCAGCAGTGGTGGAATCAGTGGTCCCCTTGATCCTGGAGGACCTCTGTGAAGAGCTGGAGAGAGAGAGAGAGAGAGACACAGAAAGGTGTCTAATGGGCAGCTGAATCCTGATAAACCGTGATTAAAAAAATTTTTTTTATTGAAGAACAGCATACATAAAGACACACCAGTTTTAAGTGCACAACCCAGTTCTCACAAAGTAGACACACTTGAGTTTCCACCACCAGGTGAAGAGATAAAGCCTTATTAGCACCTCAAAAGATCCTCCCCTTGTGCCCCTTTTCCCATTACCCACCCTCCTCCCCAAAGGTAACCACTATCCTGACACCATAGGTTAGTTTTTGCCTGTTTTTGAACTTCACAAAAATGGAATCATACAGTCTGCATTCTTTTATGTCTGGCTCCTTTCGCTCAACATCATGTTTGTGAGATTCATCCAGGTTGCCTGTAGCAGCAGTTCATTCATTTTCGTTGCAGTGTAGTCCCATTGCATGCATACACAACAATTTATTTATCCATTCTACTGATGATGGACATGTGGGTGGTATCCAGTTTGGGGCTATAACGAGAAATGCCACTATAAACATTTTTATACATGTTGTTACACATACGTATGCATTTCTGTTGAATATATACGTAGTAGAGGTATTACTGGCTTATAAAGTATATGTTATGCTCAAGTTTCATACATAATGCCAAACTTTTTTTTCACAGTGGTTATACCAATTTGCACTCTCACCAGCAGTTGTCCTATAGCCTTGACAACACTTGGAATTGTTAGGTTTTTAAATTTTGCCATGGTGAGTGTGAAAAGTGGTGGTTATTTTTTTGTTTGGTTATTATTATTTATTTAATGAGAGATTGGGTCTTGCCACACTGCCCAGGCTGGTCTTGAACTCTTGGGCTCAAGTGATCCTCCCACCTTGGTCTCCTAAAGTGCTGGGATTACAGGCATGAATCATCATGCCTTGTTTTGTTTGGTTTTTATTGTGGTAAAAAACACATAAAATTTACCATCTTAACTATTTTTAAGTGTACAGTTCAGTAGTGTTACATATATTCATATTGATGTGAAACAGATCTCCAAGTTTTTGTTTGTTTTTTGAGATGGAGTCTCGCTCTGTCGCCCAGGCTGGAGTGCAGTGGCGCGATCTTGGCTCACTGCAACCTCTGCCTCCTGGGTTCAAGTGATTCTCCTGCCTCAGCCTCCCAAGTAGCTGGGATTACAGGCGCCCACCACCACGCCTGGCTAATTTTTGTATTTTTAGTAGAGATGGAGTTTTACCATATCGGCCAGGCTGGTCTTGAATTCCTGATCTCATGATCCGCCCGACTTGGCCTCCCAAAGTGCTGGGATTACAGGCACGAGCCACCATGCCCGACCTCCAAAAGTTTTTTATCTTGCAAAACTGAAACTCTGTACCCATTAAACAAAACTCCCCTTCCTCCAGCTTCCTTCCCCCAGCCTCTGGTAACCATCATTCTACTGTTTCTTTGAAGTTGACTTTATTTTTATTTTTTGTTTTGACAATCTTGCTCTGTCATCCAGGCTGGAGTGCAGTGGCGTGATCTCGACTCACTGCAACCTCTGCCTCCCAGGTTCAAGCAATTCTCATGCCTCAGCTACCCGAGTAGCTGGGATTACAGGTGTGCACCACCATGCCCAGCTAATTTTTCTATTTTTAGTAGAGACAGGGTTTTGCCATATTGGCCAGGCTGTTCTCGAACTCCTGACCTCAAGTGATCTGCCTGCCTTGGCCTCCCAAAGTGCTGGGATTACAGGCGTGAAGCACCATGCCCAGCCCCTGAATTTGACTTTAGACACCTCAGATAAGTGGAATAATACACTATGTCTTTACTTAACATAAAGTCCTCAAAGTTCATCCATGTTGTAGTATGTGACAGCACTTTCTTCCTTCATAAGGCTGAATAATATTCCATTGTATGTACACGCCACATTTATCCTTCCATCAGTGGACATGTGGGTTGCTTCCACCTCTTTGTTATTGTGAATACTGCTGCTATGAACATGAGTCTGCAAATATCTCAAGACCCTGCTTTCCATTTTTTTTTTTTTGATATATACCTGGAAGCAGGAGTTCTGGGGTAATTCTATTTTTAATTTTTTTGTCATCTGGTAGTTCTATTTTTAATTAAGAGGAACCTCTTCATATTGTTTTCTATAGTAGTTTCACCATTTTATAATCCCAGCAGCAGTACACAAGAGTTCTAATTTCAAAGTGGTATATTTTTATCTTGCATTTACTTGACAATTAATGATATTGAGTACTTGTTCATTTAGACCTTTAGTTCATTTAGATCTCCATTTTAATAAGGTGTCCTGTGTTTTTGTCAATTTTTCAAATGGCTTGTCTGGAAGAGTTCTTTATATATTATAGATACAGGATCTTTATTTGTTATATTTATTGCAAATATCTTCTATTGTATGGCTTCCTGTTAATTTCTTAATGGTATTATTTGGCAAGTTTGTATTTTGTTTTTTCTTTTTTTTGAGACAGTCTCACTCTGTCCCCCAGGCTGGAGTGCAGTGGTGCAATCTCAGCTCACTGCAACCTCCGCCTTCCAGGTTCAAGCGATTCTCCTGTCTCAGCCTCCTCAGTAGCTGGGATTACAGGCACACACCACCATGCCCGGCTAATTTTTGTATTTTTAGTAGAGACAGGGGTTTCACCATGTTGGTCAGGCTGGTCTTGAACTGCTGACCTCGTGATTCGCCCGCCTCGGCCTCCCAAAGTGCTGGGATTACAGGCGTGAGCCACTGTACCCAGCCGCAAATTTATATTTTCTAACGGAGTTCCATTTATCAATCTTTCCTTTATGGTTAGTGTGTATACGTGCATTTCTTGTCTGTTTAAGAACTCTTAGCTACTCTTAGAAAATACATTTACTTTCTAGAATAATTATTCTCTTACCTTTTATACTTAGATCTACAGTCCATTTGAAATAGATCTTTGTATATGATTATGAGTGCAAGGTGAAATTCCATTTTTTTCACATGAATATCCAATTGATCCAATATCATTTATTGAAAAGACCAACTTTTCAGTTCCATCTTCATCATAAATGAAGTGTCCACACATGTATGGGCCTGTTATTGGACTCTTCGGGACATAAGTCCTATTGACTTATGTCTATCATTGTTTCCAAACTGCATCGTTGTAACTATTGTAGCTTTATAGTAAGTCTTTTTTTCTTCTTGTATTTAGAGACAGGATCTCACTATGTTGCCCAGAGTGGCCTCAAAAACTCCTGGGCTCAAAGGATCCTCGCACCTCAGCCTCCTGAGTAACTGGGACTACAGGCGTGTGCCACCATGCCCAGCTTACAAATCTTGATATTCATAGTAAGCCCTCCCACTTCAAGATTGTCTTGATAGTCGCCTTGATATTTTGCATTTCCCTATAATAATGTGTATTTCCACAAAAACATTATGGGTGTTCTGACTTGGAATGCATGAAATCTGTTTATCAATTTGGGAAGAAGTGACATTTTTACAACATTGAGTTTTTAAATCAGCAAATATACAACTTCTCTCCATTCATTTAGGGATGGAATCCCTGATCTTTTATTTTTAAGTCCTTCCTGGGTTTTATCCCCTCCCTTGCTGTCTTCTCTACGACCTAATACAAGGATCAGGGCCCCTTCCTCCTCACCTGACTTAGGGTCGCCAGGTTTTCCATTGGCCATGGGGGGAGGGCCCAGAAGGCTGGGTGGTCCTAAGAGCAGACATGAAAATATGGTCATCAGAATGGATTAAAGGACTGATGATTCTGTTCTTAGGTGTTTTTCTTGTATTACTTATTTCTTAATTCAACCAGTAAAGTCAGGTATATTTTCAGCAGTCTTGGGAGTTCTCACCCCATCTATCTGCCCTTTTTTCTGCAAAGCTGTTTCAGGGTTTGCAAAAAGTAGATATTCAATCAAAGGGGATAATGCAGGAAAAGATACTGACAACTTTTTTTCTTCACCGTACCGTCGCTATCCAAAACAACCTAAGTGTCTCCAGACATGAACCAATCCCTCACCTTAACTGCTGGCCAGAGGACTAGTTTAGAGAAAGCTGCACCTGTACCTTTTCAGTCAAAGTCTGGATACAAACTGTCATCCCAGTCATCGCAATCTGCAACATCTCTACTACCCCTTTCCCCTACTGTTCTGCGGCTGCGCAAAAGAGCTCTTTATTCTCTCCACCCCCGCCTTCTCCAGAAAGGTCTGGGGCCGTATTGAGGTTGATGGTTCCAGTAAGAGAACTCCTGGTTCAAGGCTCCATTTGGGAGAGCCCCACTTCCATCCCTCCCCAGCGCGTGCGCCCTTCCTCCTTCCGTTACAGCCCCCTCCTTCGCACCTTATTAGCCCCTAGCCCCTTGCCCGGACGGGCTTGACAGGCATGTGCACATCCCTCCCAGACCCCTCACCGATGGGACTCCCATCCTCCTCATCTCCAGTCTCTTCCCGCTCGGGCAGCGGGGGCTGCTGCTGTGTCGGTGGCTGGTGATGATTCTGCTTCTTTCGTTTCGGCATCGTGTCTGCGGCAATGGCTGCAGCGGGATTTGGAGGGTAGTGAGGAAGGGGCACGCGGGGATTCTGTTTCCGCTTCCGGGGGGTCGGTGGGCAGCAATGCTGAGGCTCCCGCCATTCCACTTCCGGAAGGTTGCGGAGAACATCTGCGGCGGCCGCATTCCGGAGCCAACTGCCTCCCTCCGTCTCTGCCAGGCATGGCGGCAACCTCACACCTTCCCTTTGCTGCGTTTCTATAAATGCTTTGAAAAAATTACTCTTTTCTTCCCTCGCTGGAAAACACCACAACCAGCTCCTCAGAGTGTGTCACAGAGTCAACAGGCTCTCGGGCCAGAGGGCCTGAGAAGAGGACTGTCGCACCGTAAGATCGCCACATCCGGTCCTCGGTTACTATGGTAACAGCTGCAGGCACAACTTCGTGCCCTTTGACCTCCCCCCAAAAGTCCTTGTCCCGCTTGGGTTTCCCTTCTCGCCCGCTTTTGCACTTATGATCTGTAAACCTGCTCCTTATCATCGTTCCCACAAGGAATTTGGGTCCCAACAGGTCGGCACCCAGGACTCTCAGACCGCCGCCCTCCCCTAAAGACCTCTGACCGTGCCCCCGGTGTAGTCCAGCAACCTGGACGCAGTCTCGGCTTTCCACTAAGGTCAAGCCCGGGGCTTTGTAGTATAGCCTCAGCGTGTCCACGCCCCCTCTCCCCTAGGTAGTAGGCCCCGCCCTCCGCTCCGCCGCCCCCTCCAGGTGAGTGGTAGGTTCTCCCGGGAGCGCAAGGTAGTGATGACACGCGCCCCCCCTCCTCCGAACGCGAGTTGGTAGCGTCCGTGACGGAGTTAGCCTGGTCCTCCCACGCGCGCCTCCTTCCTCGCCGCCGGGGCGCCCTCTCGGTGCCACTGGCTCTCACGTGCCAGTAGCCCACCCCGCATCATCCTCTCGCCTCGCTCCTGGAGGGAAGTGACTATATCTCCCCCGTCCGCCTTCCATCGCCGCCGCGGCGGTAATTCTGTCGGGCCCGCCCGCTGACGTCACCTGCTAGCCCCGCCTCCTCTAGGGTCCCGGGCCCCTGCGGCGGGGGCTGCCCCGGGGGGCAGTCAGTTGAGGCGGCGGGAGCTCGGCGGAGGGCGGGCCAGGTGACTGGTCCGGGCCATGCCGAGGAAGAAGCCATTCAGCGTGAAGCAGAAGAAGAAGCAGTTGCAGGACAAACGGGAGCGGAAGAGAGGTCAGTGCGGGAGCGGGAGGAGGGGGCGGGGCTCGGGCTTCCGCACATCTGGAAGGAGGGGTGTGCCCGCTGCACCTCTGGGGATCGTGGGAGGGGGTCGTGGGACCGCGTCAACCCTCGCGGCCTATCGCGGAGGGGATCCCCCACCCCCCCTACATCTGGAAGGGGTGGGGAAGGATGGAGAGTTGGGGGAGGGGAATCCCTCCAGCTAGCACGGGGCGCCGTCCCCACTGCTCCCTGAAGGAGTGACTCCCCCCACGCACATCCGGGAGGGTCCCAAATAGGGTGTCTGGGAGGACTGAACATCGGAAGAAGTTGAGTGGGATGAAAGGGAGTCAGGCCGATGGGGGAGAGGGTCTTATGGCCCCTGAGAGCTGGCCAGCACTGGCGTCACCGGCCCCTCCCCGCAGGGCTTCAAGATGGGCTGCGCTCCAGTTCCAACAGCCGCAGCGGGAGCCGGGAGCGGCGAGAGGAACAGACCGACACCTCGGACGGGGAGTCTGTGACCCATCATATCCGCAGGCTTAACCAGCAGCCTTCTCAGGGGCTGGGTCCACGAGGCTACGACCCAAATCGGTGAGGGTGGGAGGGGGCGCTGGTCCCGGCTTTCCCGCCTACCCGGAAGTCAGAGCTTTGGGGGAAAGCGGGCTGCTACTGGTGAAGACGGTGGGCCTGGGATGCCACAGTTCTCCGCTAGCCACTCGGCTCCCCACAGCGGGCCACAGTCTTCCTTTCCAGAGGGGCTGGAGAGAGTTGGGCTTTTAGAAGGAGAAGGCTGAGTATTGCCTGAAAGAAGGACTTGGGGGAAGTCTGACTTGAGAGAGGAGACTTGAACGACTCTGGAGAGAATGGTTTGCGAAGTTGATTGTACAAGAGGGGAGAAAATAGGAGTTTGTGGCCACAGGATTGCTCTGGATGTCTCGGTCCCTGTTCCCTTAGATACCGACTGCATTTTGAGAGAGACAGCAGGGAGGAGGTAGAGAGGAGAAAGAGAGCAGCCCGGGAGCAAGTTCTACAGCCGGTCAGTGCTGAGTTGTTGGAGCTGGACATCCGGGAGGTGTATCAGCCTGGCTCAGGTGAGTGAGAGCAAGACAGGCATTGGGCTGGGGAAGGAGTTTGGAAAGGTAAAAGCCGACTGTGAGGAAGGAGGGGTCTGGGATGTACTCTTGAATCCTGAAGATTTCCTCACACTTGGACTTTTTCCTGAATTCCCAGTTCTGGACTTTCCTCGACGTCCTCCTTGGAGCTATGAGATGTCCAAGGAGCAACTAATGAGCCAAGAGGAACGGAGCTTCCAAGACTATCTTGGGAAGATTCATGGGGCTTACTCCTCTGAGAAACTCAGCTACTTTGAGCACAATCTGGAGGTGACAGTGTACTCTAGGGACAGGAGTGGGGCATAGTGACCTATGGTCAAATTGGTTTGGGATCAGGCTGGAGAGGGACTCTGTTTTCAGTTTCTCTTCCTGATCCTGTCTTTTTAGACATGGAGGCAGCTGTGGCGGGTGTTAGAGATGTCTGACATCGTCCTGCTTATCACTGATATCCGACATCCAGTGAGTACTAGGGATAAGGGTGGGCAAGGAGGAGGGAGAAAGGTTTTTCAGGGGCAAAGGTCAGAGGCAAGAGTTGGGAGACAGAGAGGTATCTATCTTCCTGTCTTTCTAATCTCTACCTAGTGCTGATGTCCGCAGTTAGGAACTCAGTTTTTTATTCTCTTATAGCCTGTCATTCCTCCCTTGGCCAGCTCACTCTTCTCTTCAAAACAGCCATGTCCTGTCCTTTAGCTCATCACAGACCAATAGAAAATCCAAGTGTTGGAGCTCCAGGGATTCTATGAATGCAGCTGGGGACTTCCTCCTGCCCAGCCCAAAGATGCCCTTTCTTCCTTATCTCATTTCTCTAGCACTGCCACATCAGTTGCTACAGAACCCACCTGGAATGCTAGAGTAGTAGTTAAGGCTGTAGACTGCTGCTGGACTGCCCTGTGTGAATCCTAGCTCTGCAACTTCACTCTTGTCCTCCAGTGGGAGAAAGGGAGGTCTGTGAGGACCATTTAGGTTGGAGGTCCTTAATAATATGTACACACACATACTCACACGTACATCATGTGCACATCAATATACACAGGCATGTTTGCACACATGTTCACAGTCACATTAACACACAAACATGCACACATGTGCACGTACTTGCATGCATGCATATATGCACGTGTACACACTTACATAGTTGTGCACACACAAAAAAGCAGACTAATTTCTACCCTAACCCCCATCCCTGTTTCCGATCCCAGCCTTTACCTCAGTGTGCTAAGTGATGCTGTTTCCTTGTCTTGTTTTGGGTTCATTTCCATCTCTAATCATGACCTATAGGAAGCCCTCTGAGACTCAGAAGTATTACTAACCCCTGTTTTGTCTTTGTTTTTCAGTTTGTCTGGTTTATAGTTTTTAGCCCAGAGTCTGCTACCACCAGGGCCTTGTCTCTGAGCTACACCTGCTGAGTGGGGAGCTGGAGGCAGAGAACTCTGGGTTGACTTTCACTGCTCCATCCTCTTATCAACTCTGTCCTAGGTTGTGAATTTCCCGCCAGCACTTTATGAGTATGTGACTGGAGAACTTGGACTGGCCCTGGTGCTGGTTTTGAACAAGGTGGATCTGGCCCCGCCAGCTCTTGTGGTTGCCTGGAAGCATTATTTCCATCAACACTATCCCCAGCTCCACGTCGTCCTTTTCACCTCTTTTCCTCGGGACCCCCGCACCCCACAGGATCCTAGTAGTGGTGAGTGGGCAATGAGAGAGGGCAACTTGGGAGAGGTGAGTTGGCAGGGGACAAAGGGGAGAACAGAGAGGCTTATTGACAAGGGGGCACCTGGTCTTGGGCCTAAGGGTGGTGGGAGAGATGAGAGGCCTAAGCCCGTGTGCCCATCCTTTTGTGCCCTCTGATCTCAGTCTTGAAGAAGAGTCGGAGGCGGGGGAGAGGATGGACTCGGGCCCTGGGGCCAGAGCAGTTGCTGAGAGCCTGTGAAGCCATCACTGTGGGGAAAGGTATGTGGCCCTTAGAGGAGGGCTGTAGGAGGACATGGGGGAGACCAAAGATGCAGAATCATTTTGCTCACCTTTCCTGAAGCCAACCCCTCTATGGTGGATATGTGCAAGAGGCCAGGGGAAGGGACAGAATAAGGAGCAGACTGACTTGGTGGGACGAGAGGCAGCAGGTAGTCAGGAGCCTCAGTGGCTTGCTGCCTTTAGCCTTCCCAGTACTTTTCAGAAGCTCAGAGAAACGTGCGTGATTCCAGGGAGGGTAGGGTCAAATGACTTTTGGGAGATTCTCTGACCTGCTCTTATTTAGGTTGGCACTGTACAACTCCAGAGGGTGCCAGTTACATAATCTGTGCAGGGCACAGTATGTGCCATCATGCACAGCAGCCCTGGGGAGAACCTCTTTAATCTTCTCCTTCTTTGAGCAGTGGACTTGAGCAGCTGGCGGGAGAAGATTGCTCGGGATGTGGCTGGGGCCACCTGGGGTAATGGCTCTGGGGAGGAGGAGGAAGAGGAGGATGGCCCAGCAGTCCTGGTGGAGCAGCAGACTGATTCAGCAATGGAGCCAACTGGCCCAACCCAAGAGCGCTACAAGGATGGGGTGGTGACCATCGGCTGTGTGGGTAAGGAAGTGGCAGCTTGTGCGTGGTGGCCTCCAAGGAGGTACAGAGTTTTCATATTCGGAGAAGAGAGAGGGCGATCAGGTCTCATTAGGCCCCAGGGTGTCTGAGGGGTGATCTCTGCCAGTGGCGGTGGGCAAGGCAGAAGAGGCGTCTGCTGCAGTGGAAGGATCATGACAGCCTGAGTTAAATTCCACCTCTTCTCAGCTGTGAGGTCTTGAGTAAGTGATTTTGCTACTCTGAGTCTTAGTTACTTTGATTTTAAAAATAAGGACATTGATACCTGAGTAAAAGAATGGATGACGGCCATGTGTGAGGGCTCATGCCTATATAGTCCCAGCGCTTTGGGAGGCTGAGGTGGGAGGATTGCTTGAGACCAGGAGCTCAAGACTAGTGTGGGCAACATAGTGAAACCCCATCTTTACAAAAGATAAAGAAAACTAGCCAAGTGTGGTGGTATGTGCCTGTAGTCTCTGCTACTTCAGAGGCTGAGGCAGGAGGATCACTTGAGCCCAAGAGTTCAAGGCTGCAGTGAGCTATGATTGTGCCACTGCACTCCAGCCTGGCTGATAGAGACCCTGTCTTTAAAAAAAAAGAATGGATGTGAGGAATGATGGGAATAGTGTTAAGAGAGTGTAAGAATGCCTGACAAATAGTGATAACAATAATAACAATTATTATTGTTAAAACTCAGTATTTATATGGTGCTTACTATGTAACAGGCACTGTTTTAAGTGGTTTATATAAACCATTTGAATTGTAGTAATTAGTCTGTAGTACAGTGATTATCAAATCATAGTAGGAGCTCAGCAAGAATTAGTATTCTTCTAGGTTTTAACCCTTTAAGTTTGTTGCCAAGGAGAATCTCCTCTTAAGGGCTTTGTCTCAGCTCACAGTGGAGGAAAAAGGAATGTATGATTAGGACCCAGGGCCCGTCTTCATTTAGGGTGGGAGAGGTAAGAAGAGACCTTGGACAAGTTATGGTATCCGAGGTGATATTGGAACCAAAAAGGGCCCAACCCAGAATAAATTTGGGAGTGTGGAGTAGGTAGTTGGGTTCCTTGGAAGTGCCCTGACTTATCTCTGTGTCCTTTTTGTCTTTGGAAGAACCTGCCTTACTGCTGAGTGATTGCTCCTCTTTCCAGTCATTTCACCCGGCTGTCCCTTCCCTGACTTCTGATCCTAGTCTCCCTGTCACAAGGAGCCTCTGTTCCCTCTCTTAGCAGCCTCTGCTCTAGCTGATCTCTATTCCAGGTGGTGTGAGAGGGAGAGTGTTTGCTGTGGCACAGGCACCCCTGAGTTTGGATTTCCCTCCAGCTCTCATTCATTTACCCATTCAACAAATATGTACTGAACACTTAACCAGGTGCCAGATATTCTAGGGATGGGACATACTGCTGTGGAAATGGCAAAAAGGTCTGTAGATTCATGGAGCTTATTTTCTTGTGAGTAAATAGATTTTGTGATCCGAAATCATGTAGGGGCAGTGAAGGCAATAAAGCAATGAAAGGGGATAGAGAGTGACTGAGAGGAGAGGTGCTCAGGGAAAACCTCCCTGAGGAGAGAACTGGATGATGAGATGAAGTGAGCCATTCAGAACTGTGGGGAAAGGGTCTTGAGGAGGGAATGGGCTTGGAGATTCTAGGACCAGCAAGAGTGCCCAGGGGATTGGAGTATGGGAGCCAGGATAAAGTACTGGGGATGAGGTCAGCAAGATCACCAGGGCCCACATCATGTAGAGCCCTGAGGCTGTGACAGCCATTTTGGATTTTATTCCAAGTCTCATGAGAAGCCAAGGGTAGGTTTTGAACAGGGGAATGATAGGATCTGATTTTGTTTCTTATAAGTTTACCTCCTGAGTAGAGAATAAATGATGGGGGGTGGGCAAGAAAGGGAGCAGAGAGAGCAGTTGAGGCTATTTCAGTAATCTAGGAGAGAAATAAGAGTTGCTTAGAGTAGGATGCTGGAGCTGGAGGTGGTGAGACAGGGCCGGAAGCATGATATATTTTGAAGGTAGAGAAAATGAGATCGCTGATGGCTTGCAGTTGGCACGTGAAGGAAAGTGAGGATAAAGAAGGACTTCCAGGTTTTTGTCTTGAGCAACTGGAAATACTGAGATGGGAAGACTGGGGGAGAAGCAGATTTGAAGGCTTTGGGGAGGAGAGGGGAATCAGAAATGAAATTTCAGATTCTTTTTAAATATCCCTAGTGGAGATGTTGAATAGGCAGTGGGTAAGTAGTCAGCAGCTTAGGGGAGAGAAGAGGACGGAAATTTGAATTTGGGAAAGATTTAAATTTGGGGAACCATTGATGGATATAAGTGGTATTTAAAGCCACAGGATTAGGCTGGGCACAGTGGCTCATGCCTATAATCCCAGCCCTTTGGGAGGCTGAGGCAGGTGGATCACTTGAGGCCAGGAGTTTGAGACCAGCCTGGCCAACATGGTGAAACCCTGTCTCTACCAAAAAATACAGAAAATTAGCCGTGTGTGGTGGTGCGTGCCTGTAGTCCCAGATACTCAGGAGGGTGAGGCAGGAGAATTGCTTGAATCCTGGAGGCGGAGGTTACGGTGAGCCAAGATCATACCACTGCACTCCAGCCTGGGTGACAGAGCAAGACTTCGTCAAAAAAAAAAAAAAAAAAGCCATGGAATTGGATGAGATGTAGGAGAGAAAGGAAATAGTTGGAGAAGAGGAGGTCAAGGACTGAGCCTTAGGACAAGCCAGCATTTAGTTGGGCAAAGGACAGTGAGAAGGAGGAAAACCAAGGGAGCGTCCCAGAAGTCAAATGAAGAAGGTGTTTGAAGAGGAAAGGAGGAATCAGCTGTGTCAACTGTTGCTGACAGGCCAAATGAGAGAACAGAGAGCTGCTCAGCAGGCTTGGCAATGTGAAGATCCGTGGTTTCAGTGGGGTGGAGAAAGCCAAACTGGAGTAGGCCCATGAGAGAAGGTGCAACAACTTCACATAACATTGTGTGAAAAGAGTCTGACCCAATAGCATCCATACTGCACAATTTCAGTTCTATCAAGTTTGAAAGCTGCAAAATTAAGCTGCATTGTTGAGAGATACACAGGTCATAAACTAAAGAGAAATGTAAGGAGTTGATTTCCTTAAAAGGATAAAGCTTGCATGTATAGAGGGAGAGGATTATGATCAAGAAGGATGAGTGGCGGCCGGTATGGTGGCTCATCCCTGTAATCCTAGCACTTTGGGAGGCTGAGGCAGGCGCATTACTTGAGGTCAGGAGTTTGAGACCAGCCTGGCCAACATGGCAAAACCCTATCTCTACTAAAAATACAAAAAGTTAGCCAGGTGTGGAGCCGCACGCCTGTGGTCTCAGCTACTCAGGAGGTTGAGGCACGAGAATCGCTTGAACCTGGGAGGATGAGGTTGTAGTGAGCCAACATCGCACCACTGCACTCCAGCCCGGGTGAGGGAGTGAGACTCTGTCTCAAAAACAAAAACAAAAAAAAACAAGGACAGATGGAACATGTTGTCACACATTGGGTGGTATGGGGTTCATCAGGCTGCACATGTATGTTCTGTGCATTTTTTTGTATGTTGTAGTTTACAGTTACAAAGAAGATAGCAGGAAGAAATGGTGAAAAAAGTAGGTAAGTCTTTTAAGGAGTTTTCCTGCAAAGCGGACAGAGAACTAGGTCTGGTGGTGGTCGTCAAAGGAGAACTTTTTTCTCCCTCCTTCCCTCCCTTCCTCCTAGATACTTGCATGTGTTGTAAAGAGTGAGCACAGTGGTACATCTTTTCTTAGCCACAGTCAGCTGCCCAGGGGCAGTGCTGAATGGGCAGAGCTGGATTTTACAGGGTTGGGATTTTGCCAGGTGAGTAAGATAGAGGGGAGAAGTGGGACCAGGGAGTTCCAGGTCTGTGAACGGCCCTGGCTGAGGAGCTGGATCATGAAATCTGAGTCAAGTAAGAAGGAAATTGAGGACACGAGTTGGGTATTGCATAGTGTTACTGTGTTAAGGTCAGGGGTCAAAGACTTACTGGCATGGAGTAACCAGAGTAAGTGAGCTGGAAAGATGAGTTGTCAGGGCAGAGAGGGGTGCTTGGAATTGAGGCTTTGGAGCTGTGAAGTGACAAGATGCAGGTATTACCATGGGAGTGGGCAGCTGAGGTGGGGTAAAGGAGATGCTCTGTGGAAGGGAGATGAAGGCACTGAAGTCAGCCAGAAACACAAAAACTGGTGGTGGTGAGTGAGCAGAGTGGCAGTGAGCCCCAAGGCTTCCAGTTTTCTCCTTGGACAAGTCATCGTAATTATTATTATTATTTTTTGAGATGGAGTTTCCCTCTTATTGCCCAGGCTGGAGTGCAATGGTGCAATCTCAGCTCACTGCAACCTCCGCCTCCTGGGTTCAAGTGGTTCTCCTGCCTCAGCCTCCCAAGTAGCTGCAATTACAGGCGCCCACCACCACGCCCAGCTAATTTTTGTATTTTTAGTAGAGATGGGGTTTCACCATGTTGGCCAGGCTGGTCTTGAAGTCCTGACCTCAGGTGATCCACCCGCCTTGGCCTCCCAAAGTAATCACGCTGGGATTACAAGCGTGAGCCACTGTGCCAGGCCAAGTCATAGTAATTATGAGATGTGGATCACTGGTACTGGGTACTTACTGTACTGCAGGCACTGACCCACACAAGTTGTATTGGTTATCTCATTTAATCCTGACCACCCTGAGGTAGGGAGGTGTCCACACTGTAAAATGAAGAAACAGAGGCTCAGAAAGTTAGTTGCCCTGACATCACAAAGCTGGTAAGTGGAAGGGCCAGGATTTAACCCTGGCAGCCCAGAGCGTGATTTGTATTCTGCAATACCATTTCCTTAATTTCTGAGCCTTAGTTCCCCTTTTACCTATAGGTATAGCACCAAGTCCCATCACAGAGTAGAAACCTGTTAAACGTTAATTTTCCTTGCCTTCCTCAGGTTTCCCTAATGTGGGAAAGTCCTCGCTGATCAATGGGCTGGTGGGGCGGAAAGTCGTGAGTGTCTCCAGAACCCCGGGCCATACCCGATACTTTCAGACCTACTTTCTTACCCCCTCTGTGAAGCTCTGTGACTGCCCAGGCCTCATCTTCCCATCTCTTCTGCCTAGGCAGTTGCAGGTATGACGGGGAGGGTGGGTAAGGGAAAGAGAGAAGGTGGGACATTGAGGAAAGTACTGAGTGCTCATTTCCCTCAGGTTCTGGCAGGGATCTACCCTATCGCCCAGATCCAGGAGCCCTACACTGCTGTGGGCTACCTGGCCTCCCGAATTCCCGTGCAGGCCCTGCTCCACCTGCGCCACCCAGAGGCTGAGGACCCCTCAGCGGAACACCCCTGGTGTGCCTGGGACATCTGTGAAGGTGAGTTCCATGTGCCTGGCTTCGCCCCACCTGGTTTCAGCTGCTCTTCCTTACCTGCCTCGCCTTTTACCCTTCCCTGTCTCCTTTCCTCTCCTCAGAGATTCTGCCATTGATGAAGCTGCTGTCCACTCACCCCTAGATTTTTGTTGCATAGCCAGTAAGATCTCTGGCCTGGAATGTTTTGGGGAAAACTGGAAGGACTGTGTTATGGGAGTGGGAGTATAACTGGTACCTGGTTAATGCTTTCCCTTTCCATTATTCTTTTCTTCCTCCAGCCTGGGCAGAGAAACGTGGTTACAAGACAGCCAAGGCGGCTCGGAATGATGTGTACAGAGCAGCCAACAGTCTCTTGCGGCTGGCAGTGGACGGCCGCCTCAGCCTGTGTTTTCATCCCCCAGGCTACAGTGAACAGAAAGGTCAGAGCCCAGATATTCTTCCCCAGCCCCCTGCTATAGCGTAGGTAAAAGGGTGTGGGCTTTGTGGCCAGAGAGAGGGTCAAACCTGGATTCTGTACCTGTTGGCTAGCTCTGTTACTTAACATCTGTGATATTTTCCTGATCTGCAAACTGAGGGTAATAATTGACCCTTAGCATAGTGATTGTAAAGATTGAAGTTGATGTGCACAAAGGTTCTGTTCAGCAATCTGCACATAGGAAGTTGAATGAATGGATGAATGAATGAATGCCAGCAGCTCTAAAGATTATTGTTATTCCTAGTCTTTGCCTCTTCCCCATCTTTCCTTGGCTTTAGTTCTTGCTCAAAACTCTCCTCCATTTTTTTCTTGTTTTGGTTCCCCAGGCACCTGGGAGTCCCATCCAGAGACCACGGAGCTGGTGGTTTTGCAGGGCAGGGTGGGGCCAGCAGGTGACGAGGAGGAGGAGGAAGAGGAAGAGCTGAGCAGCTCCTGTGAGGAGGAGGGAGAGGAGGACCGGGATGCGGATGAGGAGGGAGAAGGGGATGAGGAGACCCCAACCTCGGCTCCAGGGTCCAGCCTGGCTGGCCGAAACCCTTATGCCCTGCTGGGTGAGGATGAGTGCTGAGTTCCTCGCCCAGCGCCATCTTCCCTCCCAGTATCTTTGCTTTTGGACTGACCTGGGGGTATCTCCCCTCTGCCACCCCAATTGTGAATAAAGATTGTTTGCTTTGTAGCCCCTTCCCCAGATGAACTGAGGTGAGAGCGGCTGTTCCAGGCTAACAGCTGTGGGAGGCTTCTCTCCTCTTCTCCCTTCTTTTTTCATGCATTCTCTTTGCAAGGGAAAGTTCTCTTAGGAGTTTAGTAGGTTCTCAGTCTCTGAAACCTGCTTCCTCTACCCATTCTCCCACTCTGCACCTTAGGAATCCCGTTATCTACATGGGGAGGGGAGGTCTAAATCCAGCTCCCTTTTGGAGTTTGTGCCATTCTCCGATTTGAGCAGCAGCCCTGTGTGCCCCCTGCCGCCAGACCTGCTCATTCCAGGAGCTTCTGGGAGAAGGAACAGTAAGAGAGGAACTGTGTCCCAAGCTGATGTCTCTTAATGAGATTTTTACAGGAATTGTTCAAATTCAGCAAATATTTATTGAGGGTCTATTGTGTGTCTTGACCTGTGCTGAGCACCAAGCATATAAGGATGTACCACCAGAGCCTGACCTAAATTTGAAGCCTGGCCATGATCAAAACCCCACCTTCAGGCACCCAAGTTTTTGGATTAAGAAGGGTGAATGATGTTCTCCAAATCCTGGGGGCTCATGCAGTATAATTCTAGGACTTCATGTTGATACAAATTTTTAGTTAAGGCAAAACGCTTGTGAAAATGTTGATTAAATGTGTACGAGTAGTTTTAATTACTGGTGAACAACTAGCGTGCACATTTATGATTTGAGCAGAACAGCCCTTTAAGTACAGTGTTAAGTTTCATTGTTTAAAAGCTTGGCAGCTACGAGTATTTGAGGTACATAGGGGCGGGCACAGAACCAGCCTCCTGAATTCCATTTACTCTGGTTTGGGGGTGGAACAAAGATGATCCAGTGCAGGGTCTGAGCTAGAACCTAGCAGGTGGCCAGAACCATTTTAGGGTTTCACCTCAGCATTTCGGCAGAAATCAGCTCTCTCGTGAGTCAGGGCACCTTAGGCTTTGCTGTATATCCCTTTGTTAAGCCAGCAGCTAGACTCCTAGATTGAATTCTTTTAGAAATGGGAGAATGAGCTTTTTTATTGACTGCCAGTGTTGTCTGTATTGGATGATAGCAAAAAGTGTAGTTGGACAGGTTGCCCACTAGATGGAGTGAGAAGTACCAGACTCCTTTTTTCTCTAAAGCAGATCCTTTCAGGATCTGAGTCACTGGGCAGTTTCTCTAATGCGAGCAGACAGACCCTGTTAACCAAGGAGCAAAGGAAAGTATATTTAAAGAGGCTAAGGTGTTTGGCCACATATTGCTTTAGGTTCATCTCCATTGGTCTCAGTGTGGACATAACTCCTGGAATTCACTCCAGTGCAAAGTTTAAATAATACCAGCATGAGAATGTACTTGAAGGTTTCCCAAAATGTGCTAGACAAGAAAGAGAAAAGGTCCCAGCTGAGAGAAAAATCCACCTGTCTCCCATCTGGGGCTCTTTGGCCTCACTGATAGAAAAGGAAAAGGGGCCCAAGCTAAGCTTACTTTGAGGGTTCATGATGTTCAGAGATGCTCAGGGGACTTCTCCGCTGCAGGAGGTGGGGTGAGGACATTGGATTCATTTCCTCAAAATGTGGAGAGAAAGGAGAAAAATCAGAATTCTATTTGTACCTCTGCTTCCTGTGCTGTTTATCTTTGCTTGTCTTTATCTTTTTCCACCTCAGGGGTTTCATCAGGGGTATTTGGGAGAGTCTAGGGGTGGGGATGAAGAATTGACTGGGAGCTGAGGAGGGGGGATTTTTATGCTGAAGACCTGGCAGGAGGCAACTCCTGACACCCCCACAGGGTTAGACTGTAAAACCTCTTCCATGACTTGCTGACTCTATAGGATAATAGCAACAGGAAAAGAACTGAGGGACGTGCAGATGAGGATGAATAGGGCCCCAACACCAGTGCCTGAGGCTGAGGTTAGAACTGACTACAAAGACACAGGAAACCAAGGGCCCAGTCTCCCCTCCACGCTGAAATACGCACCCTCTTGTCTGGGTCATGTCTACTATGTGAATACTTGACCATGGAGGTCTGGGGCTCTGGTGGCTTCCATAGCTGGCTAGTCTCTTGATGGAGAGAAATCAGGGCTTCTCTCATCCATGCTGGAATTTCATTTAGATGTCAACTTCCAAGTTTCCCTTTTTCCAGATGGGATTATAGTCCTGCTTCTGGAACAGGGTAGCTGTGTGTGGTCCAGGATAGTTCAATTATCTGGCCCTTTGTTCACTTCTTACAATCATTGATACAGTCAACAAAAATTGGTTAAAAACAATATATGCCAGACATATATCCCTGAGTTCTGGGACAATAACCAAAATTGAATAAGGCAATATCCTACTCTCAAGCAATAGAGGGTAGGAATAGAATAATAATAATATAATACAATAGCTCTATAGCAGTATGTAAACTATAAAAGCATTATTTTACGTGTTTCTATTGAACTGTCATAACTAAATAAGATGGTTAGTACTATAATTATCCCAAGGATTCATTCACTCATAGAACATTTGTTGAGCAATTACTACCTGCCAGTCACTTCCAAGTGGTAAGTGAGATAGAAATGGTTCTTTGTGGCACTCACAATTTATTGGAGAATGGAAACACAATTACAAAAAAAAAGTGTGATAAGTTCTGGGAGAAGGGTGGTACAGGATCCTGTGGGGTAGTGGTGGCTCCATATAGGAGGGACATTGGGATACTGATCAGGAAGGAGTGGGGGACAGGGCTAGAAGCTGCATTAGTATAAAGTTATGTCAGACTGCCAAAACAAAACAAACACAAAAAATCAGTAGTCTGTGGTAAAGAATTGCTATAGGAACAGCCAGTAGGGGCAGTTAAGCTGGTCTTGGTGAATCAGGGGAAGCGTCCTAGAGGAACAGATGTCCATGCTGAGGCCAAATGCTGGACAGGAGTTAGCCAGACAGGGAAATTGCATTCTGGGCAGAGGAGACAGCAAAGGTCAAGAAACATGACAACTTTGGAAGACTGTAACTTGTTCAGAGGCAGAGGGTGCAAAGGAGAAATGAGGAAAGGTGAAGCTGGAGAGGTGGGCTTGGTCCAGCTCTTGCTGGGCCTTTTCAGCCGTGTTAAAGATTTAGACTGTATCCAGAGGGATGTTGAACTTTAAGCCTAAGACTGAAAAGGTGAGAATTGTGCCTTAGATCACTATGGTTGCAGTGTGGAGACTGGTTTGGAAAGGGGAGAAATCAGAGGCTTTTACAGCCATCCCAGGGAGAGAGAATGAACACCAGAATTAGGGTAATGGAAGATGGAAAGAAGAGAAATCGTTTTATGGGTTGCTCAGGAGATAGAATTGACATGTCTTGGGATTGTTTTGCTGTGTAGGGGAGAGAGACAAGTCAAGAGTATACATCCTGTTTCTGACTTGGCAACTGGGTGGGTCATGGGTCTGTTTCCTGAGACAGTTGTCTACAGCCATACCACCGTAAGCGCCCTAAATCTCATCAGAGACAGTTTATGCAAATGGAGCTTGGGGAAAGAGAGGTCGTGGCTGGAGACAGAGATTTGGGCATCATCAACATATAGGTGTGGGGAGCAGAGAAGGCTGAGGAAGAAAGCAGGAAACATATAAAAAGGAGAGCAGGGAAAGGAGCCAGTGAGACAGGAAAAACCTAGTAACGTGGTGTGATGAAGCTAGGGGAGGAAGGAAGGAAGGAAGGGCGGCGTGGAACGCTGCTGATGGGTGGTGGCGGGGAAAATGAACGAGTATCCACCAGCAACGAGAGGGGCCTCCATGGTCTTGGTGGGAGCATTTCTTTGGAGAGGTGGAATCAGAAGCCCCAGATGTCAGAGGGTTAAGGAATAATTTGGAGGAAAAGCGTAAAGGCAGTGGAGGTGAGGAGAGAATTTTCAAAATGTTTGGCAGTGATTGCAATGAAAGAAAAAAATGGAGGGAGCAGAGTATATGCAGTTGAGGAACTTTTTTAGTTTGGAGTGTGTTAACACGATGTTAGGAAGAAGGATCAAGTGAAGGAGAAAGGTGAAAATGCTGGAAGGTGGGGCTTAGTGATGAAACAAACCTTGGGGACAGGTGGGCGTGGTACTGAGAGTCCCAGTGAGGGGAGTGCCCTCAGGCAGGCGCCGGTGGCTTCTGTCACAGGAGGGAACAGCGCTGACATTCAGCTGGTTCGCACTGATACGGCTCAACCAGTTTGTTAAAACATGTCTGTTCCAGTGTCAGTAATATACGAGTAACTGCAATATGCAGTAAAAATTATAAATTCTAATACAAACTCAGTTCAAGCTAATTAAGAGATCGCAACAGCCGTTGGTAAATGGACTTCCCGCTGCATTTGAGAAGCTTTGCAGCGCCATCTGCCGGTGTCGTAGCATCACTGCAGGCTGAGAGGCTGCTTTGCGCCTTCATCTTGAAGCACTCTGAAATTGCCTGTTTAAATTACCTTGGAATCATGGAGTTGCTACTGCTTCTGAATAGTTTAGCTTCTACTTTGATTTTATTGTTAGTGCATTGTCGTTCTTGTGTCAGTAGCAAGTTTCAGTGTTTTAATATTTACAAATACAAAAATTTTTAATAAAATATTAAAGCCAAACTTGAATGAAGAGACAACAAAGTTTGGATATGTTTCTTTATGTGCCTTTTGACATATCATAAATGAGAATCTTTTGATTCCTCAGGAGAACAAAGAAGAAATATTAATGAGCTGCAGCCAGGAATGTTTTCTGTTACTGTGTAAAAATCAGAATAATATGGAAATCATTTGCAACTTTTTATTTTGAAAAATTTCTAACATAGAAAAAGAACAATAAACACCCAAATACTGAAAGATTCAACAAATTCTACATTTTGCCATATTTGCTTTACTAGTTTTTGCCAGCTTCTGTATTAATCGATTTTTCTGTCTACTTATCCATTTTTTTTGTTGTCATTACCTTTTATTTTTAAAAATTTTAACCTTTAATTGTAAATTGGCAAATTATAGTTGTATATATTTATGGCGTACAAAGTGATGTTATGATTCATGAATACACTGTGGGATGATTAAATCAAGCAAATTAACATCTATCACTTTTTTTTTTTTTGAGATGGAGTTTCACTCTTGTTGCCCAGGCTGGAGTGCAGTGGTGCAATCTCGGCTCACTGCAACTTCCGCCTCCCGGGTTCAAGTGATTCTTCTGCCTCAGCCTCCCGAGTAGCTGGCATTACAGGCGTCCGCCACCATGCCCGGCTAATTTTTTGTATTTTTAGTAGAGACGGGGTTTCACCATGTTGGCCAGGCTGGTCTCCAACTCCTGACCTCAGGTGATCCACCCACCTCCACCTCCCAAAGTGCTGGGATTACAGACGTGAGCCACTGCACCCGGCCCAACATCTATCACTTTTAAATACTTACTTTTTTTGTGGTGAGAATGTTTGAAATTTACTCTCTACATTCAGAGGAGGGAATATGTTAAAAATGTAAAAAAGATATTTACCCTCAACACTTATGAAATGTCCAAGAATTATTTACTATATTCACTTTGCTGTGCAGTATATCTCAAAGAAAAAGAAAAGCTTATTTTTCCAGTCCAATGAAGCTTTGTAACCTTTAACCATCATATCCCCATTTACCCCAGACCCCCAGCCTCTGGTAACTACTATTCTGCTCTCTCCTCCTTTAAGTTCGATTGTTTTAGATTCCACTTATAAGTGAGAACATACAGTATTTGTCTTTCTGTGCCTGGCTTACTTCACTCAGCATAATGTTCTCCAATTCCATTAACGCTGTCTCAAATGACAAAATTTCTTTTTAAAGGCTGAATAGCATTCCACGGTATATATACCATATTTTCTTTCTTTCTTTCTTTTTTTTTTTTTTTTTTGAGACGGAGTCTTGCTCTGTCACCCAGGTTGGAGTGCACTGGTGCAATCTCAGCTCACTGCAAACTCCGCCTCCCAGGTTGAAGTGATTCTCCTGCCTCAGCCTCCAGAGTAGCTGGGACTACAGGCGCCTGCCACCACGCCCAGCTAATTCTTTTGTACTTTTAGTAGAGATGGGGTTTCACCGTGTTAGCCAGGATGCTCTCGATATCCTGACCTCGTGATCCGCCTGCCTCGACCTCCCAAAGTGCTGGGATTACAGGCTTGAGCCACTGCGCCCGGCCTATATACCATATTTTCTTTATCCATTCATCTGCTGATGAACACTCGGTTTGACTATGTAACTTCACTGTGGTTAATAGTGCTGCAGCGAACATGAGAGTGCAGGTATCTCCTCGACATACTGATTTCAAATCTCTTTAGTAAATACCCAGACGCAAGATTGCTGGATCATATGGTAATTCTTTTTTTTTTTTTTGAGATGGAGTTTCACTCTTGTTGCCCAGGCTGGAGTGCGATGGCACGGTCTCAGCTCACTGCAACCTCCGCCTCCCGGGTTCAAGCGGTTCTCCTGCCTCAGCCTCTCAAGTAGCTGGGATTACAGGCGCCCACCACCACGCCCAACTAATTTTTGTATTTTTAGTAGAAATGGGGTTTCACCATATTGGCCAGGCTGGTCTCGAGCTCCCGACTTCAGGTGATCCGCTCACCTCGGCCTCCCAAAATGATGGGATTAGAGGTGTGAGCCACTGTGCCCAGCCCCATATGGTAATTCTATTTTTAGTTTTTTGAGGAACCGCCATACAGTTTTCCATAATAGCTGTACTAATTTACATTCCTACCAACAGTATACAAGTGTTGTCTTTTCTCAACCATTTGAACTTTTTTTTTTCTTTTTGAGATGGAGTTTTGCTCTGTCACCCAGGTTGGAGTGCAGTGGTGCAATCTTGGTTCACTGCAACCTCTGCCTCCCGGGTTCAAGTGATTCTCTTGCCTCAGCCTCCCCATTAGCTGGGACTACAGGTGTGCACCACCATGCCTGGCTAATTTTTGTATTTTTAGTGGAGACGAGATTACACCACGTTGGCCAAGGTGGCCTCAAACTCCTGACCTCAGGTGATCCGCCTCCTTCGGCCTCCCAAAGTGCTGGGATTGCACTGCACCCAGCCCTGAACCATTTGAAAGTTGGAGACATCGGCTGGGCATGGTGGCTCATACCTGTAATCCCAGTACTTTGGGAGGCCGAGGTAGGCGGATCACCTGAGGCCAGGAGTTGGAGACCAGCCTGGCCAACATGGTGAAACCCCGTCTCTACTAAAAATACAAAAAATTAGCCGGGCATGGTGGTACATGCCTATGATCCCAGCTACTCAGGACGCTGAGGTGGGAAAATTGCTCAAACCTGGGAGGTGGAGGTTGCAGTGAGCCAAGATAGTGCCACTGCACTCTAGCCTGGGTGACAGAGCAAAACTCCATCTCAAAAAAAAAGAAACTTGCAGACATCATGACCATTCACCCCTAAATACGTCATATACATCTCTTACACAATCATAATAGAATCATCATGTTTAATGAGTTAATAATTTTTAATGTCATCTAGCATTAAACTTCTCCAATTTGAATGCCTTTTATAGCATTTAATTTTTCCTAAGTATAATTACCAAATAAAAATTGTATAGATTTATGGTGTATAGCATGATGTTTTAATATATAGCTTTTAAAAAACTCCCAGAACAGGAACCAATCAAGTTTCAACATTGCATTTTTTTATGTCCTTTTCTCACCCCTTTCTTTTTAATCTACAATCATCCAGTTTTTTTCTTCTTGGAATTGGATCTTTGAGGATACTAGGGCAGTTGTCTTTTAGACTGTTCAACATTCTAGATTTGTCTTACTGTTTCTTTGATGTCACTTAATGTGTTCATCTGTCTCCCTGAGTTTTGAGGGGTTTTCCCCCAATTACTTGGTTAGATTCAGGTTACCCAGTCTTGGGACTAATTCCTCAAACTTGCTATATATGTCACATTGCCTCACATCAGAAGGCATATGATATGAAGCCATCCCACAAGCAGTGATGCTAAGTATGATTGCTTGGTTAGGATGGACACGGTCAGATCTTTTCTGTAAAGGTTATGTTTCCCTCTTGGCAATTAGCAAGTCGTCTGCATGGTTCTTTGACACTGTGTGTATACGCTGAAAAACTTTCTCTTATCGCCATCTACAGTGATTCTTGCTTGAATTGGTTATTTCATCAGAAATTACAAAAGGTGCTTTTCTAATTCTCCCACTTCTACATTTATAAGGGCATAATTACCTAGGAAGGAGCTTTCTCTCACCAACTGGAAAAAGTAGGGTCCTTCTCAAACTCCTGACCTCAAGTGATCCACCTGCCTCAGCCTCCCAAAGTGCTGGGATTACAGACATGAGCCACAGCGCCCGGCCAAAGTAGGGTCCTTCTAAAAGGCAAGGTAAATGCTTATTTCCCTTTACCAGTTTTCAGAATAAGGTATTGGTATGATATTAATCTCCAAAGGTAGAAAATTTATTTTTTTTCTTTTTTTAAACTATAGATTTAGGGTTTTTATCCATTCAGTATTTCTTTTATTTTTTGAGACAGCATCACGGTCTGTTGCCCAGGCTGGAGTGCAGTGGCGCAATTACCACTCACTGCAGCCTCAACCTGCCAGGCTCAAGTGATCCTCCTACCTCAGCCTCCTGAGTAGCTGGGACCACAGGTGCATGCCACCACACCCAGATGATTTTTGTATTTTTTGTAGAGATGGGGTTTTGCCATGTTGCCTGAGATCAAGTGATCCACCTGCCTTGGCCTCAAAGTGCTGGGACTACACCATGCCAGGTATCCATTTAATATTTCACAATTGGTTACAGTCATTATTTTTTTGTGCTCGAACTGTACCTTATGTGTCCAGTGGGAGCCTTTTTTTTTTTTTTTAATTTGAGATGGAGTCTCACTCTGTCACCAGGCTGGAGTGCAGTGGTACGATCTCGGCTCACTGCAACCTCTGCCTCCTGGGTTCAAGCAATTCTCCTGCCTCAGCCTCCTGAGTAGCTGGGACTACAGGTGCATGCCACCATGGCCAGCTAATTTTTGTATTTTTAGTACAGACGGGGTTTCACCTTATTGGCCAGAATGATCTAGATTGGGAGAGGGCCCCAGTGGGAGCCCTTTTAAGCTAACTCCTACATCCATTCTGACATACCCCAAAAGTTCTGTGAGCACTTGCTTGCTTTTGACACAACTAGATGTCCCAGGCACAATTTTTTTTTACTTTCCCAGCTCCAGATGTGGAATCAGCCATTTTTCTTTTTCTTTTTTCTTTCTTTCTTTCCTTTTTTTTTCTTGAGACAGAGTCTCACTCTGTCACCCAGGCTGAAGTGTAGTGGCATGATCTCAGCTCACTGCAACCTCTGCCTCCAGAGTTCAAGTGATCCTCCCACCTCAGCCTCCTGAGTAACTGGGATTATAGGCATTGCCACTACGCCTGGCTAATTTTTGTACTTTTAGTAGAGATGGGGTTTCATTATGTTGGCCAGGCTGGTCTCAAACTCTTGGCCTCAAGTGATCTGCATCTGCCTGCCTTTAGCCTCCCAAATTGCTGGGATTACAGGCATGAGCCACTGCACTTGGCCAAAATCAGCCATCTTTTTTTTTTTTTTTTTTTTTTTTTGAGGCCGAGTCTTGCTCTGTCGCCCAGGCTGGAATGCAGTGGCGTGATCTCAGCGCACTGCAAGCTCTGTCCCCAGGTTCATGCCATTCTCCTGCCTCAGCCTCCCAAGTAGCTGGGACTACAGGTGCCCACCACCATGCCTGTCTACTTTTTTGTATTTTTAGTAGAGACAGGGTCTCACTGTGTTCGCCAGGATGGTCTCGATCTCCTGACCTTGTGATCTGCCCGCCTCGGCCTCCCAAAGTGCTGGGATTACAGGCGTGAGCCACTGCACCCGGCCAAAATCAGCCATCTTTCTAAGGAACATTGATTCGTTTTAGTGAGGAATGGTCTTTAGTGCTGGGAGAGCTCGTTGCTACAGAGGTGTCATCGCTTTAAGTCACATTTAGGGTTTAAAAAAAATCATGAATTCATATTGGTATTTCCAATTCAAATTGTACATTATAGGTTTTTCCCTCTTCTTGGACTTTGTATTTGTATATCTTTTATCAGGGCAATCGAAAGCCTTGGCTCTTAATACTCTTAATATATTTACCTATTTTTCTCTCCTACAATATACATAAAATCATCTTAAAATTGCATTGGGCCAGGCACAGTGGCTCATGCCTGTAATCCCAGCATTTTGGGAGGCTGAGGCGGGCGTTATCACTTGAGGTCAGTAGTTCGAGACCAGCCTGGCCAACATGGCAAAACCCCGTCCCTACTCAAAATACAAAAATTAGCTGGGTGTGGTGGTGGGCATCTGTAATCCCAGCTACTAGGGAGGCTGAGGCAGGAGAATAGCTTGAACTTGGGAAGTGGAGGTTGCAGTGAGCCAAGATTATGCCACTGCACTCCACTCGGGGTGACAGAGCGAGACTCCATCTCAAACAAACAAAAGAAATCGGCTGGGCATGATGCATTCATCTGTAGTCCCAGCTACTCAGGAGGCTGAGGTGGGTGGATCACTTGAGCCCGAGAGATTGAGGCTGCTGTGAGCTATGATCGTGCCACTGCACTCTAGCCTGGGCAACAGAGCAAGATCTTGTCAAAAAAAAAAAAAAAATTGGGAAACAAAATCTTTTAGGGCTTCTGAAGTCACCCCATGAGTAACTGAGTGTGATGAGTGTAGGACTCCTGGTCCCAGCACCTGGTCTTATTTCTGTTTCTCAAACATGTCCTTTCCACCCCAAGACTTTTATCCCTTTTTGTTCCCTGGTCTGGAATACTCTGTCCCACCTACCCGCCACCTGTAGTCTTGCCACATCCAGTCTCTGCTGACATATTCCTCAGAGGGGAATATGTGCCTGATTCCCCTCCTTTCAACCTAGGCAAGGTGAGTTTCTCCTGCATGAGTTCCTCTATGGCCAATGAGCCTCACACAATTGAGTGTCTACCATCCACCCGCCAGCAAGGCCCCAAGACAGCACGTTTTCTTCCCTGTTGATCACTCTATTCTCAGTACCTATAACAGCACTGTATTAGTTAGGGTGTTCCAGAGAGTTAGAACCAATCAGATGAAAGAACTGTTTCATGCTATCATAGGGGTTGGCAAATCCAAAATCTGCAGAGCAGGCAGGCCAGCAGCAAAGAGTTGATGTTACAGCTCAGGTCCAAAGGCGGTGTGGAGGCAGAATTCCCTCTTCCTCAGGGACCTCAGTCTTTTTGTCTTAGGCCTTTGAATGATTGGATGAGGCCCACTCACATTGTGGAGGGCAGTCTGCTTTATTCAAAATGCACCAATTTGAAACATCCAAAATACCCTCACAAAACCATCCACAATGTTTGACCAAATATCTGAATACCATGGCTTAGCCAAGTTGACAAATAAAATTAACCATCACAAGTACCTAGCACAAATGCATAATTTTATGTCTATATGTATATATATTTTCTTATACATACATATGCATGCATACACATATTTATGATTATAAAAAGTATATATATATCTATATATATAGAGAGAGAAATAAAGGAATGATCCATGTACCTTACAAATACACTAGAAACATAAATTCATAGATAGCAGCAGATCTCATTACGATGTTTAATTTTATGTGTCAACTTGTCTGGGCCATGGTGTCCAGATATTTAGTCAAACATTATTCTGGATGTTTCTGTGAAGGTGTTTTTGGATGAGATTTACATTTAAATTGGTGAACTTTAAATGTAATGAGGGTGGGCTTCATCCAATCAGTTGAAGACCTGGTTAGAACAAAAGGCTGTCCTCTCTCTTTTGTTCTGGTCAGAAGTTTCCAGCACACCACCTTTGGACTTGAACTGCAACTCTTTCCTGTGTCTCCAGCCTGCTGGGCTCTCCTATCAGACTTTGGACTCACCAAGCCTCCACAATTTTGTGAACTAATTCCTTAAAATAAGTCACACTCTCTCTTTCTCTCTCTGCAAGTATGTATGTATGTACGTATGTATGTATATTCTATTTCTCTGGAGAACCCTGACTAACTCAGAAAGCAAAAATGCCCTCTATGGCAGGGTGCAGTGGCTCATGCCCGTAATCGTAGCACTTTGGGAGGCCGAGGCGGGCAGATCACCTGAGGTCAGGAGTTCAAGACCAGCCTGGCCAACATAGTGAAACTCCGTCTCTACTGAAAAAAACACACACACACAAAAATTAGCCCGGCATGGTGGCAGGTGCCTATAATCCCAGCTACTTAGGAGGCTGAGGCAGGAGAATCGCTTGAACCTGGGGGGCGGAGGTTGCAGGGAGCCAAAAACGTGCCACTTCACTCCAGCCTGGGTGAGAGAGCGAAACTCTGTCTCAAAAAGAAAACCAAAACCAAAAATGCCGCCAATCACGTCTATGAGATAACCATTGTTTACTGTTTGTTCCGTGTTCCTGTATTCTCTCCCCCAACTTTTTCCTGTTTATATATCAGCAAAGATGGATGGAGGGGAAGATTGAAAAAAATGTTTCTTCCAGTTTATATTGTTCTGCAACTTTTATTATTTATTTATGATGTGCTCATTTTCCCATGTCAATACATATAGATCTTTACAAAATGATACTGTGATATTTCATTGTATATACACAGCCTACTTTAACTATTCTGGTACTCCCCCCACGGCCCCCCCCCATTATTCACTAGTAGACATAATGCCTCAAAAAAACATTCTTGGGTGGGTGCCGTGGCTCACATCTCTAATCCCAGCACTTTGGGAGGCTGAGGCGGGCAGATTGCTTGAACCCAGATATTGGAAACCAGCCTGGGCAACATGGTGAAACCCTATCTCTACAAAAAATACAAAAATTAGGCTGGGCGCGGTGGCTCACACCTGTAATCCCAGCACTTTGGGAGGCTGAGGCAGGTGGATCACGAGGTCAGGAGTTCGAGACCAGCCTGGCCAACATGGTGAAACCCTGTCTCTTCTAAAAGTATGAAAATTAGCTGGGTGTGGTGGCATGCGCCTGTAGTCCCAGCTACTCAGGAGGCTGAGGCAGGAGAACTGCTTGAATCCAGGAGGCGGAGGTTGCCATGAGCTGAGATCGTGCCATTGCACTCCAGCCTGGGTGACAGAGCGAGACTCCATCTCAAAAAAAAAAAAAAAAAATTAGCTGGGTGTGGTGGTGTATGCCTATAGTCCTAGCTATTCGGGAAGCTGAGCGGGGAGGATTGCTTGAGCCTGGGAAGTTGAGGCTTCAATGAGCTGTGATTATGCTACTGTACCATGCCTGGGTGACAGCAAGACCCTGTCTCAGAAAACAAAACAAAACAAAACAAAACAAAAAACAAAAAAACCCCAAAAATTCTTGTACTTACTTTTTTGCACACTAGAGGGAGTGTTTCTATAAATTCCTAGTTGCCATGAATGGAATGTTTGTAGTCCCCTCAAACTGTATGTTGAAGCTCTCTAATTCCCAATGTGATAGTCTTTGGAGGTGGGGCCTGGGCTATAATGAGGTTTGGATAAAGTCATGGGGGCATAATGGGATTGGTGCCCTTATAAAGAGATGAAGAGAGGCTATTGCTCTCCCTGCCACAGCAAGGCGGTGGGATGGGCCGGGTGTGGTGGCTCACGTCTGTAATCCCAGCATCTGGGAGGCCGAGGTGGGAGGACTGCTTCAGCCCAGGAGTTCAAGACCAGCCTGGGCAACATAATGAGACCTCGTCTCTACAAAATTACAAAAATTTAGCTGGGCCTGGTGGCATGCACCTGTAGTCCCAGCTACTCGGGCGGCTGAGGTGGGAAGATCAGTTGAGCCCAGGAGGTTGAGGCTGCAGTGAGCCAAGCTTACACCATTGCACTCCAGCCACCTGGGTGACAGAGAAAACCCTCATCTGTTAAAAAAAAAAAAAAAAAGAAAGAAAGAAGAAAGAAGGAAGAAAGACAGAGAGAAAGAAAGAAAGAGAAAGAGAAAAAGAAAGAAAGAAAAAGAAGGAAAAGAAAGAAAATGAAGGTGGGACATCTGTGAACTGGGAACAGAAAAAGGACCTTCACCAAGCACCTTAACTGCCAGTGCCTTGATACCTGAACTTCCCAGCCCCAAGAACTGTGAAAAATAAACCTCTGTTGTCTATAAGCCATCCAGGCTGTGGTGTTGTTATAGCAGCCCAAACTAACTAAGGCACTAATTTAAGTGGAAATGCTAAATCAAAGGTTATGAAAATGTTTAATATTAATAGGTACTAAATTACTTCCCCCAAAGGTGATAAGTTTACACTCTTATCAACAAGAGGTTAAAACATTGTTTTAAGCTGGGTGCAGTGGCTCATGCCTGTAATCCCAGCATTTTGGGAGGCCAAGGTTGATGGATCACTTGAGATCAGGAGTTCGAGACCAGCCTGGCCAACATGGTGGAACCTCGTCTCTACTAAAAATACAAAAATTAGCCGGGCATGGTGGCGGGCGCCTGTAATCCCAGCTACTCAGGAGGCTGAGGCAGGAGAATCGCTTGAACCCAGGAGGCAGAGGTTTCGGTGGGCTGAGATCGCGCCACTGCACTCCACCCTGGGCGACAGAGTGAGACTCTGTCTAAAAAAAAAAAAAGTTTTAATTTACTTTTACTATATGACTGGAGGGGTTGAAAATAATTTCATATTTATTGTTCAATTGAATTTATTCTTCTGTAAATTACTTATATCACTTATATGCTTTTAACAATATATCTTTTAAAATTAATTTGCAGTTGGTATATGATGGATATTACAATTCTACTGTATATGCTGATACTGTTGTAACCACCCAATTGGTTCATTTTGCCTGCTGCTCAGATAGAGCCAATTTATGAAGACAGGGGAATTGCAATAGAGAAAGAGTTTTATATACATAGAGCCAGTTAAACAGGAGACTGAAGTCTTATTATTACTTATATCAGCCTCCTCTCAAATTTGAAGGCTTTTTCAAGATAGTTTGGATTGGGCATGGCAGCTTACACCTGTAATCCCAGCACTTTTCGAGTCTGAGGTAGGAGGATTGCTTGAGTCCTTGAGTTTGAGATCAGCCTGGACAACACAGCAAGACACCATCTCTACAAAAAATTTAAAAATTAGCCAGGTGTGGTGGTGTACACCTGTAGTCCCAGTGACTTGGGAGGCTGGGCCAGGGAGGTTGAAGCTGCTGTGAGCCATGATTGCACCACTGCACTACAGCCTGGGCGACAGAGTCTCAAGAAAAAAAGAAAAAAAAAGATAGTTTGCTGGGCAGGTGGCTAGGGAATGGGTGCTGCTGATTGATTGGGATGCAATCATAGGGATGTGGAAAATGGTCCTCGTGCACTGAGTCCACTTCTGAGTGGGGCCATAGGACCGGTCTTGGATCTGGGTGGAGTCATCTGGTTTTCCAAAATGGAAAAGCCTGAGCTGGGCAAGGTGGCTCGTGCCTGTAACCCCAGCAGTTTGGGAGGCTGAGGCAGGAGGATCGCTTGAGTCCAGGAGTTTGAGACCAGCCTGAACAACAGAGCCAGACATCATGTCTACTAAAAATACAAAAACAAAACAAACAAACAAGCAAAAAACACCCCAGAACCAAAAAACAACAAAACTGGCCAGGCATGGTGGCATGCACCTGCAGTCCCAGCTACTTGGAAGGCTGAGGTGGAAGGTTCACTTGAGCCCAGGAGATAGAGACTGCAGTGAGCTATGATCACTGCACTCCAGCCTTGGTGACAGAGCAAGACCTTGTCTCAAAGCAAACAAAACAAAAAATAACTGCAAAGACATCTCAAAAGGCCACAGTGATATCATTTTACAGGACTAATTGGGGAAGTTACAAATCTTGTGACCTCTGAAACAATGGCGGGTAATTGTTTATCTAAGCCTGCATTCAGGCCCCTCTCATCCTCCCTAACCTGGTGGCCTTTCATCATTTTTACAAAGACAGGTTAGTTTTGGGAAGGGCTATTATCATTTAAACTGTAAACGAAATTTCTCCCAAAGTTAGCTTGGCCTTTGCTCAGGAATGACTAAGTGCAATTTGGAGGTTAAAGGCAAGAAGGAGTTGGGTTAGATTGGATATCTTTCAATGTCATAATTTTCTCACTGTTACAATTTTTGCAAGGGTGGTTTCGGTGTTTTCATTTTTTTTTCCTTTGTTAAAGCTATATTGACACCTTCCTTCCATCTCCTCCTTGCATTCCCACAGCACATCCTCCAACAGAAGCCACAGACAACAGAAGAGAGCAGCTTCCCTGTGTGTCCCATACCCACCTCTCCACTTCTGCCACTGGGCATGGACTCCTTTTGATGAACAAGTTCCTCTCACCACGAGCTCACTCTCTTCACACCTAGCTCTAGACCCATGGAAAAAGTCCTGCTGAGTCAAGTCAAGAAGTTCTTCTTTTTTTTTCTTTTTTTGAGACGGAGTTTCACTCTTGTTGCCCAGGGTGGAGTGCACTGGCGCAATCTCGGCTCACTGCAACCTCCGCGGCCCGAGTTCAGGTGATTCTCCTGCCTCAAGCTCCTGAGTAGCTGGGATTACAGGTGCCTGCCACCACGCCTGGCTAATTTTTTGTATTTTTAGTAGAGACGTTGTTTCACCATGTTGGCCAGGCTGGTCTCAAACTCCTGACCTCAGGTGATCCAACCGCCTCGGTCTCCGAAGTGCTTGGATTACAGGCGTGAGCCACCGCGCCGGGCCAAGTTCTTCCTGAGGACCCAAACCCTAGACACTCAAACCAGTGGTCTCTCTGTCTCTTCTGCACCCACTCCCACCATCGTGCCCTGGACCTCAACAGGGGTTATGCTGGGTGAGAGGCTGCTAGATGTTTAGAGACACTGAAATCCAGGGCATGACTGTGGCCAGGAAGAAAACAAGGGCAAGAGAAAGATGCTAGAGATAAACTTCCTTTTTCTTTATTCTTCCTAAGGATGAGTCCAGCAGCCAGGTCCTGGGTGAATTTGTCCATTTAGGCACATAAAAAATGGACCAACATGGAAATGTTCACACACTCCCTTATTAGATCAGTTAGGTTCACACAGAAAAAAACAAAAAAAGTTTCCTAAAAATTGTCACCACTATGATGATGCACTTGTTCTGTGTTTTTGTTTTCTTGTTTTATTTTGATTCTTTTCTTTTTTTTTTAAGAGACAGGATCTCACTATGTTGCCCAGACTGGTCCCACACTTCTGGGCTGAAGTGATCCTGCCTGTTTCCCAAAGTTCTGAGATTACAGGTGTGAGCCACCAACCATGCCTGGCTTTTTTTTTTTTTTTTTTTTTTTTTTTTTTTTTTTGAGACGGAGTCTTGCTCTGTCGCCCAGGCTGGAGTGCAGTGGCACAATCTAGGCTCACTGCAAGCTCCGCCTCCTGGGTTCACGCCATTCTCCTGCCTTAGCCTCCTGAGTAGCTGGGACTACAGGCGTCCACCACCACGCCAGGCTAGTTTTTCATATTTTTAGTAGAGACGGGGTTTCACTGTGTTAGCCAGGATGGTCTCGATCTCCTGACCTCGTGATCCGTCCGCCTCGGCCTCCCAAAGTGCTGGGATTACAGGCGTGAGCCACCGCGCCCGGCCATCTTAATTCTTTTATGGACAGTGTGAAGTAGACATTTTAACTCCATGGTAGAGGTGAGAAAACTGAGGCTTAGTAGCAATGCTTTAATTGGAAACATTTACTCACAAATAGATAAGACTCTAAAAAGAAAAAAAAAGTGATTCATGCGATTAGTCCCCACTTCTCAGGGAAAACCCTACAAAACACCCGAGCTGCTGGCTACAAATGTCATGGGTTTATTTAATTTTCCACGTGGTTGTTTCTCCCTGGCCAGTGAACATTTCATTTAGCAGGGAGGCTGGATCTGGCCTGCCATCTGGCTTTCGTGGTGCACTTTAGACTCTGGAGTTTGACAACAGCTGTTGCACAACCATGCCAGGAGGCCACCAGTCTTGGGACAATGGTTTCTCATTAGTTTGCATAAGGTAGAACAGAAATATAGTAGCTGAGGGAAAACAAAAACTTTAAATAATTTAGGGATGGGATTTTCCTGGATGAGTCACATTTTAATGAGTATATCAATGATTCATTATGTATGAACGTTATGATGTGTGCAGAAGTTATTTCTTTTTTTTTTTCTTTTTTTTTTTTTTTTTGAGACGGGGTTTCGCTCTGTTGCCCAGGCTGTAGTGCAGTGGCGTGATCTCGGCTCACTGCAAGGTTCACACCATTCTCCTGCCTCAGCCTTCCAAGTAGCTGGGACTACAGGTGCCTGCCACCGCACCTGGCTAATTTTTTTTGTATTTTTAATAGAGACGGGGCTTCACCGTGTTAGCCAGGATGGTCTCCATCTCCTGATCTCGTGATCCGCCCGCCTCAGACTCCCAAAGTGCTGGTATTACAGGCGTGAGCCACCGCGCCTGGTCTATGCACAAGTTATTTTTATCAGCTCTAACTGTCCTTAAGACCAAGTATCAACATGAACTCAACATAGAACCAGACCATCAAATGTCTGCATTACAAATTGTTAAAGCATCATTTTCAAAAATAATTAAGCATAATTAGTCATATTGCTCTCACTTGAAAGTATATAATTAATAATGTTATAAGGGCAAAATATTCTTTTTTCTTTTTCTTTTCTTTTCTTTTTTTTTCTTTTTTGAGACACAGTCTCACTCTGTCGCCTAGGCTGGAGTGCAGTGGTGCGATCTCGGCTCACTGCAACCTCCGCCTCCCGGGTTCAAGCGATTCTTGTGCCTTAGTCTCCCGAGTAGCTGGGATTACAGGCATCCGCCACTACGCCCAGCTAATTTTTTGTATTTTTAGTAGAGACAGGGTTTCACCATGTTGGCCAGGCTGGTCTTGAACTCCTGACCTCGTGATCTGCCCGCCTCGGCCTGCCAAAGTGCTAGGATTACAGGCGTCAGCCACCGCGCCCAGCCCTATTATTTGTATTTTGAATAAAAATTGTTATTTAAATTATTTTTCTTTATCATATCTTCTAAAATTTCTAATTAAAACACTTTATAATGTGCATAATGTATTGCTACAAAGCAACATACAGTTTAAAAAGTAGGGAAGATTTTTTTTATTTTTTATTTTATTATACTTTAAGATCTGGGGTACATGTGCACAACATGCATGTTTGTTACATAGGTATACCTGTGCCATGGTGGTTTGCTGCACCCATCAACTCGTGATTTACATTAGGTAGTTCTCCTAATGCTATCCCTTCCCTAACCCCCAACCCCCCCACAGGCCTCGGTGTGTGATGTTCCCTGCCCTGTGTCTGTGTATTCTCATTGTTCAACTCCCACTTATGAGTGAGAACATGTAGTGTTTGGTTTTCTGTCCTTGTGATAGTTTGCTGAGAATGATGGTTTCCAGCTTCATCCATGTCCCTGCAAAGGACATGAACTCATCCTTTTTTATGGCTGCATAGTATTCCACGGTGTATATGTGCCACATTTTCTTAATCCAGTCTATCATTGATGGACATCTGGGTTGGTTCCAAGTCTTTGCTACTGTGACTAGTGCCGCAATAAACATACATGTGCATGTGTCCTTATCATGATTTATAATCCTTTGGGTATATACCCAGTAATGGGATGGCTGGGTCAAATGGTATTTCTAGTTCTAGATCCTTGAGGAATCGCTGCATTGTCTTCCACAATGGTTGAACTGATTTACACTCCCACCAACAGTGTAAAAGTGTTATTTCTCCACATCCTCTCCAGCATCTGTTGTTTCCTGACTTTTTAATGATCACCATTCTAACTGGCGTGAGATGGCATCTCATTGTGGTTTTGATTTGCATTTCTCTGGTGACCAGTGATGATGAGCATTTTTTCATATGTCTTTTGGCTGCATAAATGTCTTCTTTTGAGAAGTGTCTGTTCATATCCTTCGCCCACTTGTTGATGGGGTTGTTTGATTTTTTTGTTGTAAATTTGTTTAAGTTCTTTGTAGCTTCTGGATATTAGCCCTTTGCCAGATGGGTAGATTGCAAAATTTTTCCCCATTCTGTAGGTTGCCTGTTCACTGTGATGATAGTTTCTTTTGCTGTGCAGAAGCTCTTTAGTTTAATTAGATCCCATTTGTCTATTTTGGCTTTTGTTGCCATTGCTTTTGGTGTTTTAGTCATGAAGCATTTATCCATGCCTATGTCCTGAATGGTATTGCCTAGGTTTTCTTCTAGGGTTTTTATGGTTTTAGGTCTTATGTTTAAGTCTTTAATACATCTTGAGTTAATTTTTGTATAAAGTGTAAGGAAGGGATCCTGTTTCAGCTTTCTACATATGGCTAGCCAGTTTTCCCAGCACCATTTATTAAACAGGAAATCCTTTCCCCATGCTTGTTTTTATCAGGTTTGTCAAAGATCAGATGGTTGTAGATGTGTGGTGTTATTTCTGCGGCCTCTGTTCTGTTCCATTTGTCTATATATCTGTTTTGGTACCACTACCATGCTGTTTTGGTTACTGTAGTCTTGTACTATAGTTTGAAGTCAGGTAGCGTGCTGCCTCCAGCTTTGTTCTTTTTGCTTAGGATTGTCTTGGCAATGTGGGCTCTTTTTTTGTTCCATATGAACTTTAAAGTAGTTTTTTCCAATTCTGTGAAGAAAGTCATTGGTAGCTTGATGGGGATGGCATTGAATCTATAAATTACCTTGGGCAGTATGGCCATTTTCACGATATTGATTCTTCCTATCCATGAGCATAGAATGTTCTTCCGTTTGTTTGTCCTCTTTTATTTTGTTGAGCAGTGGTTTGTAGTTCTCCTTGAAGAGGTCCTTCACATCCCTTGTAAGTTGGATTCCTAGGTATTTTATTTTCTTTGTAGTAATTGTGAATGGGAGTCCATTCATGATTTGGCTCTCTGTTTGTCTGTTATTGGTATATAGGAATACTTGTGATTTTTGTGCAATGATTTTGTGTCCTGAGACTTTGCTGAAGTTGCTTATCAGCTTAAGGAGATTTTGGGCTGAGATGATGGTGTTTTCTAAATATACAGTCATGTCATCTGCAAACAGAGACAATTTGACTTCCTCTTTTCCTAATTGAATACCCTTTATTTCTTTCTCTTGCTTGATTGCCCTGGCCAGAACTTCCACCACTATGTTGACTAGGAGTGGTGAGAGAGGGCAACCTTGTCTTGTGCCAATTTTCAAAGGGAATGCTTCCAGTTTTTGCCCATTCAGTATGATATTGACTGTGGGTTTGTCATAAATAGCTCTTATTATTTTGAAATACGTCATCAATACATAGTTTATTGAGAGTTTTTAGCATGAAGGGTTGTTGAATTTTTGTCGAAGGCCTTTTCTACATCTATTGAGATAATCATGTGGTTTTTGTCGTTGGTTCTGTTTATGTGATGGATTACATTTATTGATTTGCATATGTTGAACCAGCCTTGAATCCCAGGGATGAAGCCGGCTTGATCATGGTGGATAAGCTTTTTGATGTGCTGCTGGATTTCGTTTGCCAGTATTTTATTGAGGATTTTTGCATTGATGTTCATCAGGGATATTGGCTTAAATTTTCTTTTTTTGTTGTGTCTCTGCCAGGCTTTGGTATCAGGATGATGCTGTTCTCATGAAATGAGTTAGGGAGGATTCTCTCTTTTTCTATTGATTGGAATAGTTTCCGAAGGAATGGTACCAACTCCTCTTTGTACCTCCAGTAGAATTTGGCTGTGAATCCGTCTGGTCCTGGACTTTTTTTGGTTGGTAGGCTATTAATTATTGCCTCAATTTCAGAGCCTGTTATTGGTCTATTCAGGGATTCAACTTCTTCCTGGTTTAGTCTTGGGAGGGTGTATGTGTCCAGGAATTTATTCATTTCTTCTAGATTTTCTAGTTTATTCGTGTAGAGGTGTTTATAGTATTCCTGATGGTAGTTTGTATTTCTGAGGGATTGGTGGTGATGTCCCCTTTATCATTTTTTATTGTGTCTATTTGATTCTTCTCTCTTTTCTTCTTTATTAGTCTTGCTAGCAGTCTATCAATTTTGTTGATCTTTTCAAAAAACCAGCTCCTAGATTCACTGATTTTTTGGAAGGGTTTTTTGTGTCTCTATCTCCATCAGTTCTGCTCTGATCTTAGTAATTTCTTGCCTTCTGCTAGCTTTTGAATGTGTTTGCTCTTGCTTCTCTAGTTCTTTTAATTGTGATGTTAGGGTGTTGATTTTAGATCTTTCCTGCTTTCTCTTGTGGGCATTTAGTGCTCTAAATTTCCCTCTACACACTGCTTTAAATGTGTCCCAGAGATTCTGGTATGTTGTGTCTTTGTTCTCATTGGTTTCAAACAACATCTTTATTTCTGCCTTCATTTCATTATTTACCCAGTAGTCATTCAGGAGCAGGTAGTTCAATTTCCATGTAGTTGTGCAGTTTTGAGTGAATCTTAATCCTGAGTTCTAATTTGATTGCACTGTGGTCTGACAGACAGTTTGTTGTGATTTCTGTTCTTTTATATTTGCTGAGGAGTGTTTTACTTCCAATTATGTGGTCAATTTTAGAATAAGCGCGATGTGGTGCTGAGAAGAATGTATATTCTGTTGATTTGGGGTGGAGAGTTCTGTAGATGTCTATTCGGTCCCCTTGGTCCAGAGCTGAGTTCAAGTCCTGGATATGCTTGTTAACCTTCTGTCTCATTGATCTGTCTAATATTGACAGTGGGGTATTAAAGTCTCCCATTATTACTGTGTGGGAGTCTAAATCTCTTTGTAGGTCTCTAAGGACTTGCTTTATGAATCTGGGTGCTCCTGTTTGGGGTGCATATGTATTTAGGATAGTTAGTTCTTCTTATTGAATTGATCCCTTTACCATTATGTAATGCCCTTCTTTCTCTCTTTTGATCTTTGTTGGTTTGAAATCTTTTTTTTTTTTTTTAGTCAGAAACGAGGATTGCAACCCCTGATTTTTTTTTTGCTTTCCATTTGCTCGGTAGATCTTCCTCCATCCCTTTATTTTGAGCCTATTTGTATCTTTGCACATGAAATGGGTCTCCTGAATACAGTACAACGATGGGTCTTGACTTTTTATCCAATTTGTCAGTCTGTTTTTCAGTTGGGGCATTTAGCCTATTTACATTTAAGATTAATATTGTTATGGGTGAATTTGATCCTGTCACTATGATGTTAGCTGGTTATTTTGCCCATTAATTGATGCAGTTTCTTCATAGTGTCAATGGTCTTTACACTTTGGCATGTTTTTGCAGTGGCAGTGGCTGATACCAGTTGTTCCTTTCCATGGTTAGTGCTTCCTTCAGGAGCTCTTGTAAAGCAGGCCTGGTGGTGACAAAATCTCTCAACATTTGCTTGTCTGTAAAGGATTTTATTTCTCCTTCACTTATGAAGCTTAGTTTGGCTGGATATGAAATTCTGGTTTGAAAATTCTTTTCTTAAAAATGTTGAATATTGGCCCCCACTCTCTTCTGGCTTGTAAGGTTTCTGCTGAGAGATCTGCTGTTAGTCTGATGGGCTCCCCTTTGTGGGTGACCCGACCTTTCTCTCTGGCTGCCCTTAACATTTTTTCCTTCATTTCATCCTTGGTGAATCTGACAATTGTGTGTCTTGGAGTTGCTCTTCTTAAGAAGTATCTTTGTGGTGTTCTTTGTATTTCCTAAATTTGAATGTTTTCCTGCCTTGCTAGGTTAGGGAAGTTCTCCTGGATAACATCCTGAAGAGTATTTTGTAACTTGGTTCCATTCTCCCCGTCACTTTCAGGTACACCAGTCAAATGTAGATTTGGTCTTTTCACATAGTCCCATATTTCTTGGAGGCTTTGTTCATTTCTTTTCATTCTTTTTTCTCTAATCTTGTCTTCTTGCTCTATTTCATTGAGTTGATCTTCAATCACTGATACCCTTTCTTCCACTTGATTGAATCAGCTACTGAAGCTTGTGCATGAGTCATGTAGTTCTCGTGCCATGGGTTTCAGCTCCATCAGGTCATTTAAGGTCTTCTCTATACCGTTTATTCTAGTTAGCCATTTGTCTAACCTTTTTTCAAGGTTTTCAGCTTCCTTGCGATGGGTTTGAACATCCTCCTTTAGCTCGGAGAAGTTTGTTACCAACCTTCTGAAGCCTACTTCTGTCAACTTGTCAAACTCATTCTCCATCCAGTTTTGTTCCCTTGCTGGTGAGGAGCTGTGATCCTTTGGAGGAGAAGAGGCAATCTGGTTTTTGGAATTTTCAGCTTTTCTGCTCTGGTTTCTTCCCATCTTTGTGGTTTTTTCTACCTTTGGTCTTTGATGTTGGTGACCTACAGATGGGGTTTTGGTGTGGATGTCCTTTTTGTTGGTGTTGATGCTATTCCTTTCTGTTTGTTAGTTTTCCTTCTAACAGTCAGGACCCTCAGCTGCAGGTCTGTTGGAATTTGCTGGAGGTCCACTCCAGACCCTGTTTGCCTGGATATCACTAGCGGAGGCTGCAGAACAGCAAATATTGCTGCCTGATCCTTCCTCTGGAAGCTTTGTTCCAGAGGTGCACCTGCCTGTGTGAGGTGTCTGTTGGCCCCTACTGGGAGGTGTCTCCCAGTCAGGGTACACGGGGGTCAAGGACCGACTTGAGGAGGCAGTCTGTCCATTTTCGGAGCTCAAATGCCATGCTGGGAGAACCACTGCTCTCTTCAGAACTGTCAGACAGGGGCGTTTAGGTCTGCCAAAGCTGTCTGCTGCCTTTTGTTCTGACATGCCCTGCCCACAGAGGTGGAATCTAGAGAGGCAGTAGGCCTTGCTGAGCTGCAGTGGGCTCCACCCAGTTCAAGCTTCCCGGCCTGTTTACACTGTGAGCATAAAACTGCCTACTCAAGCCTCAGGAATGGCGGACGCCCTCCCACCCCCCCAACAAGCTGCAGCATGCCAGGCCAATCTTAAGACTGCTGCACTGGCAGTAAGCAAGGATCCATGGGCATGAGCCCCACCGAGCCAGGCACGGGAGGGAATCTCCTGGTCTGTCAGTTGTGAAGACCATGGGAAAAGCCCAGTATTTGGGCAGGAGTGTACTGTTCCTCCAGGTACAGTCTGTCACGGCTTCCCTTGGCTAGGAAAGGGAAATCCCCTGACCCCTTGCACTTCCCAGGTGAGGCGATGCCCTGCCCTGCTTTGGCTCGCCCTCCATGGGCTGCACCCACTGTCCAACTAGTCCCAATGAGATGAACCAGGTACCTCAGCTGGAAATGCAGAAATCACCCATCTTCTGTGTTGGTCTTGCTGAGAGCTGCAGACCGGAGCTGTTCCTATTCCAGCAAGATGCTTTTAAAACCTTAGAGATGATGGATCCCAGACACCAAGCTTCTGGCTGTGGCTTGGCCTTTCTAAGTATTCAACAAGTCTGTCTTTTCCAAGTGTCTTTAAAGACCAGAAATACCTGTTTTTAACACACAGGGTTGCAAAATTCAGAGGAGATTGGCGAGCATCCCTCTTGTCTGCCCCACATGTGTTTCTTTGCCAGAGGCCACCGTGGCGAGCAGGGGCCTGTGACTGCCCCAACCAAAATTTTGGAAAGTCATTCTGGCGCTACCAGATGCCCCGAGGTTCCCAGGTTGGAGTCTTTCTCTCCCACTGGGTTTCTCCTGCAACTCTTCCCAGCCCACTGGCCCCACTGCCAGAGCACACAGGAGTCCGGACACACACCGCGGGACAGCCTGACTCGCTACTGCTCTCTGCACGTGCTATATGAGAGGGTTCTTTTGAGAACAGAAAATGCAGTGACTGAGCAGGAAAGGGTGAAGGAGGAAAACCAGAGGTCGCATGCAGCCAACCAGGCATTACAAAAATGCCTTCTGGAAAAGTGCACTTGGAGTTGGTTTCCAGAGAAAATGAAAAGTCCCTCCAGAGAAATGTAAAGGCCAGAGAAACGAAGACTCAGAGAATGAAAAGGCCAACCCTGCTCATCCAGTAGCCCAGGGCTAGCCCAGACAGACCCATTCTCTTGTTGGGCTTATGACTCTGGGTGAGTCTTGGTTTCTTTCTCACCCCAAAGCCAATGTTAAACCTACAAATGAAAAAGAACACTTAAAAGGATGATCTGGGCCAGGTTCAGTGGCTCACGCCTGTTATCCCAGCACTTTGGGAGGCTGAAGCGGGTGGATCTCTGGAGGTCAGGAGTTTGAGACCAGCCTGGCCAACCTGACAAAACTCTGTCTCTACTAAAAATACAAAAGTTAGCCAGGAGTGGTGGCGGGTACCTGTAATCCCAGCTACTTGGGAGGCTGAGGCTGGAGAATCACTTGAACCCAGCAGGCAGAGGTTGTAGTGAGCTGAGATCTGCCACTGCACTCCAGCCTGGGCAACAAGGGTGAAACTCTGTCTCGAAAAAAAAAAAAAAGGATGATCAGCAACTTGGCAAATCGTAGCCATGTTTGTTAAGTGGAGGAAAAGTATTAAACATATTATGAAAACAGAAATGGTAGTCATGTCAAACAAACAAACATTACATATGTAGGGAAAAAGATTGGCAACAAATACACAAAAAATAAAGTTCTGTTTTGATATTCTGAATTTGAGTGGTTCCCCACACCCTCTACAATTTCCAAGTTTTATGAAACATGTTGTCTCCTTTAATTAAGGCAGCAGTAACCTCTACGCACGTGATCCCCACTGCACTCTAAAACTTCCAATTAGGCCGGGCGTGGTGGCTCATTCCTGTAATCCCAGCACTGTGGGAGGCCTAGGTGGAGAGGATCACTTGAGTCCAGGAGTTGGAGACCAGCCTGGGCAACATGCTGAAACCGTCTCTACAATAAATACAAAAATTAGTGGGGCATGGTGGCACACACCTGTAGTTCCAGCTACTTGGGAGACTGAGACGAGAGGATTGCTTGACTCTGGGAGATCCAGGTTGTAGTGAACCAAGATCATGCTGTGTCCGGAATTGTTGGGTTCTTAGTCTCGCTGACTTCAAGAATGAAGCCGTGTACCCTCGCGGTGAGTGTTACAGTTCTTAAAGATGGTGTGTCCAGAGTTTGTTCCTTCAGATGTTCAGATGTGTCCAGAGTTTCTTCCTTCTGGTGGGTTCATGGTCTCACTGACTTCAGGAGTGAAGCTGCAGACTTCCGCGGTGAGTGTTATAGCCCTTAAAGGTGGCATATCTGGAGTTGTTCGTTCCTTCTGGTGGGTTCGTGGTCTTGCTGGCCTCAGGAGTGAAGCTGCAGACCTTCGCAGTGAGTGCTACAGTTCATAAAGGTGGTGCACCCGAAGTTGTTTGTTCCTCCCGTCTGGAGTTGTTTATCCCTCCCAGTGGGTTTGTGGTCTCGCTGGCTTAAGGAGTGAAGCTGCAGACCTTCACAGTGAGTGTTAACAGTTCATAAAAGCAGCGTAGACGCAAAGAGTGAGGAGCACTAAGATTTACTGCAAAAAGCAAAAGAACAAAGCAGCTTTTACAGTGTGGAAGAGGACCCGAGCATGTTGCCGCCGCTGGCTTGGGTGGCCTGCTTTTATTCCCCCATCCGGCCCCACCCACATCCTGCTGATTGTTCTATTTTACAGAGAGCTGATTGGTCCATTTTACGGAGAGCTGATTGGTTCATTTTACAGAAAGCTGATTGGTCCGTTTTGACAGAGTGCTTATTGGTGTGTTTACAATCCTTTAGCTAGACACAGAGTGCTGATTGGTGAGTTTACAATCCTTTAGCTAGACACAAAAGTTCTCTAAATCCCCACCAGATTAGCTAGACACAGAGTGGTGATTGGTGCATTTACAAACTTTTAGCTAGACACAGAGTGCTGATTGGTGCGTTTACAATCCTTTACCTAGACACAGAGTGCTGATTGGTGCGTTTACAATCCTTTAGCTAGACACAGAGTGCTGATTGGTGCATTTACAATCCTTTAGCTAGACACAAAAGTTCTCCAAGTCCCCACCCGACCCAGAAGCCCAGCTGGCTTCACCTCTCAATGGCACTCCTGGGACTTTGCCGCGCCTAGTGGGGCACTCCGGCAGCCCAGAGGGCGCTCCTCCCCCACCCCCCCATCAAGCCCAGCAGGCGACGCCAACCTTGCCCCCAGTGCAGGGCCTGCCTAGCCCGCACCCACCCGGAACACCACTGGCCCGGGAGCACCACGCGCAGCCCCTGTTCCCACTGGCGTCTCTCCCTCCACACCTCCCCCCAAGCAGAGGGAGACGGCTCCGGCCTCAGCCAGCCCCAGAGAGGGGCCCCCACAGCACAGCAGTGGGCTGAAGGGCTCCTCGAGCCCGGCCAGAGCAGACACCGAGGCCGAGGAGGCGCCAAGAGCAAGCAAGGGCTGCTAGCAGGTTGTCACCTCTCAATGCCACTGCACTCTAGCCTGAGTAACAGAGCAGATCTGGTGTCAAAAAATAAAATAAAAAATAAAGAAAGAGACCAGGCACGGTGGCTCACGCCTGTAATCCCAGCACTTTGGGAGGCTGAGGTGGGCAGATCACGAGCTCAGGAGTTTGAGACCACCCTGGCCAACATGGCAAAACCTTGTCTCTACTAAAAGTACAAAAATTAGCTGGGCATGGTGGTGGGTGCTTGTATTCCCAGCTACTCAGGAGGCTGAGGCAGGAGAATCACTTGCATCTGGGAGGCAGAGGTTGCAGTGAACCCAGATCGCGCCACTGCACTCTAGCCTGGGCAACAAGAGTGCAACTTCGTCTCAAAAAAATAAATAAAGAAAAATAAAATGAAACCTCCAATTAAAAGGAGAAATTCAACCAGGTGCAGTGGCTCACGCCTGTATCCCAACACTTTGGGAGGCCAAGGTGGGTGGATCGCTTGAGGTCAGGAGTTCGAGACCAGCCTGACCAACATGGTGAAACCCCATCTCTACTAAAAATACAAAAAATTAGCTGGATGTGGTGGTGCACACCTGTAGTCCCAGCTACTCGGGAGTCTGAGGCAGGAGAATTGCTTAAACTTGGGGCGTGGAGGTAGCAGTGAGCCGAGATCACGCCATTGCATTCCAGCTTGGGTGACAGAGCGAGACTCAGTCACAAATAAATAAATAAATAAATAGGCCAGGTGCGGTGGCTCACGCCTGTAATTCCAGCACTTTGGGAGGCCGAGGTGGGCGGATCACCTGAGGTCAGGAGTTCGAGACCAGCCTGCCCAACATGGTGAAACCCCATGTCTACTAAAAATACACACACAGACACAAAATAGCCAAAATTAGCCAAAAAATTATAAATAAATAAAATAAAAAGATAAGTTGCACACTCAGGAGGCTGAGGCAGGAGACTCGCTTGAACCCAGGAGGTGGAGGCTGCAGTGAGCCGAGACCACGCCATTGCACTCCAGTCTGGGCGACAAAGCAAGACTCTGTCTCAAAAAAAAAAAAAAAAAGACAAATTCAGCAGAAGCATTGCTTGAGTAACACGGAAACTCAGAACCAGGAAACTGAAGGCGGTTACTCCACATACATCTGGGGCAATAAGTGAGCTGTTCCAGCGCGGCTTACGCTGTGGGCGGAGGCGGGCAGGAAATTCACTTACAAGTCTGTGCCAGGAAACAGGAAGAAGGTGCCTCCTGTGATACAAGATACAGACGTAGTCTCCTATCCAGGAAACAGGGACAGAGCCGCAGACCAGATAAAGATACGACCAACATTTTTCATTAAATATTCTCAACGGATTATTTACATTTTTTCTAGAAAAGTAAAATTTAAACCTGAATACATTTGATAACTATGGAATGTGAGCATTCACGTATGCTTGTGACCTGGTTCCTCTACGCTTCAGGGGTCGCCCTGGTCCCAAAGCGCTTCCTGCCGCTCCCACTTCCTCTGTTTTCACCGGAGGGGCAGCCACAGTTCTCGGCTGAGAGAAACTCGGTCGTTCTGTTTACCTCGTGAATGATTGGCTACAGATCCCAGAGAGGAAATAGGGACCCACCCCTCAGTTGTTATGCAATCTGGGGCGGAGTCCGGGGTCCATAGCCTTTCTGAGGGTAACCTGAGCGGGAGAAGTTGTTGCGCCTGATCTCAAACAGCCTTTCGCACGGAAAAGGATTCCTAAAAGTGGGGTTACTCCTCCACAGCAATAGCGTCCTTAAAATAGGGGCTCCCGGCTGGGCGCGGTGGCTCACCCCTGTAATCCCAGCACTTGAGAGGCCAAGACAGGCGGATCACCTGAGGTTGGGAGTTCGAGACCAGCCTGAACAACATGGAGAAACCCCCTCTCTACTAAAAATACAAAATTAGCTGGGTGTGGTGGCGCATGCCTGTAATACAAGCTACTCGGGAGGCTGAGGCAGGAGAATCGCTTGAACCTGGGAGGCGGAAGTTGCGGTGAGCCGAGATGGCGCCATTGCACTATAGCCTGGGCAGCGGCAAGAGCGAAACTCCGTCTCAAAAAAAAAAAAAAAAAAAAAAAAACTATATATCTATCTATCATCTATCTATCTATCTATCTATCTATCTATCTATCTATCTAGGCTGCCGGTGAGGACGTGAGGCACGTGCCACTGAGCCACTGAGAATTTACCCCCCTGGGCAAGTCTGTGAGGCCAGGGCCCCTAGGGAAAAAAGCCTTTCCCAGATTTTAGGGCTCATATGCCTGCAGTGGGTTGGTAGGGATCGGGGAAGATGATGAGGTTGGGATAAGGAAGTGGTACCAATAGAAAGACTAAGCAAACCAAACCAAATCAAACTTTCCCCTTTCCATCCCTGTCCTCCTCTTTGCAATCCCATTTGGGTGGCTGAAGGCAGACCCTGACCAGAGCCATCCTTGCCGGCTTCTTTTGTCTTGCTCTGTGGGGAAACGAGTGAAGAAAAAAGCAGAAGGAAAGGCAAGTGAAATGGAGCCCTCTGTGAAGAACTACGACTAGGGTCACACAGAGCAAAATTCCTAGCCTTCCTTTGAGGAGTAGCCGTATTTCCATTTAAAAAAGACCCACTTTATGCAAGATTCAGGGCTGGGAATTGGTCCTTCCTGCCTCAAGAATTTCAAAGACTTCTAGAGGAGAGTGTCCAAAGACAGACAAGAAAGTGGCCAGTGCCCTGAAGAAAGTCAGGGGGTCCAGGGGAGTGTGAACCCTGAATATCTGAGACAGGTCTCAGTTAATTTAGAAAGTTTATGTTGTCAGGGTTGAGGATGTGTGTCGGTGACACAGCCTTAGGAAGTCCTGATGACATGTGCCCAAGTTGTCAGGGCACAGCTTGGTTTTATACATTTTAGGGAGACATGAGACATCAATCAACATATGTAAGATTAACATTGGTTCGGTCTGGAAAGGCGGGACAACTTGAAGCAATGGTGGGACAACTCCAAGTGGCGAGGGGGCTTCCAGGTCATAGGTAGATAAGAGACAAATGGTTACTTTCTTTTGAGTTTCTTTTTTTTTGAGATGGAGGCTCGCTCCTGTTGCACAGGCTGGAGTGCAGTGGTGCGATCTTGGCTTGTTGCAACCTCCACCTCCCAGGTTCAAGCGATTCTCATTCCTCAGCCTCCCGAATAGCTGGGATTACAGGCATGTGCCACCACGCTGAGCTAATTTTTGTATTTTTAGTAGAGACGGGGTTTCACCATGTTGGCCAGGCTGGTCTCGAACTCCTGGCCTCGGGTGATCCACCCGCCTCGGCCTCCCAAAGTGCTAGGATTACAGGTGTGAGCCACTGTGCCCGGCCTCTTTTGAGTTTCTGATTAGCCTCTCCAAAGGAGGCAATCAGATAGCATTTATCTCAGTAAGCAGAGGAGTGACCGAATAGAATGAGACGTAGGTTTGCTCTCAGCAGTTCCCAACTTGACTTTTCCCTTTAGCTTAGTGATTTTCGGGCCCCAAGATTTATTTTCCTTTCACAGGTATCCCCTGTTCAGTTCAGACTGAACCTGAGGGGGTGTAGGGATGTACTCCAGGCTGGAGTGAAGTGGCATGATCTCGGCTCACTGCAACGTCTGCTTTCTAGGCTCAAGAGATCCTCCCAACTCAGCCTCCTGAGTAACTGGGATTTCAGGTGAGCACAACCATGCCCAGCTAATTTTTGTATTTTTAGTAGAGACGGGGTTTTGCCCTGTTTCCCAGGCTGGTCTGGAACTCCTGAACTCAGGTGATCCACCCACCTCGGCCTCCCAAAGTGCTGGGAATACAGGCGTCAGCCACTGTGCCCAGCCAAATTCTACGTCTTTTAAAAAATTAAGAGAAGAAATTAGTAAAATACACTTAAAGTTTTTCGTATGAAACTTATTTAGTGTTTCTGATGATTTGTTCTTGTGGATTGGACTTACAATCTGATGTGGTTCCTTTGTTTCAATGTAACTCCATCTTTTCCCTATCCTTTGTACCATTATTGTCATATGTGTGTGAGTGCATATATACACACACATTATCTTTAGATGTTACAAACCCAACACTGTAATTTTATAATTGTTGTTTTATGTAATTTCTTTTAAAACAGTTAAGAAATGAAAAGGAGCCAGGCATGGCGGTGTGCATCTGTAGTCCCAGCTACTCAGGAGGAGGCTGAGGTGAGGGGATCACTTGAGTCCAGGATTTGAGGCTGCAGTGAGCGATGGTCAAACCACTGCACTCCATCCTGGGTGAGAGAGTGAGACCTTGTCTCTCAAAAAAGAAAAAGAAAAAAAAGAGATTTGTAGTTTTTAGTTTTTAGTTTTTAAAAAATAATTACCAACATATTATTTTTTCTGATGCTGTTTGTTTCTTTTACAAATTTTACTTTTTTTAATGTAATATTTTTGAGATGGAGTCTTGCTCTGTTGCCCAGGCTGGACTACAGTGGTGTGATCTTGGCTCACTGCAGACTCCACCTGCTGGGTTCAAGTGATTCTTGTGCCTCAGCCTCCCAAGTAGCTGGGATTACAGGTGTGCGCCACTGTGCCTAGCTACAAGTTTTATCTTTAATTGACATACAATAATTGTTTTTCATTGGATTGGGATTATTATCTGGTGTCATTTCTTCTCAGTCTGAAGAACTTACTTTAGTATTACATTAGTGTTTCTTGTAAGACATATCTGCAAGAGATAAATCTCCCTAGTCTTTGTTTATCTAAGAATATGTTCATGTTGGCTTCTCTTTTTGTTTTCTTTAGAATAAATTTTGGTTTTGGAGACAGGGTCTCGCTCTGTTGCCCAGGCCGGAGTGTAGTGGCATGATCATGTCTCATTGCAACCTCAATCTCTCGGGCCTAAGAGAGCCTCCTGCCTCAGCCTCCTGAGTAGCTAGGACTACAGGTGTGCACTACCACACATGGCTAAATTTTTTTTTTTTTTTTTTTTGCAGAGACAGGGTCTTACTTTGTTGCCCAGGCTGGTCTTGAACTCCTGGGTTCAAGCGATCCTCCCACCTTGGCCTCCCAAAGTGCTGGGATTATGGGTGCAAACCACTGTCCCTGTACCGGTCTTCAGTTTTGAAGGATAATTTTTCTTGATGTAAAATTCTTGATTGCTAGCTTCTCCCCACTAACCCCCAAATTTGCATATGTTACTGTCTTCTTTAATTTTTTTTTTTTTTGAGACAGAGTCTTGCTCTGTTGCCCAGGCTGGAGTGCAGTGGCACAATCTTGGCTCACTGCAGCCTCCGCCTCCCGGGTTCAAGCAATTCTCCTGCCTCAGCCTCCCGAGTAGCTGGGATTACAGGCATGTACCACCACACCCAGCTAATTTTTATATTCTTAGTAGAGATGGGGTTTCACCATGTTGGCCAGGCTGGTCTTGAACTCTTGACCTCGTGATCTGCCTGCCTCAGCCTCCCAAAGTGCTGGGATTATAGACATGAGCCACGGCACCCAGCCCATGTTACAGCCTTCTAACCTCCATTGTTACTGATGAGGTTAGCTATTAAGATTATTGTGTCTGTGTGTATGAGTGTATTTGTATGAGATGAGTTTTTTCTCATTGCTTTTAAGATGTCATTTCTATTTTTGGCTGGTAATAGTTTCAGTATAATATATTAATGTTTAGGTGTGAATCAATTTTTTTTTTTTTTTTGAGACAGAGTCTCACTCCATTTCCAGGGCTGGAGTATAGTGGCATGATATTAGCTCATTGCAACCTCTGACTCCGTGGTTCAAGCAATTCTCCTGCCTCAGCCTCCCGAGTAGCTGGGATTACAGGTGTGCATCACCATGCCCAGCTAATTTTTGTATTTTTATTGAGACAGATTTCACCATGTTGGCCAGGCTGGTCTCGAACTCCTGACCTCAAATGATCCACACACCTCAGCCTCCCAAAGTGCAGGGATTACAGGCATGAGCCACCGTGCCTGGCCGACAATTTCTATTGACTGTTTCTCCCTGCAAATGGATTGCATTTTCCTATTTCTTTGCCCTTTTGTAACTTTTTTGGAAAACTGAAAATTTTAGACAATATATGCTAGCTCTGGATTCCAATTTCTTTCTCTTGGGGGTGAAGGTGGTTGTTGTTTTGTTTGTTTTTATAGTGACTTGCCTGTACTAATTCTGTGGAGTCCCTTTCCCTTGCAGTATGAGGGTTCAGATATTTTTATAGTGACTTGCCTGTACTAATTCAGTGGAGTCCTTTTCCCTTGCAGTATGCAGTATGAGGCTTCAGATATTTCTGCTCAGATATTTCTGCTCAGGTTCCTTTTTGTTTTTGAGACAGAGCTTCACTCTTGTTGCCCAGGCTAGAGTGCAACGGCGTGATCTCGGCTCACTGCAACCTCTGCCTCCTGGGTTCAAGCGATTCTCCTGCCTCAGCCTCCCGTCCTTTTTTAATTCTTATGTTTATTTTTAAGCCTGAATTCTTAGGGGTTGCCCCTGGATCAGCATAGCTTAATGGTCAGCCAGTGATCTGTTAGAGTTTGTGCTTAAATGCCTTAAGCCAGTAAGGCTTCTAACCCTGCTGTTGGAGCTGTGTGTGATTTGGAGGGTACTTTCAAAGTTCAGAGAGTTTACAAGTGAGCCATGGCTTTCTCTTTATTTCTGAGACCTCATATTTAGTTGCAGGGAGGAGTAGCTTCCTATAGCCTTCTCAAGTCTCTCTTCTAAGCAGTTATAACCCTGTGTGCTGCACATAGCTTTTTAAACTACCAAAGTTAAATGGTATTTTACTAAGGCATTCTTTGTCTGTTTTGTTCCTTTGATTTCCCTTTTAAATTTCTGGCTAGTCTGCTATTTTGCTGCTTCTCCCAACCATTGTCATGACGCAGGCTAGCCACACCGTTAGGCTTTGCTAATGAATTCTTCTGTGAAAAAGTACTGCCACATCTTCCCATTTATTTATTTAAGAATTTCTTTTATCAATATGGGCTAATGGATACTTATTTTATTCTATGGGTTATAATCCAATTCCATTATTACTTATTTTGTTGCTCAAATTGTTTCCATTTTAACTATTGGAATTATTTCCAGTTGGCTCCTGTGTCCCTTTGATATGGTTCTCACCTTTTAATCGAGCATGTAAATACTTTCTGACATCATAGGATGCCCCAGTCCTAGAATCGACCGTTTCTCCAAGGAGCCGGAATGCCGTTTTGTTTTCAATTTAAATTTTTTTTGTGTAGAGATAGTGTCTCACTATGTTGCCCAGGCTAGCCTCGAAATCCTGGCCTCAAGCGATCCTCCTGCCTCAGCCTCCCAAAGTGCTAGTATTACAGGCGTGAACCACCATATCTGGCCTGTCAGATTCTTTTAATTTTTGGTTTTTAACTTTTTATTATTGAAAACTTAAAATTTATAAAAAATTAGAAAGAATAGCAAAGTGTTTCCATCACTCAGCTTCAACAATCATCCCTCCCTTAGAGAATCCTAGTAATCTGAACAGGAATGTGGATCAGCAAGGCCTGTTTAGGTGACTAAAGCAGTGAAAATTATCTCCATCAATTGTGTGGGATGAATTTTCAACAGCAACACCTATAGCAGAGAAAAGCAACAGCTTCTTTTCTGTTCTTAGCACTGAAGGGGACTACGAGTGTACCCTTTGGCTGTGGGGTGCTTAGACATTTCACAGGAAGCCTCAAGAGGTATTAGAATGGATCACTGGAAAAATAAAGTTGTGAATATATTTGTATCTTGGGTTTTTAGTGGAAGCTCACATTAGTTACAGTTATGACAAAACCTATTCTCTGTACACCCAAGGGTCTTTTTTGGTCACAAGAGAATATTTTCAAGGGGAATTTAAAAACATAAGAAACCACGTTTACGCTGGGCACAGTGGCTCATGCCTGTAATCCCAGCACTTTGGGAATCTGAGGTGGGCAGACCACTTGAGCCCAGGAGTTTGAGACCAGCCTGGCCAACATGGTGAAACCTCGTCTCTACCAAAAATACAAATAATAATAATAATAATAATAATAAAAATAAAGCAGGGCATGGTGGCGTGCACCTGTAGTCCCAGCTACTGGGGAGGCTGAAGTGGGTGGGAGAATTGCTTTAACTGGGGAGGCAGAGGTTGCAGTGAGCTGAGATTGTGCCACTGCACTCCAGCCTGGGTGACAGAGTGAGAGCCTGTCTAAAAAACAAACAAACAAACAAAAAACCACGTTTAGTCTGAGGAACAGTACCTCGTGGTACATTGCCATAATTAGTTCCCAAGAGAAGATTGAGTGTCAGGCCCTGGAGAGGCCTGGAGCACTAATCAGGGAACCAAGGCTGGGGAGGGTGGGGGAAGGCCCAGCTAGATCTTTCGTTCCTGATCTTCTTTCTCATGATCCAAAGAGATGTACTTATTACTTTTTGTCATTATGTCTGTTAAGTATTTTTAAATTCACTGGTTCTCTCTCATTTTTTTTTTTAGCTTTAACTTCCGCTACAGTTTACCACAACTTCCTGGTTCCTCCCCTTTGTGGTCACAAAAACATTTCCTAGTTGAGATACATTTTCTTGACTTGAGTCTCCTTTCTCTGGTTCATTTGGTGCCTTTATCAACTCTATGCATAGTGAGGTTTTAAGTCTTTATAAAGATCATTGGCACATGAGGGGGTCTGCAGCCTACTGTCCTATTTACTCAGTTTGGTGTTATTCTACTATATTTGTGATGTCAGGAGCCACACTGTCTGGAAATGATGCTGGGAGGTCATTCTGGGTTGCCTGAAAAACAAACTCATTAGAACCTGGGGCTCCCTCTTCTTCCAGTGAGTGGGGTTTCCAAAAGTTAGAATCCAGTGGAACCAGGGGTGTTTTTCTCACTCCTGGCAGAGGGACGTGTGACTAGCCATGGGCCCCTAGGTCTCCAGTTCCTGGGTAGCTTGTATTTTTGAACATCTCCTGTATATTAGTTATCATTACAGCATAAAAATTGTCCTAAAATAAGTGGCTTAAAACAACACACCCTTATTATCTCACAATATTTGAAGGACAGCAATTCAATACAGCATAGCTGGGTCCTCTCTTCAGGGCCCCTCAAGGCTGCAATCATAGTTGGGGTCTTCCCTGAAGACTCAACTAGGAAAGGATGAGCTTCCAAGCTCACTAACTTAGTTGTTGGTAGGAAGCACGAAGGGTGGTAGGACTGAAGGTTTGGTTCCTCTTGAATGTTGAGTTGAGAGCACTCTCAGTTCCTCACCACATGGACCTCCTTAACATGGCAGCTTGATTACTTGAGTCAGTAAATGAGTCTGCTAGCAAGATAAAAGCCACAAACTCTTATTGTCTACTCATGGATATGATAGACTTTCACCTTTGTCATATTCCATTGGTTAGAATTAAGTGACAAGGTCCATACCAAACTCAAGGTGGGAAGGATTCCACAAAGACTCGAATACTAAGATGGGGGATCATTAGAGACCATCTTAGAAGTCAGGTTAGCACAACCTGTCAATAACTGACACTCTAATCAAGAGTGCTAGGTGCCTACGCTGTTTGTGTGCCTCTTCATTGATAAGGCTGCTCTCATGCTTGACTCATAATGGAGAGCAATAACACACTGCCGCATCCCTCCCCTCCACCTGCATGTCCAGTAGTGTGCCTGGTTTGCTCTTCTATGGAAAAATAAAAGGAATTGGACTCATGCTTTCTCTTTACTTGCTGACACTGAATTGAAAATTCCCTCAAAAGCCTATTTCTTAACCCATAGCATGCGATATTCTGGCTTTTATCCTGAGCCCTGGTGAACAACAGGTGGTGACCCCAAGGGACCTGCTTTGCATGACAGCCTCACACCTGGTTTTCCTCTCAGTCCTCTCCCAGTCTCTCCTCTTTGCCTCATAAGTTTAGTTACACCCCGAACACTGTCTTTTGGCTATTTTGTGGATCCTGTTTGCAGCTTGAGGCACAGGTTATTCCTGCCCTTTGCCCACCATCTGCTCCTGGGACCCCAGCCTGAGTGGAAGAGGTCTTGGAGTGTGGCTTGGACATTATTAATCAGGTTTTCTCCACACCAGCACACATACACACCCATGTGCACACAAACACACAGGCACACCCCCCACACACATGCATGTGCGTGCACACACACACACATGCATGTCGACACACACACACACTTTGTTGTGGAATCTGGTGCCTGTGGTCTTATGTATTTTCGCAGGAATTTGTGCTTAATGGATATCCCGAGCAGTCTTCATTGGTTACCCACGCCCACTGTTATGCTTTATGAACAAACTCATGCATTCTTTCCTAAATAGACTGCATATTTCCTTTTCTTTTCTTTTCTTTCTTTCTTTTTTTTTGAGACGGAGTCTTGCTCTGTTGCCCAGGCTGGAGTGCAATGGGGGGATCTTGGCTCACTACAACCTCCGCCTCCTGGCTTCAAGCGATTCTCCTGCCTCATCCTCCCAAGTAGTTGGAATTACTGACGCCCTCTACCACGCCCGGCAAGTTTTGTATTTTTAGTAGAGACAGGGTTTCACTATGTTGGCCAGGCTGGTCTCAAACTCCTGACCTCAAGTGATCCACCTGCCTCAGCCTCCCAAAGTGTTGGGATTACAGGCATAAGCCATGGCGCCTGGCCATTTTTTTTTTTTTAAGAGACAGGGTCTCATCTCACTCTGTCACCCAGGCTAGAGTACAGTGGCATGATCACAGCTCTACTCTACTAAAAATACAAAAATTAGGCCGGGCGCAGTGGCTCACACCTGTAATCCCAGCACTTTGGGAGGCCGAGGTGGGTGGATCACCTGAGGTCGGGAGTTCAAGACCGGACTGACCAACATGGAGAAACCCTGCCTTGGCCGGGCACGGTGGCTCACGCCTGTAATCCCAGCCCTTTGGGAGGCCAAGGTGGGCTGATCACCTGAGGTCAGGAGTTTGAGACCAGCCTGGCCAACATGGTGAAACCCCGTCTCTATCAAAAATATAAAAATTAGCCAGGCACAGTGGCAGACGCCTGTAATCTCAGCTACTTGGGAGGCTGAGGCAGAAGAATCCCTTGAACCCGGGTGATGGAGTTTGCAGTGAGCCATCCTCACGAGATTGTGCCACTGCACTCCAGCCTGGGCGACAGAGCCAGACTCCATCCCAAAAAAAAAAAAAAAGAAAAAAAGAAAACCCGTCTCTACTAAAAATACAAAATTAGCGAGGTGTGGTGGCACATCCCTGTAATCCCAGCTACCTAGGAGGCTGAGGCAGGAATTGCTTGAACCTCGGAGGTGGAGGTTGCGGTGAACCAAGATTGCGCTATTGCACTCCAGCCTGGGCAACAAGAATGAAACTCCATCTCAAAACAAAAATAAAAATAAAAATACAAAAATTAGCCAGGCGTGGTGGCAGATGCCTGTAATCCCTGCTACTCAAGAGGCTGAGGTGGGAGGATTGCTTGAACTTGGGAGGCGGAGGTTGCAGTGAGCCGATATCCCGCCATTGCACTCCAGCCTGGGTGACAGCGTAAGACTCTGTCTCCAAAAAGAAAAGGGAATCCTACCTCCTGAGGGCCTCTGTTACTGTAATTTCTAAAAGTGCCCCACCTGACCCTTGAACCTAATCAACTCAATGTTAAAAGTCATAGCATAGTAGCTAATGCTCATATAGCCCTTTATGGCATTGTCTTACACACTGGCATCCAGCCAGTGTGCACTAGTACAGCCAATACTGATTGTTACAGAAAATAGAATGGTTATCGTGATAGGTGGTAAAATTAATAAGTACTAGAAATTCTAATATCTCATTAACTAATTAACTATTTGTCTTAGTCTATCACAGTGATCATCAATGGATGGGTCTCCTGCACTGCAGCATCTGAGAATCATTTATGGCACCACCGGCTGGTTCAGCCATGTCACCATTGTACATTCATTGTTTTGTGGTTTAGGAAAATCATCAGTTAATTGTTATCCTCACATGCTGTAACTTATAAATAGTATATTTGTTTGGCTTTTCCTTGTTTCTATTGTTATTGTGTTATTATTCATCTGGAAATAATAACTGTGCAGTGTTTTGATATCTATAAATTCAAGAACTTAGAATAGTAAACAGTAAGAGTGAAGTGACAAAGTTTAAATACATTTTATTTATTTATCTATTTACTTATTTTCTGAGATAAGAGTCTTACTCTGTTGCCCAGGCTGGAGTGCAGTGGTGTGATCTCGGCTCACTGCAACTTCTGTCTCCCAGGTTCAAGCGATCTTCCTGCCTCAGTCTCCTGAGTAGCTGGGACTACAGGTGTGTGCCACCACACCCACCAAATTTTTATATTTTTGTTTTATTTTATTTTTTTTGAGACAGAAGGGTTTTTGTTTTTTTTTTTTTTGAGACAGAAGGGTTTTTTTTTTTTTTTTTTTGAGACAGAGTTTCACTTTTGTTGCCCAGGCTGGAGTGCAATGGCGAAATCTCAGCTCACTGCAACCTCTGCCTCCCGGGTTCAAGCAATTCTCCTGCCTCAGCCTCCCAAGTAGCTGGGACTACAGGCATGTACCACCATGCCTGGCTAATTTTTTGTATTTTAGTGGAGACGGAGTTTCACGATGTTGGTCAGGCTGGTCTTGAACTCCTGACTTCAGGTGAGCCACCTGCCTTGGCCTCCCAAAGTGCTGGGATTACAGGCATGAGCCACCGCGCCCAGCCGATTTTTGTATTTTTAGTAGAGATGGGGTTTCGTCATGTTGGCCAAGCTGGTTTCAAACTCCTGACCTCAGGTGATCCATCAGCTTCAGCCTCCCAAAGTGCTGGGATTACAGGCATAAGCCACAGTGCCAGGCCTACATACATTTTAAACATTGCTTTTAGATACTGTAAACATGACTCTTCTGAATCTGAGACAAATCATGAAACCAATGGTATTAATATTGAATCACAGCCTGGAACAACTGATATGCAAAGATTATGGCAGGTGGGAATGCTTTCAGTATTGCATAAGATTCAGTTCAAAGGAAACAATAATTCACATTTCTAAAATTTAATTAAAAACCTGATAATTGGCCAGGTGTATTGGCTCATGCCTGTAATCCCAGCACTTTGGGAGCTCAAGGTGAGTGAATCACCTGAGGTTGGGAGTTCGAGACCAGCCTGACCAACATGGAGAAACCCTGTCTCTACTAAAAATATAAAATTAGCCAGGTGTGGTGGTGCATGCCTGTAATCCTAGCTACTGGGGAGGCTGAGGCAGGATAATCATTTGAACCCAGGAGGTGGAGGTTGCAGTGAGCTGAGATGGCGCCATTGCACTCCAGCCTGGGCAACAAGAGCAAAACTCCATGTCAAAAAACAAACAAACAAAAAACCCCTGATAATTTTGACAAAACTCACAGGTAGCTGATTATTGCTTGAAATGTAAATATTAAATGAAAACGATATGCAAAGCACACATCTTGTGGATGTGTGAAAAGGTGAATGTTCTAGCATATTGTCGGTGCTCAGAATTCAGGGAAAAACTAGTAATAAGAAGAATTTGAAGAATATTATGAATGAGCTTCACATAATGAAGTCTTTGAAATAATAAATCCCCTGAAATACTTTGTATCATAAAAAGAACAAAACATTGAAAAAGTACCATTAGAATGCTAATATTACCTACTGTGTAATTAGTCTACTGCTAAATAGAGTCTTAAAAAAGGTTGTAAATAGTGCATATCATTGCAGTCTACATTAATGGTTACAATGGTCACAAAACGTATATCTACCATGATGAGACAACTTTTTAGTAAATTTATAAATCTAGGCAATCAATCATCACCAAGAAAGCTTCAATTATGTAACAAAAAAAAATTTTTTTTTTTTGAGACGGAGTCTCACTCTGTCACCTAGGCTGGAGTGCAGTGGCGCGATCTCGGTTCACTGCAAGCTCCACCTCCCAGGTTCACACCATTCTCCTGCCTCAGCCTCCCGAGCAGCTGGGACTACAGGCGCCTGCCACCATGCCCGGCTAATTTTTTGTATTTTTAGTAGAGACGGGGTTTCACTGTGTTAGCCAGGATGGTCTTGATCTCCTGACCTCGTGATCCGCACACCTTGGCCTCTCAAAGTGCTGGGATTACAGGTGTGAGCCACCACGCCCGGCCACAAAAACGTGTTTTTATTAGTGACTTAAATACTAAATTTCAGACTTATAAAACTGATGATATAAAACTAATGATTTTTGCTCATCTGAGGAACTGAAATGATGTATCAAGCTTACTTACTCATCAGTGCTCAAGAAAAGTGGTTTTGATGTGAAATGGTTACACAATGCTACAGATGGTTCTAGTATATGTCACAGAGAAAGTTCAGAGAAGCCAAAGTTTTAGAGAAGTCTCTATATGGCCAGGCACAATGGCTCATGCCTGTAATCCCAGCACTTTGGGAGGCCAAGGCAGGCAGATCACGAGGTCAAGAGATTGAGACCATCCTGGCCAACATGGTGAAACCCTGTCTCTACAAAAAATACAAAAATTAGCTGGGTGTGGTGGCATGTACCTATAGTCCTAGCTGCTTGGGAGGCTGAGGCAGGAGAATCGCTTGAACCTGGGAGGCAGAGTTTGCAGTGAGCAGAGATTATGCCACTGCACTCCAGCCTGGTGACAGAGCGACAATCTGTCTCAAAAAAAAAAAAAAAAAAGTCTCTTTATATTTTAAATTGGTACTATATAAGTTACTGTATTCAGTGATGTCAGGATGATGCAGTAAAATGTTTAAATGAAAAATTACTTCAAATATTTGCCTCACTAAACTTTATATTCACAACTACATATGAAATAAGCATTTGGGAAAATTAAAAATATTTCTAAAGATACTGGAATTGAAGTCATGAAACTAGAAAGCATATTTGGGCACTCTGTAATAGTGGGATGCCAAGAGCATTAGGGAATTGTACCAAACCTTTTATATTCACTTTAATAGAAGTTGTGAAATGGGAGTAGTAAGTGTTTAGGACATAAACTTTTTTTCCCAGAAATTTGACGTTAATAACTTATATATTAACAGAGATGTCAATGTTATCTTTATCCTTTCCAGAGGAAATATTAAAAATTACAGAAGCTGGATTAATTGTAGAAAAATAAGAATCAGTTAATATATAAAATTAAATACATAAAGCAAAGGGGAAAAAGTAGATAGTATTGTTTAAAAATATGATATACCATTTGAAAGAAAAATGTCAACTTCAAGAGAAAAAGTCAATTAGATTATCTAATAATTTATGTGATTGCAATTGTAGTTTGATGACAAAAGTAAAATATATTAAGAACTTAAAATTTTTAAATTAAGTCAACCATGAAGGATGTTTACAAAGCTTCATAGATGTAACCTATTAAATCAAGACAATTTTTAATTTAATCAATACAATTAAGCCTACTTATTAAAGATGGCTTTTATTAATTGATTTTTGTGGTGGAGTGAACGGAGATATTAAATAATAAGAATTTCTAGGCCGGGCGCGGTGGCTCATGCCTGTAATCCCAGCACTTTGGGAGGCCGAGGCGGGCAGATCACAAGGTTAGGAGATCGAGACCATCCTGGCTAACATGGTGAAACCCCGTCTCTACTAAAAATACAAAAAATGAGCCAGGCATGGTGGCAGGCGCCTGTAGTCCCAGCTACTCAGGAGGCTGAGGCAGGAGAATGGCGTGAACCCGGGAGGAGGAGCTTGCAGTGAGCTGAGATCGCGCCACCGCACTCCAGCCTGGGCGACAGGAGACTCCGTCTCAAAAAAAAAAAAAGAATTTCTAGGCCAGGCGTGGTGGCTCATGCCTGTAATCCCAGCACTTTGGGAGGCCGAGGCAGGTGGATCATTTGAGGTCAGGAGTTTGAGACCAGCTTGGCCTACGTGGTGAAACCCCCTCTTTACTAAAAATACAAAAAGTAGCTGGGCGTGGTGGCATGTGCCTGCAATCCCAGCTACTCGGGAGGCTGAGGCAGGAGAATTGCTTGAACCGGGGAGGTGGAGGTTGCAGTGAGCCAAGATCGCACCACTGCACTCCAGCCTGGGCGACAGAGTGAGACTGTCTCAAAAAAAGAAAAAAAAAAAAGAAAGAAAAAGAATTTCAGACAGCAGTTCAAGGGCTAAAAAATCTTTAACATAGCTGCTAAAGTGAGAGAGGATTTGGCACCATGAACAATATAGTTGATTACATACGTCATAATATACAAACAATTTAATGGGGAAATTATCAGAAGCTTATACAAGGCTCTTTTGTCAAATCATGGCTAACATAGGCATATATCACTTAACCAATAATTACCACCTAAGAAATGCAAAAAATGTTTAAAAATCAATAAATAATTTGGAAATTGTTATAACTATTTAAGAAATTATTTATATTTCAACTGTGTCACTTGGTAAGTAGTTTTATAATCATTTAGTTAGGACAGAAAAATAGCATAATTGGGAAAATTTTATTTATATATTAATTTCCATTACCATACCAGCTGTCAACTATTTTGAATAGTACTCTTGATCTCACATATAGTTTGCTTGTAGTAAGTATTGATTGAATGGTGTTTGATATAAATGAATGAAGATGACAGTCAGGACACCCAGGACAAGTGAAAGCAGGGCTGAAGGAATGTAAGGGTTGCAGTATTTATTGTCTTTTAGCTGAAATATTTAGAAACAGAAAGGGTAAGCGCACAGAGGAATAGCATAGCAGAAATCATGTGACTTTCTCATGTTAACCCTTCCCCTTGTCCAGACCCTATTTGTCCATATGGGCATCTCCATATAGAGACAAGACTCAGAAGGTTGGATAGCTATACTTCTTTGCCTCTGTTTTCAGGAAGCCAAGTCCTCTGTTCGCTTTGGTTGCCACCACTAACTCGGCGGCTGGGCTGCCCATGTGTAGACAGATGTCTTGAAAATATCAAGTTCCCTAAGCAGCTTGAACTGCAGGGAGGCTCAGAGAGGGTAGATTTCCTGAGCTGCTGACTTACTGCGGGACTGACTCAGTAAGATTCCAGGCACTAGGCAGAGCTAGTTAGGAAAGGAAACGTTTCCTGTTTGCCTCTGTGGGGAAAAAGAACCTACTCTTTGGACAGAGTCACCTGGCTCTAACACCAGAAAGGAAAGCGAGGCGGTGCATCCTCCAGAACAGCAGTAGGCAGGGCCACGGAGCATCCCACAGCCACCAGTGGGGCTGTCCTGCTGTTCTTGCAGTAGTGCCCTGTCTCCCAGAATCTCCCCCTGGTGCTATCTCCACCCTGCCTGAAAGTAGTGAGGAGGATGATGGGGAGAGAGTCAGACAGGCTGGGGTTGGGAAGAGTGAGTGCCCTTGATTTTTCTCTTATCCAAATTCAACTTTCATTTTAGTTTTCCCTCCAATTCCTCAAAGCAAGCATCGCTACTCTTAATTTCTCATATGGAACTACTTAGGGGTGGCAAAAACCTCATGGGACTGGTGGGGCTTCCTGTGCTTTTAATTGAAATGGTTTCTTTGTGGGTTCCCAAAGCTAAATTGTCCTTGCTCACACTGGAAGGAAATAAAGAAAAATAAGTATGATTATTGTACCAAGTAGTGGGATTACAGGTGAGGTTTTTCTTGTTTATTAGAAAATTCTTGGCCAGGCGCGGTGGCTCATGACTGTAATCCCAGCACTTTGGGAGCCGGAGGTGGGCAGATCATGAGGACAGGAGATTGAGACCATCCTGGCTAACACGGTGAAACCTTGTCTCTACTAAAAATACAAAAAATTTTCTGGGCGTGGTGGCATGCACCTGTAATCCCAGCTACTCAGGAGGCTGAGGCAGGAGAATGGCATGAACCCAGGAGGCAGAGTTTGCAGTGAGCAGAGGTTGTGCCATTGCACTCCAGCCTGGGCGACAGTGCGAGACTGTGTCTCAAAAAAAAGAAAAGCAAGAAAATTCTTTTCTTGTTTTTATAGATGTGCAATAAAAACAATTGGGAGAAGAAAGAAGAGTTGACCTGGATTTTCATAATGCAAAGAAAATGGCACCCAAATTCCCACCACAAGGATTTACATGTATTATCCAATTCAATTCATTCAGAATTCCGTGCAGTCAGTCAGATAATTGTTATCCCAGCTTAACTGACAGATGTTAGGAATGAGACTTGAAAGTGCTCAGCCAGGCTGGGTGCGTTGGCTCACGCCTGTAATCCCAGCACTTTGGGAGGCCAAGGTGTGTGGATCACCTGAGGTCGGGAGTTCGAGACCAGCCTGACCAACATGGAGAAACCCCGTCTTTACTAAAGGTACAAAATCAGCCAGGGCGTGATGGCACATGCCTGTAATCCCAGCTACTCCGTAGGCTGAGGCAGGAGAATCGCTTGAATCCAGGAGGCGGAGGTTGCAGTGAGCCAAGATCATGCCACTGCACTCCAGCCTGGGAAACAAGAGCGAAACTCTGTCTCAAAAAAAAAAAAAAAAAAAAAAAAAGTGCTCAACCAGGATCTCATACCAAGTCTGTGGTGGAGTGCCAAGAGCCAAGATGTCCTCTGCAGAAAGAATCACTTGGTTTTTTTTTTTGTTTTTTTTTGTTTTTGTATTTTTTGGTGGAGATGGGGTTTCCCCGTGTTGGCAGGGCTGGTCTCCAGCTCCTGACCGCGAGTGATCTGCCCACCTCGGCCTCCCGAGGTGCCGGGATTGCAGACGGAGTCTCGCTCACTCAGTGCTCAATCTTGCCCAGGCTGGAGTGCAGTGGCGTGATCTCGGCTCGCTACAGCCTCCACCTCCTAGCCGCCTGCCTTGGCCTCCCAAAGTGCCGAGATTGCAGCCTCTGCCCGGCCACCACCCCATCTAGGAAGTGAGGAGCGTCTCTGCCCGGCCGCCCATCGTCTGAGATGTGGGGAGCGCCTCTGCCCCGCCGCCCCGTCTGGGATGTGCGGAGCGCCTCTGTCCGGCGGCGACCCCGTCTGGGAACTGAGGAGTGTCTGTGCCCGACCGCCACCCCGTCTGGGAGGTGAGGGGCGTCTCTGCCGGGCCGCCCTGTCTGAGAAGTGAGGAGCCCCTCCGCCCGGCAGCCGCCCCGTCTGGGAAGTGAGGAGCGTCTCTGCCCGGCAGCCGCCCCGTCCAGGAGGTGGGGGGCAGCCCCCGCCCTGCCAGCCGCCCCGTTCGGGAGGTGGGGGGCGCCTCTGCCCGGCCAGTCTGGGAAGTGAGGAGCCCCTCTGCCCGGCCGCCACCCCGTCTGGGAGGTGTACCCAACAGCTCATTGAGAACGGGCCATGATGACGATGGCGGTTTTGTCGAATAGAAAAGGGGGAAATGTGGGGAAAAGAAAGAGAGATCAGATTGTTACTGTGTCTGTGTGGAAAGAGGTGGACATGGGAGACTCCATTTTGTTCTGTACTGGGAGAGGTTCTTCTGCCTTGGGATGCTGTTGATCTATAGCCTTACCCCCAACCCCGTGCTCTCTGAAACATGTGCTGTGTCCACTCAGGGTTAAATGGATTAAGGGCGGTGCAAGATGTGCTTTGTTAAACAGATGCTTGAAGGCAGCATCCTCATTAAGAGTCATCACCGCTCCCTAATCTCAAGTACCCAGGGACACAAACACTGCAGAAGGCCGCAGGGTCCTCTGCCTAGGAAAACCAGAGACCTTTGTTCACATGTTTATCTGCTGACCTTCCCTCCACTATTGTCCTATGACCCTGCTAAATCCCCCTCTCCGAGAAACACTCAAGAATGATCAATAAATACTAAAAAAAAAAAAAAAAAAAAGAATCACGTGTACTGGTTGAAACAGCACCAATAAACAATTTAGGCTCTGAGTTGGACACAGTTTGGTAAATACATGTTCTACAATGTTCCATAGTCTTTCAGTGTCCCATGGGATATTTGTTCCCCCATAGAAAGCATAGGTAGAGGTCCTTTACATACCCTGCAGGGACGCTGATTTGCATGGGGAGGGCTGGCACACAGCCTCTGCTGGGTATGAACAGTACAAACCTCTGGAGGCTGTGCTCTGTTCAGGACTTGGAGCTGGTTGGGGACCTCCAATGCCCTGTGCTGACGGCTGGCCTGGGGGCTTCTCCTCACTAGGGTCTTCTCTCAGTCTCTCAAGGTGGGCACAGTCTCTCCTGGACACACAGGCAATGGGCTGGACAAGCATCTCTTTCCTCTAAGGCCCAGTCACCAGGTATTCCCTCCAGGGGACCGGGTTTGGAAATTTTCACTACATATAACAGCCCTTCTGTTGCCTCATATTTTCTAACTCTGGCGTGGTGGTTCCCAGTCTCTTTACCACTGAGGAAGCATAGGTGATTTCTTCCCTCCCTCTGTTTCAAAATGGTTTTAACTACCAAACAAAATCCTCTAAGTGATCATTTGCCTTTCTTTCTTTCTTCCTTTCTTCCTTTCTTTCCTTCTTTCCTTCTTTCCTTTCTTTCTTTCTCTCTCTCTTTCTTTCTTTCTCTCTCCTTCCTTCCTTCCTCCCTCCCTCCCTCTCTCTCTTTCTTTCTTTTCGAAGCGCAGTTTCGCTCTTCTTGCTCAGGCTGGAGTGCAATGGTGTGATCTTGGCTCACTGCACAACCTCAGCCTCCTGGGTTCAAGCGATTCTCCTGCCTCAGCCTCCTGAGTAGCTAGGATTACAGGCATGCGCCACCACGCCCAGCTAATTTTTTATTTTTAGTAGAGACAGGGTTTCTCCGTGTTGGTCAGGCTGGTCTTGAACTCCCAACCTCAGGTGATCAACCCGCCTCAGCCTCCCAAAGTGCTGGGATTACAGGCGTGAGCCACCGCGCCCAGGCTTCATTTGCTTTCTTATACTGTTCATCAAGATATATTTAAGGTCATCATGAAGACAAGGTTACATCATTTACAATATATGGAAGTAAGTCCCAGCCCCCGTTAAGATCCTAGTCTGGGCTAGCTGGCTGAGAGGGGCTGTTAAAACTCTAGTAATAGGAATAGCTGTCTCCCTGTCATTCTGCTGCTATGGCAGATGCTTTTTTCCTCTAGGACCACTGACTTCTGGAGATCTATGATTCATAACCTTGTGGCTAGAAATGAGATGTCAAAAGAGGACAAGATCACTCGGGTTCCTCCTTCCCTTGGGTTCCCTCTCCTGGGCCAATTAAGAACAGGCACATGGAGAAAAGAACCCAGAATTATCCCATAATCACACAAAGATCTGTTCACATACAATGGCCCAAGGAGGCAGGGCCTGCCCATGAGTCACCATTATCTACATAATGCAGCCTAACTATCCTGTTTTGCTTTTAGCTATTCAAGACTTTTCCGACCATGGGGAAGTCCCATGGCATGGGCTGTTTTCCCAACAGTATCTTGACTGAATCACTGAGTGTCATGCCAGAGGAGTGGGACCTGGTTGACCCCTCTTCCCTGGTGTCCAGGTGCCCAGGAACCCCTATGTGGTAGTGGGATCCAGATCTAAGAAAGCACAGCTCTTGTGTGGCCTCATGGGGAGTACATGCCTCACTGGGCTGGTTCTAAATTGTTCCAGGGTCAAGCCAGGAGGCATAAAGAACCTGCTCTTTCATCTTCCAACATTTTTTTTTGGTAATAACCCAATTCCCTGATTAAAACATCTACAGTGGTGTCTTACATTTTTCAAAGCATAACTCAAACATTTTTTCCTTTAGAAAAACCTAAGTCTCCTAAAACAGGGGTTCCCAAGCCCTGGGCCATGGACTGGTACCGGTCCATGGCCTGTTAGGAACTGGGCTGCACAGCAGGAGGTGAGTGGCAGGTGACCAAGCATTAGCGCCTGAGCTCTGCCTCCTGTCAGATCAGCAGTGGGGTTAGATTCTCATAGGAGTGTGAATCTTATTGTGAACTGTGCATGCGAGGGATCTAGGTTGCTCGCTCCTATGAGAATCTAATGCCTGATGACCTGTCAGTGTCTCCCATCACCCTCAGATGGGACTGTCTAGTTGCAGGAAAACAAGCTCAGGGCTCCTACTGACTCTACATTATGGTGAGTTGTATAATTATTTCATTATGTATTATAATGTAATAATAGAAATAAAGTCCACAATACAGGTAACGCGCTTGAATCATCCCAAAACCACCCCTCCGAAAAATTGTCTTCCATGAAACCGGTCCCTGATGCCAAAAATGTTGGGAACCACTGTCCTAGAAAACATAGTTTCCTCCTTGACTTTTGGCATTTTGTACGTTTCTTTCAGCGCTAACCACAATAGTTATCTTCAAGTCTGTTTATTCATTGTTACTAAATCTTAGATTCCTTCAGCGCAGGAACCTTTCTCGCCCCCTAGTCCCACCCTGGACCTCACAACATTCTTTGAACACAGGAAGGGTTCGATAAATATTTGTTAAAGATCCCTTGGAGTCTGGCTTAAAAAGATTTAAGATCTAAAACTGAGGAAGGCAGATCTTTGAGGTGAGGCAAACATAGCCTGCCGATATGGCAGGAAGTAGAAATGGGCAGACCAAGTAGAGAAGGAAAATAGTTCATCTTTCTGGGACACTAATAAGGAGTAGTATATAGGAGTGGGATAAAAAGTAGGATATAGGAGTCCAAATTTCCATCAAATCTATAGATTGATTTTCTTTGCATTAATTAAGACTTCTGGTGGAACGTGGTGGCTCATGCCTATAATCCCAGCACTTTGGGAGGCCAAGGTGGGTGGATCACCTGAGATCAGGAGTTCGAGACCAGCTGGCCAACATGATGAAACTCTGTCTCTACTAAAAATACAAAAATTAGCTGGGCGTGGTAGCAGGCGCCTGTAATCCCAGCTACTTGGGAGGCTGAAGCAGGAGAATCACTTAAACCTGGGAGGCCAAGTTTGCAGTGAGCCAAGGTCATGCCATTGCACTCTAGCCTGGGTGACAAGAGTGAAACTCAGTCTCAAAAAAAAAAAAAAAAAAAAAGACTTATTTGTTGTTGCTAAAATGCAAAGATTCTGGGCTTATGAAGAAACTAATACTCCAGTAGGAATGCTTGAAATAAAAATATCTACCACTAACTGAAACCTAAGTATCAGGTTGCCCATCTTGTGTTGCTGTAATATAATACGCAGACTGAGTAATTTATAAAGCAAAGCAGCCTATTTCATGGTTCTGGAGGATAAGAAGTCTAATATCAAGATCCCGGCATTTGGTGAGTCTTTTTGCTGTATCATCTCTTGGTAAAGGCAAGTGGGTGAGTGAGGGCAAGAGGTTGAACTTGCCTCAACCTCAAGCCCTTTTATAATCAGTATTAATCCATTCATAAAGTTGGAACCTCCATGGCCAGCCAGCCATTAGGATTCACTTCCCGATATGGTTGCATTGTGGATTCAGTTTCCAACACACGCTTTTTGGAGGACACATTCAAACCACAGTACAGGTACTTTATATTAGCTTTATAATGACTCTCCCAAGAAAACAGTGCCACGTACAAGATGAGGAACTGGAGCTCAGACAGGTGAAGCCCCACCGCGTGTCACACAGGAAGAAATGGCAAAGTAAAAATTCACACCCAGGACTCCCTGGGCTTTCTCACCGCACATGTTGCCTTCTTACTGGATATCACCTGACAGAATGAGACTCAGGTGATTACAGGGATTCACCAGGAAAACGGGAAAGTCGGCATGACCAGAACTAGAACACGGGCCAGTGAATGCAGTTCTGGGTGGACCATGGCATTGGAAGCCAAAGGATAGCTTGAATGTGGTTAAAAAATTAAAACAACAAGGCACAAAACGCACAAATGAAATACAAATGATGCTCAAACACAGCTTTTATTTTACTTCAAAGTTTACCTCAGATCAGCCTGGGAAGGTGAGGGGAATGAAGCAGATGCTGTTAAAGGGTCATGGGAGAGAAAAGGTATCTGTGGGAAGAGAATAATCTCTTTTGACTTCGTGTGCTGCCTCACGGACACACTGGAGCAGGGATTGGGCCCCCAAGGCCTCAGGTAGCCCCGTGCCTGTGGCTTTGCTGGGTGCAGCCTACGTGGCTGCTCGAATGGGTTGCAGGCTGGTGCCTAAAGCTTTCCCAAGGGGGCGCTGCATGCTGCCACTGACTCCACAGTTCTGGGGTCCTGGTGGTGGTCAGGTCCTGCTCCCAGCGCTCCACAAGGCACTCTCTCCTGTGGCCTGGATCCACTAGACACTAGACATTTCCCTGGTGGGGGCCCTCTGTGGCAGCTGCACCTCACATTTCCACTTAGCATCACTCTAGTGGAGGCTCTCTGTGGGCTGGGCATGCTAGCTCAGTTCTCTTTTCCTCTTCTTATAAAGCCACCAGTCCCATTCCTGTGATAACCCATTAATCCATTAACCCATGAATGAAGGCACAGCCTTACGATCCAATCACATCTCAAAGGCCCCACCTTTCAGTATTGCCACATTAGGGATTAAGTCTCAACATGAGTGTTGGAGGGAACATTCAAACCACAGCAGTATGAAAACAATATTCAACTCCAAGGTATATGGTCAAGATTACAGGTGGTAAGGAATAGGCTAGAGAATAGGAATAGGCTAAATTTGCTAGAGATGTGCTGTGGAATTATCTGTATTTCTAGCTATGATCTTAGCTTCCTCAAGTCCATTTCATTGCAAGAATATGAAAAATTAAATTGAGATCCAGGTTCTTTTTTTATTTTTTAATTTTTATTTTTTGAGATGGCGTTTCACCCTGTCACCCAGGCTGGAGTGCAGTCGCACAATCCTGGCTCACTGCAACCTCCGCCTCCCGGGTTGACGCCATTCTCCTGCCTCCGCCTCCTGAGTAGCTGGGACTACAGGCCCGTGCCTCTGCGCCCAGCTAATTTTTTGTATTTTTTAGTAGAGACGGGGTTTCACCGTGTTAGCCAGGATGGTTTCGATCTCCTGACCTCGTGATCTGCCCTCCTCGGCCTCCCTAAGTGCTGGGATTACAGGCATGAGCTGCCGCACTCTGCCCAGGTTCTTATTTTTAATAGAAAAGAGAACAGGGAAGGAACACAGGTCAGTGTGAGGAAGGGGGTCATGGTAGACACAGAGGTGGACTGTTTCTCTACCTCCTCACATTGTGCTAACAGGGACACAGACAGATTCAGAGGCCCTTGCAAAAAGAGAAGCCAGAGTCCCCTAAGACACATAGGGGAGGCGTGAGGAAATCCTGCATCTCAGTCGCACACAAGGCAGCTGTGCATCTCAGTCGCACACAAGGCAGCTGTCTCAGGCTACAGAAGAAAATAGTCATGAACAAATTCAGGTCAGTCACGGTAAGTGATGACACTCTGAACAGCCCACCACACACTCAAAAATTCTGAATCAAAAAATCCCCACAACCCAGTCCTGTCCCCTCTGCCCCACCCTCCACCCACTTCAGACCCCCAGAATCTCACCTTTACAAGCTGTGAGACTCAGACCCCTGGGCACTGTCGCTCCCTGGGGTAGAACAAAAACAAGACCTGGTCAGAGCCCACAGGAGATGTGGTGCAGGAGGAATTATAGGGTGGGCGAGCTCCTCCACGCTCCCGCCCCGCACTTACACTCAGCCTTAGAGTAGCTCCCTCCTTTTCCACCTGTTGGAAGAAAATGTCCTGTGAGGGGCCAGGGAGGAGGCAGGGCCATAAGGTCCTAGAGGAACCTCCTAGTTTTGGATCCCAGAGAAGTTTCCTGAACTGTGACTGCAGACCCAGGGCAGGATCAGGAAACGTGAAGAAAGCAGGTGTGGGTCCTGGATCAACTGCCCTTCTGAGGTCTGTCTTCAGCAGGGACCTTCCCCTGTGACCTGTGACTGCTGGGATCAGGTCCCCATCACCACAATCGTCAAGGTGATAAATCTGTCCTTCATTGTCACAGGTGCTTTACAAAAGAGTAGGTGCGGCTGGGTGCGGTGGCTCACGACTGTAATCCCAGCACTTTGGGAGGCCGAGGCAGGCAGATCACAAAGTCAGGAGTTCGAGACCAGCCTGGCCAACATAGTGAAACCCCATCTCCACTAAAAATACAAAAAAAAAAATTAGCCAGGTGTGGTGGCACGCATGTGTAGTCCCAGCTACTAGGGAGGCTGAGGCAGGAGAATTGCTTGAACCTGGGAGGCGGAGGTTGCAGTGAGCTGAAACCACGCCATTGCACTCCAGCCTGGGTGACAGAGCCAAGACTCCGTCTCAAAAAAAAAGAGTAGGTGCTGGCACACAGGGCCCCAGGCTGGGTAGGCTCGTGTGTGTGGATGGTGCTTCCCAGTAACGAGGCAGGACACACTTTTACCTAGGGCTTGAAACACCCAGTGGGACAAGAAAACTCAGACCCCACCCTTCTCCCTTCCCCACCTGAGCTCTTCTTCCTCCATATCACAGCAGCAACCACAGCTCCAGAGACCACAGATCCAAGGAGAACCAGGCCAGCAATGATGCCCACGATGGGGATGGTGGGCTGGGAAGCCGGCTCTGGGAAAAGAGGGGAACGTAAGGGGCCCTGACCCCCAGGCCTCAGCCCTGACCCTGCGGAAGGGCTCCAGAAGGGCTCCCGCTTTCCCTGAGAAGAGACATGACCTCCCATCCCCCTCCTTACTCCATCTCAGGGTGACGGGCTCGGGTAGCCCCTCATGCTGCACATGGCACGTGTATCTCTGCTCCTCTCCAGAAGGCACCACCACAGCTGCCCACTTCTGGAAGGTTCCATCCCCTGCAGGCCTGGTCTCCACGAGCTCCGTGTCCTGGGTATGGCCCTCCCCATCCTGCTGCCAGGTCAGTGTGATCTCCGCAGGGTAGAAGCCCAGGGCCCAGCACCTCAGGGTGGCCTCATGGTCAGAGATGGGGTGGTGAGTCACGTGTGTCTTTGGGGGCTCTGAGGGGAAGAGTCAGAAAATTCAGGCACTTTGTATCTCTCATGGGACACTCCAGCAGCACCCATGTGACCATCCTGAGAAGGAAGAGGACAATTATAGTAGGAGAAGAGGACAAAACCTTGACACCAGCCTGGACTTAGGGATCTGGGATAGCCTCTTATTCCTTGGAAAGTTCTAGAATCGGGATGAGCTAGCCCAGGGTAGAAGGTGAAAAGGGATTTCTGGTCCTGGCCTGTGTGGATGCTGAGTGACTGAGAAAAGCTGGAGTCAGACCTCCAAAAACTCTTGGTGTGGGGCTGAGAATCAGGCACGAGAGAAACTCCCCCGTGATTCCTAATACTGGGAGTCAAAGAGAACTGCTCATCAGTTCATCTGAAGGATGGAATCTCCAGCGAGACTAGATTCCTTAATTGCCCCTGAGAGAGGTCTGGCCCTTTAAGAGAGTCACTCTGTGGTATAGGATCTCCTGTACCTCAGGTGACAGCTCCCTCTCCTGATCCAAGGGAGGAGTGGTATTCTGGCCTCCATCCCTGTTTCTTCTACTGTTTGAGGTCTGTCAGCTGTGGGCACAGTCCTAGCCCAAGAAGGAGATGGGAGAGTAGCCCTGTGGACCCTCTTACCCAGGTGAAGCAGCGTCTCCTTCCCCTTCTCCAGGTATTTGTGGAGCCACTCCACGCATGTGTCTTCCAGGTAGGCTCTCTGGTGCTCCGCCTCAGAGGCATCATTTGACTTTTGCTCGGAGATCTGAGCCGCCGTGTCCACCGCGGTCCAGGAGCGCAGGTCCTCATTCAGGGTGAGATAATCCTTGCCGTCGTAGGCGAACTGTTCATACCCGCGGAGGAAGCGCCTGTCGGGCCCCAGCTCGCAGCCATGCATCCACTGCAGGGTGTGAGACCCTGGCCCCGCCCCTTAGTCAGTCCCGCCCACCAAGCCCCGCCCCCGTCGCCACCACCCTGTGGGCATTTTGGCCTAAACTGAAAAAGAACCGGGTAAAGGCGCCTGAGACTCTCCCCGGTCTAGGGTCTGGGCGGGTTCCGCAGCCTTGGGGTGAATCTGGGACCCGAAGATTCGAGGGGACCCGCGCCGTCCGTGGGGGATGGGGAGGGGTCGTGACCTGCTCCCCTGGCCGGGGTCACTCACCGGCCTCGCTCTGATTGTAGTAGCCGCGCAGCGTCCGCAGGTTCACTCGGAAAATCTGTGCGGTGTCCCTGGCGCTCCGTGTCTCCCGGTCCCAATACTCTGACCCCTCCTGCTCCATCCACGGCGCCCGCGGCACCATCCTCGGACTCGCGGCGTCGTTGTCGAAGCGCACGAACTGGGTGTCGTCCACGTAGCCCACAGAGATGAAGCGGGGCTCCCCGCGGCCGGGCCGGGACACGGAAGTGTGGAAATACTTCAAGGAGTGGGAGCCTGGGGGCGAGGAGGGGCTGAGATCGGCCCGACCCTCCTCCCGGCGCGGCTCCCCGAGTCCTTCGCCCCCGCCGGGCCGGCCCCTCTCTACTCCCGGTAGAGGCCGTTTCCATCCCGACCCCGCACTCACCCGCCCAGGTCTGGGTAAGGGCCAGGGCCTCCGAGAGGAGTAAAAGGAGGGTTCCATCTACCATGATCCCAGCCTCTGAGTCCTGAGAACTTCTTGAGTCCGGATGGGGACTTTATAGTCGGGAGTCGTGGCGACGCTGATTGGCTTCTCTAGAAACCCGACACCCATTGGGAATGAGAACTGAGTCTGCGTCATGAGTATCCAGGAAGAAGGACACATGACCAGGTTACGAGAGGAACGGGAAACTGCAGAGTTTCCCAGCAATCAGCAGTTCTTAAACTTTTAGGTTTCGGTATCTCTGCACACTCTTAGAAATTAGTCCTGGCTGGGCGCGGTGGCTCACGCCTGTAATCTCAGCACTTTGGGAGGCCAAGGCGGGCTGATCACCTGAGGTTGGGAGTTCGAGACCAGCCCGACCAATATGGAGAAACCCTGTCTCTACTAAAAGTCCAAAAAATTAGCCGGCGTGGTGGCGCATGGCTGTAATCCTGGCTACTTGGGAGGCTGAGGCAGGAGAATCACTTGAACCCAGGAGGAGGAGGTTGCGGTGAGCCAAGATCGTGCCATTGCCCTCCAGCCTGGGCAACAAGAAAAAAGAAATTAGTGAGGACCCAAATAAATTTTGTTTCTGTGGATTGTATCAATTTTTATCATATATAAATTAAAAGATATTAAAACAAAATATTAAAAATATTAATTCATTTAAGAGAATATTAATAACCCATTACATGTTAATAGAAACAACTTTTTTTTTTTTTGAGTCAGAGTCTTGCTCTGTCCCCAGGCTGGAGTGCAGTGGCATGATCTCGGCTCACTGCAACCTCCTTCTCCCGGGTTCAAGCGATTCTCCTGCCTCAGCCTCCCCAGTAACTGGAACTACAGGCGTGTGCCACCACACCCAGCTAATTTTTGTGTTTTTAGTAGAGACGGGGTTTCACCATGTTGGCCAGGATGGTCTTGATCTCTTGATCGGAAATAACATATCTTTAATGAAAAAAAACTTAATTTTTAATTTTTCCAAAATAAACAACGTATAGGCCGGGAACGGTGGCTCACGCCTGTAATCGCAGCATTTTGGTAGGCCGAGGCAGGCAGATCACGAGGTCAGGAGTTCAAGACTAACCTGGCCAACATGATGAAACCCTGTCTCTACTAACAATACAAAAATTAGCCGGGTGTGGTGGTGCGCGCCTGTAATTCCAGCAACTCTGGAGGCTGAGATAGGAGAATTGCTTGAACCCGAGAGGTGGTGGTTGCAGTGAGCCGAGATCACACCACTGCACTCCAGCCTGGGCGACAGAGTGAGATGTCTAGGGGGAAAAAACAAGAAACAAAAAACAAAAACAAAAACAAAAAAACAGGATCTGCTTCAAGAAGTTGCCTTTGTAGTCAAACCAGCTGAGACTCGTTACAACCAAGAGAGCCGGCCAAATGACTTCAAAAAGACCTCATGCTTCATTGTAATCCCGTTTCCAGGCTAAATTGCGCTCCCATCCATGCCATGACAGTTGACGATCTCCATGACGATGAGTAGAAGAAGTCCTAAAAGGACCAAAAGGAAAGCGGTATTACCAGTTTGGAGAAGTTCACTGCCTGTTCCCATAAAACATATGAATATTCCTCCCCCTCACTTTTAATGCCCAACCCCTTCATTAGAGCAATCCTACATTTTAGCCCCCTCACCCCTCACTAGCCGCCTCACTAGTGGAGAAGTTGACTTGGCAGAGCTGCTCTCCTCTTTACAAGTCCTGTGCAGGAAATAAAGCTTGCTCTGCTTAAGGCTCACTTTTGGTTTCATGTATTGGCTCTGCGACTCCCAGTGAGGAAAGATCCCACCTTCTGCAGCTACCAAGATTTTTGGTAACAAGAAGAGTGATTATTTTTCATTTTCATAAGTGTTGTTCTTGCAAAATTTTGCAAGCATCATTCTTGGCTCATAGCATACATTCTCTTATGTACTTATTTTTAAATTTTTAACTTTTATTTTAGATACAGGGGGTGGCCAGGCGCGGTGGCTCACGCCTGTAATCCCAGTCGGGAGTTCGAGACCAGCCTTATCAATATGGAGAAACCCCATGTCTACTAAAAATACAAAATTAGCTGGAGGTGGTGGCGCATACCTGTAATCCCACCTACTCAGGAGGCTGAGGCAGGAGAATCGCTTGAACCCGGGAGGCAGAGGTTGCGATGAGCCGAGATCACGCCATTGCGCTCCAGCCTGAGCAACAAGAGTGAAATTGTCTCAAAAAAAAAAAAAAAAAACCAGAAAAAAATAGATACAGGGGTTACATGTGCCGGTTTGTTACATGGGTATGTTGTCTGATGCTGAGGTTTGGGGTATGGATCCTGTCACTCAGGTAGTGAACATAGTACCCACAGGTAGTTTTTCAACCCACGTCCCCACCCTCTCCACTCTAGTCGTCTACAGTGTCTGTTATACACATGTTTATGTCTATGTGTGCTCAGTGTTTAGCTCCCAATTATAAGTGAGAAGATGCAGTATTTGGTTTTCTGTTCCTGCATTAATTCACTTAGGATTATGGCCTCCAGCTGCATCCCAGCCATTTTCTTACTTTGATTGAAGTGTATATGTTAAAAAATCTAGCCTTACACAAATATTGAGTTGAAAAAGGAAGGATTTTTTGTTTTTAGATATTTGAAATACAACTTTATTCTGATTCTAAACGAAAAGGAATGGGAATGACAGTAACAAACAAGATTTCACCGCTGAATATTGTGATGTGACTGTAGCAGTCTATATTTGAAACTCAAGGAATCAACTGTGTTCCAAAACAGCTAAATATGCAGGTCCAAACAATGAAGGTATTTTTTGAACTGCCACATTCACTGCGAAGCCCACTCATCTCCTTCAGCATCCCACAGATGAAGCACATGTTCCGCTTAGCTAGATAATAATGAGGTGGCACACACGCTGCACAACTGACATCACAGGACAGCTGCCTATAAAACTAGACTTCTGACGCTGGGCTCCAGCTTCATTCTCACAGGTCATCATCCTCGTCCGGGAGAGCAGTTGTCTGAGCAACCTCTAAGTCGTGCTCATACTGTGCTGCCAAAGCTGGGTCCATGACAACTTCTGGTGGGGCGAGAGCAGGCATGGCAACAAATTCCAAGTTAGGGTCTCCAATGAGCTTCCTAGCAAGCCAGAGGAAGGGCTTTTCAAAGTTATAGTTACTTTTGGCAGAAATGTCGTAGTACTGAAGATTCTTCTTTCGGTGGAAGACAATGGATTTCGCCTTCACTTTCCTGTCCTTAATATCCACTTTGTTGCCACTCAACACAGTGGGGGTGTTTTCACACACTCATACCAGATCTCTATGCCAGTTAGGCACATTCTTGTAAGTAACTCTCGATGTTACATCAAACACTATGATGGTACTCTGGGCTTGGATATAATAGCCATCTCTCAGTCCACTGAATTTCTCCAGGCCGGCTGTGTCCCATACATTGAACTTAACAGGTCCTCTGTTGGTATGGAACACTAGGGGATGAACCTCAACACCCAAGGTGGCTACATACTTCTTCTCAAATTCACCAGTCAAATGATGTTTCACGAAAGTCGTTTTTCCAGTACCACCATCACCAACCAATACAAGTTTGAACTGGACCTGGGGCTGTCCCTGCGCAGCCATTGCGGTGTTCCTTCCAGAAGCGTCTCCATGCCCGTCTGACTCAGGAAGGAAGGATTATTATTGCTGTTGTTTAGAGACAGGGTCTCGCTCTGTCACCCAGGCTGGAGTGCAGTGGCACCATAATAGCTCACTGCAGCCTAGAACTCCTGGGCTCAAGGGATTCTCTCACCTCAGCCTTCCCAGTAGCTGGAACAACATGTGTGAGCTACCATGCCCGGACTGGGAGGATTATTTTTAACAGCTTTTCATGTAATTGTGGATATTCATATTTCACATTACATAAAAACTGTGCAAGTGGTGATTTCTTTTTTTTTGAAAGCAAATAATCCATTTTTAATCCTTTTAAATTTTATTTATTTAAAACATTTTTAAATTTCAATAGTTTTGGGGGAACAGGTGGTGTTTGTTTACATGGATAAGTTCTTTAGTGGTGATTTCCAAGATTTTGGCGCATCCAGCACCTGATTAGTGTACACTGTACACAATGTGTAGTCTTGTATCCCTCAGCTCCCTCCCACCCTTCCCCCGCCAGTTCCCAAAGTCCATTGTATCATTCTTAAGCCTTTGTGTTCTCATAGCTTAGCTCCCATTTATAAGTGAGAACATACAATGCTTGGTTTTCCATTCCGGAGTTAATTCACTCAGAATAATGGTCTCCAGCTCCATCCAGGTTGCTTTGAATGCCATTATTTCCTTTCTTTTTATGACTGTGTAGTATTCCATTATATATCTATATATCTATATATAGATATAGATATATATAGATATAGATATATATAAAATTACATTTTCTTTATCCATTCATTGATTGATGGGCATTTGGGCTGGTTCCATATTTTTGCAATCACCAATTGTGCTGCTATCAATATGCTTGTTCAAGTATCTTCTTCTTTTTTCTTTTCTTTTCTTTTCTTTTTTTTTTTTTTTTGAGACGGAGTCTCGCTCTGTCACCCAGGCTGGAGTGCAGTGGCGTGATCTCGGCTCACTGCCACCTCCACCTCCTGGTTGACGCCATTCTCCTGCCTCAGCCTCCTGAGTAGCTGGGACCACAGGCACCTGCCACCACGCCCGGCTAATTTTTTGTATTTTTAGTAAAGACGGGGTTTCATCGTGTTAGCCAGGATGGTCTCGATCTCCTGACCTCGTGATCTGCCTGCCTCAGCCTCCCAAAGTGCTGGGATTACAGGCGTGAGCTATGGTGCCCGGCCATTAAGGGGATAAGTTTTAACAGTCCAGGTTCAAGGGTAGTGGAAGCTGAGGAATTGGAGGGAAAGGTAATTCAGCCAAAGGTGGATACAGAAGAACAGAGGAAAGAGAACAGGAAATCTCTCCTCTGGAGAGGAAAGAATCTGGGGCCCTAAAGCCTTGTTGTCCTTCCTTAACTGTTTGCTGGTCTCAGTTAATTTTGTGATAGAATCTTAGAGGGAGGCAATGTTTGAATCCCGAATGCATTATGAAACTTTGAAGTACCAAGTAAACTAAGCCTCCCATTCACATTGTTTAATTTTAGGACCATGGTCTTCTAGTTTTGTTTTAAGGAAGACAAGTTTGGGGAACTCAAAAGGCCCCAAGGATGGCCATTGAAGATCCAAATTAACTTTGGCGTACTCTACCCATTGATTTCAAAACGTACACAGGAGAGGACCTTAATTTTTTTTTCTTTCCTTATTTATTTTAATTTTTAAAAATAGAGATGAGCTCTTGCTATGTTGCCCAGGATGGTTTCAAACTCATGAGCTCAAGTGATCCTTCCACCTTGGTCTCCCAAGGTGCTGGGATTATAGGCATGAGCCACCGACCATAAATTTTGACCATATAGCTGACAGGAGTCCCAGAAGACGGCCTATATTGGATGCTTTGGAATTTTGGCATCCTGTTCTGCCTCTTATTAATTTCTCGACAGCAAAAGAAAAATTCCATAATCCCTGTGAGGAAATGGTAGAGGCTGGAGCGATTTGTTTTTTAATAGTGTGCCTAGTATAGGATTTTTGTTTTTACTTAGTGGGCAGCCTGTGATCTAATTGTCCATCCTGTGACCATTTTCTCCAGATTTTTCTTGAGACTGGTGCGACCCCTAATGGCAATTTTGTTTATTCATGTACCAGTTTATCCTGACAACAGATAATTTCTCTTTGGGGAGACTGAAGTTTCTCATTGAATGGCGACAATAGCCCAAACAGCTTTTAAAGGGTCGACACATACCCATCTTTTTAGAAAGTAAATTTTGCTCTCAAAAGATGTTCAGAAACAGAGGCAAGAAATCAAGCAATGAACTCAGCATAAGTCTCTTCCAAAGGTAATCTTTCTTCAGGATCACTTCTGATACCAGATTTTTCAACCTAAAAAAAAAAAGACATTAAAGAAATGTCCAAATATGTTGAGTTTATTTGGGAATTAGAATGAGGATTGTAACCTGGGGTGCACTGGTGGATTGCCACTCTGGGAAATATTAGCTTAGCCAGATGTAGTGGGTTGAATGGTTGTCCCCACAAAGATATGTTTCTGTCCTAGTCCCCAGAAGCTGTGAATTTCAAGTTGTTTGGAAAAAAAGGGTCTTTGCAGATGTAATTAAGCTGAGGATATTGAAATGAGGAGATCCTCCTGGATGACCTAGGTGGGCCCTAAATCCAATGAAAAGTGTCTTCCTAACAGGTACACAGAAGAGAGAGTCAGAAGAGGAGAAGGCAATGTGAAGAAGGAGGCAGAGACTGGAGCAATGGGGCTACAAGCCAAAGAACGCTGACCAATGCCCTGGGCCTCCAGAACTGTGAAAGAATAATTTTCTGTTGTTGTAAGTTGCCAACTTTGAGGGCATTTTTGTGGCAGCTACAGGAAGTAAAAATATGGATGGTCAACTTCAACATCAACAGTGGTACATCAAATTGATATAATCTTGATAATGTGTTTGGAGAACAGCACTTCACCTCATCTAAACATCCATAACCATAGTCTAACCATGATCTACACCCCAACTAAATTCAGTTTGAGGGATATTTTACAATATATCTGGTCAGTACTTCCCGATATTGTGAAAGGCATCAAAAATTAGGAAAATCTCAGGAATTGTCACAGACCAGAGGATGCCGTGGAGGCACGACAGAGACTAAATGTAGTGTGATATTCTCCATGGAATCCTGAAACACAGAAAGGACATTAGGGGAACGCTAATGAACTCCAAATAAAGTCTGCAGTTTAGTAATAATAAGGTATGAAAATGGCTTCATTAGCTGTGACAAATGGACCATAGTAATGAGAGATGTTAACATCAGGGGAAACTGACTGTGGAGCGGATGGCAACTCTGTACTACCATTGCAACTTTTATGTAAATTTAAAACTCTTCTAAAATAAAATTATCTAAAAGTAGCAGTCAGGAAAGGATTAAGGAGTGGAAGAAAAAAATGATCAACTTTCCATTTTCCTGGAGTGTTGCCATGAAAAGGCTGGAGGGAGGGTTTGCAAGGAGGAGTTGGAAACCTCAGAGACAGGCAGCTCCAGAGCCCTCCTCTGTTCCGCAGAGCCGGAACCCCGCGCAGTCCAGGGCTTCTCAGAAGGCCTTTCCACCCCCTGGACAACCCCAGCCCCACCTCATTGATACATCCTTTCTGGATCAACAATCTGTGTCTTACTCAGACCACCGCCCCGTCCTCTCCAGAGCAGCTCATCAGAACCCAAGCGTAGAGCGGCAGCGGCCCCGTGTGGCCGAAGGACTGAGGAGAGACACCCAGCTCTCCTGTCCCTTCCCCATCTGGGACCTCCCCAGGTTCCCCTTCGGATCTCGGCAGAACAGGGCTCTGTGCACATGCGGGCGACCCCGTCCCGCGACAGGTGTTTCCTCCCAGTTAGTGGCAGTGGACTCTGACCTCAAGGCAGAGGGAGGTCTGCAGGCCCTAAGACCTGGTTCCCAGGTCTGGGTGGACCCCACAGACATACTGTGCTCCCAGTACGCAGCCTCTCAGTGTTTTTGGAATGAGGCCTTGGACTCCTGAGTCCCTGAAATTTGTTCTGCTGCTTCCAGAGAGGAAGATCCCTCCTCCCCGGAATCCCCTAGATGAGTCTCCAGCCCCAGCACGTTGGGACCCGGGAAGGACATGGCATCGGAGCTGGAGACTATATTGGGTTACAAGGATTTCTGGAATCAGACTGGGCTGAGCATTTGTCCCCAATCCATCGGGAACCCGAGGGCGGTTCCTCCGCCACTACCCGGACCTCCAGGACCCAGGCATCTGAACCTATACCCTATTGGATCCTGGAGGGCGGCCCCTCCCCAGCCTTGAGAGTCCAGGATTCTGGCCCCACCCGAACCCTGAGAGTCCAGGACCCTGGCATCCGGCCTCTTCTTCCCATTTGCAACCTAAGCAGACAGGACCTGCTGTCTATATCCCTTAATCCTGGCCCCCTGCCATCTCCAATCCCTGCTTAAAGGTCCTTGATTCTGGACTCAAATCTAATTTCTGGTCTTGTCGATTGTCCATGACGGTCGCCCACCAGGAGAGGCTCCCCAGCGCGAAACGTGCTGCAGCTGAGCGACAGCGGCGGATTTTGGCGCTTTGGCCCAGACTCCCTGCCCGAAGCGCCCCGGGACTCCGCCCTGGAGACTGCGCCCTGGAGGCTCCGTAGGGGTCTGTCTTCCTCTGCGGCAGGAGGGGGCGCACGGGGATTTCTGCCACTGAGGCTGCGCTCACCACCCTGGGTAAGCCTCTCCCCACCGCTCCCCTGTGGACCTCAAAAATCATATATTGGGAAAATACCGACCTGTCAGCCCCAGACTCAACTTTAAGAGGTTCTGGTCTCTAGATTTATTCAGCCCCTAACTGTTGGTTGAGCATCTACTTTTCGTCAGGCGCTATTCTAGGCGCTTGGGTCAAATCCAAACAGGCACAAATCATGGCTCTCAAGGAATTTACCTTCGGTTGAAAGACGTGGCCAATAAAAAGTCACTGAAGTCAACTACAGGGGTGTCCGAAAATAAAGGATGATTAAGAGAAAAGCAAGGCACGGAAGATGAAAGGAGCCAGGTGCAATTTGAAGTTATTATCATGAGAGTGAGATTTCCCGAGAGGTGCCATGCGAGCTGAGTCCTGAAGCAGATGAAGGAGGAAGCCCTGGGTTATTGGGAGGAAGGGTGTTCTAGAATCACCCTCTGCAGACGTGTGGCTCCGCCGGGGAAAGCACCCAGGCTGCGGCAGGAATGGGGCTGGGTAGGTTTCAGAAGGACTTCCTGAGGCTGGTTGCGGAGATCAGGGTTTGTGTTATCTCCTGACCACTTCCCACCAGTGCCTGGCACTTCATGAAACCCCGAGCTTGCCGGCAGGGTGAGTTGCCTGGTGTGTGGAGGAAGGCTGGGAGAGGAGGAGGCTAAGGTGGGTGCCAGCCTCGACTGTGTCTCTGTACTCTTTCTTTCCGGGACCCAGAGTTGGAAATGTAAGTGGTACTGATGTCTTCTGCAAATCCTAGAATCCCCGGAACTGGAAGAAATCTTGACATGGCAGGATGTAAAATTAAGGAATTTCTAAGCCCTGGAGGCTCTAAGGAATAATTTCAAGAAAGACTAAGTATGAGAAAAAAATGTTAAATATGCCAATAATCTTTTATACTGATTCCATGCTAAAATTATATTTTGGATGTATTGGGTTAAATAAAACATTGTTAAAAATAATTTCATTGATTACTTTTTACTTTTTAAAATGTGGCTACCAGAAAATTAAAGATTACCGATGTGGCTCACATTTGTGACTCATATTATAGCCTATTGCGTAGCACTGTTTTAGAAGGCTGGCAACTTTAGCTCTTATGTTTATATCTATGATTTATATCAAATGAGTTTTTGGATATGGTGTTCCTCTTATTTCTTGTCATTTTTTTTTCCAGCACCATTTGTTGAAAACACTATCCTTTCCCCTTAAAGCATTTTTCAGAGACATATATGTGTGGTTTTATTCATCTACTCTTTATTCTATTCCACCGATTCATGGCTATCCTTATGCCAGTAACACAACCTTGATTCCTGGAGCTTTATAGTAAGTCTTGTAATCAGGTAGTGTGTATTTTCCAAGTTTCTTCTTTTTAAAAATTATTGTGGATATTCAAAGTCCTTCAGATTTCCATATAAATTGACAAATCAGCTTGGTAATTTCTTTTTAAAAAAAACCTGCCAGGATTTATTTTTATTTTTTATTTTTTTAAACTTTTAGGTTCAGCCCTGCCATGATTTTGATTGGAATTGCACTTAATCCACAGGTCAGTTGTGGGAGACTTGGTACCTCAACAATACTGAATATTCCAATCTTTGAACATAGTATTTCTCCGCCCTTATTTATGTCTTCTTTATTTCTTTTTTTGGGGGTGGGGTTGTTTTGTTTTTTATTTTTTTTTATTTCAATAGGTTTTTGGGAGAACAGGTGGTGTTTGGTTACATGAATAAGTTCTTCAGTGTTGATTTCTGAGATTTTGGTGCACCCATCACTTGAGCAGCATACAAAGTACCCAATGTGTAGTCTTTTATCTCTCACCTCCCTACCCCTCTTCCCCTGAGTCCTCAAAGTCCATTTTATCATTCTTATGCCTTTGCATCCTCATAGCTTAGCTACCATTTATGAGTGAGGACATACCATGTTTGGTTTTCCATTCCTGAGTTACTTCACTTAGAATAATGGTCTCCATTTCCATCCAGGTTGCTGCGAATGCCATTATTTCATTCCTTTTTATGGCTCAATAGTATTCCACGGTATACATATACATCATTTTCTTTATCCTTTCGATGATTTATGGGCATTTGGGCTGGTTCCATATTTTTGCAATTGCAAATTGTGCTGTTATTAACATGTATATGCAGGCATCTTCTTTGTATAATGACTTCTTTTCCTCTGGGTAGATATCCAATGGTGGGATTGATGGATCAAACAGTAGATCTACTTTTAGTTATTTAAGGATTCTCCATACTGTTTTCCGTAATTGTTGTACTAGTTTACATTCCCACCAGCAGTGTAAAAGTGTTCCCTTTTCGTCACATCCATGCCAACATCTATTTTTTTTTTGGTATTTTGATTATGGTCATTCTTGCAGGAGTGAGGTGTTATTGCATTGTGGTTTTGATTTGCCTTTCCCTGATCATTAGTGATGTTGGGCATTTTTTTCATATGTTTGTTGGCTATTTGTATATTTCTTTTGAGAATTTTCTATTCATGTCCTTAGTGCGTTTTTTGATGGGATTGTTTGTTTTGTTCTTTCTGATTTGTTTGAATTCTTTGTAGATTTTGGATATTAGTCCTTTGTCGGATGTGTAGATCAAAGATTTTCTTTCACTCTGTGTGTTGTCTGTTTACCCTGCTGATTGTTTCTTTGCTGTGCAGAGGCTTTTAGTCTAATTAAATCCCATCTATTTATCTTTGTTTTTGTTGCATTTGCTTTTGGGTTCCTGGTCATGAAGTCTTTGCCTAAGGCAATGTCTAGAAGGTTATTTTTTTATGTTGTCTTTTAAAATTTTTATGGTTTCATGTCTTAGATTTAAGTCTTTGATCCACCTTGAGTTGATTTTTGTATAGGATGAGAGAAGAGAATCCGGTTTCATTCTTCTATATATGGCCTGCCAATTAACCCAGGACCATTTGTTGAATACGGTGTCCTCTCCCCAGTTTATGTTTTTGTTTGCTTTGTTGAAGTTCGGTTGACTATAAGTACTTGGTTTTATTTCTGGGTCCTCTATTCTGTTCCATTGGTCTATAGGCCTATTTTTATACCAGTACCATGCTGTTTTGGTGACTGCAGCCTTATAGTATAGTTTGAAGTTGGGTAATGTAATGCCTCCAGATTTGTTCTTTTTGGTTAGTCTTACTTTGGCTATGCAGGGTCTTTTTTTGTTCCATATGAATTTTAGGATTATTTTTTCTAGTTCTGTGAAGAATGATGATGGTATTTTGATGAAAATTGCATTGAATTTGTAGTTTTTTTTTGGCAGTATGGTCATTTTCACAATATTGATTCAACCCATTCATGAGCATGGGATGTGTTTCCATTTGTCTGTGTCATCTGTGATTACTTTCAGCAGTGTTTTGTAGTTTTCCTTGTAGAGATCTTTCACCTCCTTGGTTAAGTATATTCCTAGGTACTTTATTTTTGTCACAGCTAAAGTAAAAGGGGTTGAGTTCTTGATTTGATTCTCAGCTTGGTGGCTGTTGGTGTATAGCAGAGGTACTGATTTTGTACAATAATTTTGTATCGTGAAACTGCTGAATTTGTTCACCCATTCTAGGAGACTTTTGGATGAGTCCTTAGGGTTTTCTAGGTATACAATCATGTCATCAGCAAACAACGACAGTTTGACTTCCTTATGACCAATTTAGATGCACTTTATTTCTTTCTCTTGTCTGATTGCTCTGGTTAGGACTTCCAGTACTATGTTGAATAGAAGTGGTGAAAGTGGGAATCCTTGACTTGTCCCAGTTCTCAGCGGGAATGGTTTCAACTTTCCCCCGTTCAGTATAATGTTGGCTCTGGGTTTGTCATAGATGCCTTTTATTTCCTTAAGGTATGTCCCTTCTATGCTGATTTTGCTGAGGGTTTTTTTTTTTTTTTTTTTTGAGATGGAGTCTCGCTCTGTGGCCCAGGCTGGATGCAGTGGCACGATCTCCGCTCACCCGCCTCCTGGGTTCACGCCATTCTCCTGCCTCAGCCTCCCAAGTAGCTGAGACTAGAGGCGCCCACCACCACGCCCGGCTAATTTTTTGTATTTTTTTTGTAGAGACGGGGTTTCACCACGTTAGCCAGTATGGTCTTGATCTCCTGACCTCGTGATCCACCCCCCTCAGTCTTCCAAAGTGCTGGGATTAAAGGCGTTAGCCACCATGCCCAACCCTGCTGAGGGTTTTAATCATAAAGGGATGCTGGATTTTGTGAAATGATTTTTCTGCATCTATTGAGATGATCATGTGATTTTTGTTTTTAATTCTGTTTATGTGGTGTATTACATTTATTGACTTTCATATGTTAAACCATCCTTGCATATCTGGTAGGAAACCCACTTGATCATGGTGGATTATTGTTTTGATATGCTGTTGGATTCTGTTAGCTAGCATTTTTTTTTTTTTCCAGACGGAGTTTCGCTCTTGTTGCCCAGGCTGGAATGCAATGGCGAGATCTCGGCTCACCCCAACCTCCGCCTCTTGGGCTCAAGCGATTCTCCTGCCTCAGCCTCCCAAGTAGCTGGGACTACAGGCATGCACCACTACGCCCAGCTAATTTTGTATTTTTAGTAGAGATGGGGTTTCTCCATGTTGGTCAGGCTGGTCTTGAACTCCTGGCCTCAAGTGATCAGCCCACCTTGGCCTCCCAAAGTGCTGGGATTACAGGTGTGAGCCACCACACCCGGCCACTAGTATGTTTTGAGGATTTTTGCATCTATGCTCATTAGGTATATTGGCCTGTAGTTTTGTTTTTTTTTTGTTATGTCCTCTCCTGGTTTTGGTATTAGGGTGATACTGGTTTCATAGAATGATTTAGAGGGGATTCCCTCTTTCTCTACCTTTTGGAATAGTGTCAGTGGTATAGGTACCATTTTTTGAATGTCTGATAGAATTCCGCTGTGCATCCATCTGGTTCTGGGCTTTTTTTTGTTGTTGGTACCTTTTTTTTTTTCTTTGAGGTGGAGTTTCACTCTTGTCGCCCAGGCTGGAGTGCAATAGCACGGTCTCTGCTCACTGCAACCTCCACTTCCTGGGTTCAAGTGATTCTCCTGCCTCAGCCTCCCGAGTAGCTGGGATTCCAGGCATGTACCACCACCCCTGGCTAATTTTTTTGTATTTTTAGAAGAGACGGAGTTTCTCCATGTTGGTCAGGCTGGTCTCAAACTCCCGACCTCAGGTGATCTGCCCGCCTAGGCCTCCCAAAGTGCTGGGACTACAGGCGTGAGCCACTGCGCCCGGCCGGTAATTTTTTAAATTACCATTTTTTTTTTTTTTTTAATTGATCATTCTTGGGTGTTTCTCACAGAGGGGGATTTGGCAGGGTCATAGGACAATAGTGGAGGGAAGGTCAGCAGATAAACAAGTGAACAAAGGTCTCTGGTTTTCCTAGGCAGAGGACTCTGCGGCCTTCCGCAGTGTTTGTGTCCCTGGGTACTTGAGATTAGGGAGTGGTGATGACTCTTAACGAGCATGCTGCCTTCAAGCATCTGTTTAACAAAGCACATCTTGCACCACCCTTAATCCATTTAACCCTGAGTGGACACAGCACATGTTTCAGAGAGCACAGGGTTGGGGGTAAGGTCACAGATCAACAGGATCCCAAGGCAGAAGAATTTTTCTTAGTACAGAACAAAATGAAAAGTCTCCCATGTCTACTTCTTTCTACACAGACACGGCAACCATCCGATTTCTCAATCTTTTCCCCACCTTTCCCCTCTTTCTATTCCACAAAACCGCGATTGTCATCCTGGCCCGTTCTCAATGAGCTGTTGGGTACACCTCCCAGACGGGGTGGTGGCCGGGCAGAGGGACTCCTCACTTCCCATTAGGGGCGGCCAGGCAGAGGAGCCCCTCACCTCCCTCCCGGAGGGGGCGGCTGGCCGGGCGGGGGGCTGACACCCCCACCTCCCTCCTGGATGGGGCGGCTGGCTTGGCGGGGGCTGACCCCCACCTCCCTCCCAGACAGGGTGGCTGCCGGGCGGAGACGCTCCTCACTTCCCAGACGGGGCGGCTGCCAGGCAGAGGGTCTCCTCACTTCTCAGACGGGGCGGCCGGGCAGAGACGCTCCTCACCTCCCAGACGGGGTCGCGGCAGGGCAGAGGCGCTCCTCACATCCCAGACGGGGCGGCGGGGCAGAGGTGCTCCCCACATCTCAGACGATGGGCAGCCGGGCAGAGACGCTCCTCACTTCCTAGATGGGGATGGAGGCCGGGAAGAGGCGCTCCTCGCTTCCTAGATGGGATGGCGGCCGGGCAGAGACGCTCCTCACTTTCCAGACTGGGCAGCCAGGCAGAGGGGCTCCTCACATCCCAGACGATGGACGGCCAGGCAGAGACACTCCTCACTTCCCAGATGGGGTGGCGGCCGGGCAGAGGCTGCAATCTCAGCACTTTGGGAGGCCAGGGCAGGCGGCTGGGAGGTGGAGGTTGTAGCGAGCCGAGATCACGCCACTGCACTCCAGCCTGGGCACCATTGAGCACTGAGTGAACGAGACTCTGTCTGCAATCCTGGCACCTTGGGAGGCCGAGGCTGGCAGATCACTCGCGGTTAGGAGCTGGAGACCAGCCCGGCCAACACAGCGAAACCCCGTCTCCACCAAAAAAATACGAAAACTAGTCAGGCGTGGCGGCGCGCGCCTGCAATTGCAGGCACTCGGCAGGCTGAGGCAGGAGAATCAGGCAGGGAGGTTGCAGTGAGCCGAGATGGCAGCAGTACAGTCCAGCTTCGGCTCGGCATCAGAGGGAGACCGTGGAAAGAGAGGGAGAGGGAGACTGTGGGGAGAGGGAGAGGGAGGGGGAGGGGGAGGGGGAGGGGGAGAGGTAGAGCCTAAATTACCATTTCAATCTCACTGCTTGTTATTGGCCTGTTCAGGGTTTCCATTTCTTCCTGGTTTAATCTAGGAGGGTTGTATATTTTCAGGAATTTATCCATGTCCTCTAGGTTTTCTAGTTTATGTGCATAAAGGTGTTCATAGTAGCCTTGAATGATCTTTTGTATTTCTGTGGTATTGGTTGTAATATCTTCTGTTTTGTTTCTAATTGAGCTTATTTGAATCTTCTTCCTTCTTTTCTTGGTTAATCTTACTAATTGTCTATCAATTTGATTTATCTTTTCAAACAACCAGCTTTTTGTTTCATTTATCTTTTGTAATTTTTTGTTTCAATTTCATTTAGTTTTGCTCCGATCTAGGTTATTTTTTTTTCTTCTGCTCATTTGGGTTTGGTTTGTTCTTGTTTCTCTAGTTCCTGGAGGTGCGACCCTAGATTGTTTATTTGTGCTCTTTCAGACTTTTTGATGTAGGCATTTAATGCTATGAACTTTCCTCTTAGCACTGCTTTTTCTGTATCCCAGAGGTTTTGATAGGTTCGGTCACTATAATCATTCAATTCAAGGAATTTTTTTTTTTTTTTTTTTGGAGACAGAGTCTTGCTCTGTCACCCAGGCTAGAGTGCAGTGGCACCATCTCGCCTCACTGCAATCTCTACCTCCCGGGTTCAAGCAAAGCAATTCTCCTGTCTCAGCCTCCTGAGTAGCTGGGACTACAGGTACCCACCACCACACCAAGCTAATTTTTGTATTTTTAGTATAGACAAGGTTTCACCATATCAGTCAGGCTGCTCTCAAATCCCTGACCTCAGGTGATCCACCCACCTTGGCCTCCCAAAGTGTGGGGATTACAGGATTGAGCCACCACACAGGCCAGTTCAAAGAATTTTTGTATTTCCATCTTGATTGTATTGTTGATCCATTGATCATTCAGGAGCAGGTTACTTAATTTCCACGTATGTGCATGGTTTTGAGGGCTCCTTTTGGTGTTGATTTCCAATTTTATTCCACTGTGGTCTGAGAGAGTACCTGACATAATTTCAATTTTCTCAAATTTGTTAAGACTTGTTTTGTGGCCTATCATATGATTTATCTTGGAGAATGTTCCATGTGCTAATGAATAGAATGTACATTCTGCAGTTGTTGGGTGGAGTGTTCTATAAATATCTGTTAAATCCATTTGTTCTAGGGTAGAGTTTAAGTCCATTGTTTCTTTGTTGACTTTCTATCTTGATGACCTGTCTAGTGCTGTCAGTAGAGTATTAACATCCCCCACTATTGTTGTGTTGCCATCTATCTCATTTCTTAAGTCTAGTAGTAATTGTTTTATAAATTTAGGAGCTCCAGTATTAGGTGCACATATATTTAGGATTGTGATATTTTCCTGTCAGACTAGTCCTTTTGTCATTATATAATGTCCCTCTTTGTCTTTTTAAACTGTTGTTGCTTTAAAGTCTATTTTTTCTGATAGAAGAATAGCTACTCCTGTTTGCTTTTGGTGCCCATTTGCATGGAACATCTTTTTCCATCACTTTATCTTAAGTTTGTATGTGTCCTTATGTGTTAGGTGAGTCTCTTGAAGACAGCAAATACTTAGTTGGGGAATTCTTATCCATTTTGCAATTCCATATCTTTCAAGTGGAGCATTTAGGCCATTTACATTGAGTGTTAGTATTGAGATGTGAGGTACTATTCTATTCATTATGCTAGTTGTTGCCTAAATACCTTTTTTTTTTTTTTGTAGTGTGATTATTTTATAGGCCCTGTGAGATTTATGCTTTAAGCAGGTCACATTTTGGTATATTTCAAGATTTTGGTTCAAGATTTAGAACATCTTTTAGTAGTTCTTATAGTGCTGGCTTGTTAGTGGCAAATTCTCTCAGCATTTGTTTGTATGAAAAATACTTTATCTTTCCGCTGGGCACAGTGGCTCATGCCTGTAATCCTAGCACTTTGGGAGGCTGAGGCAGGCGGATCATGAGGTCAGGAGATGGAGAGCATCCTGGCTAACATGATGAAACCCCATCTCTACTAAAAATACAAAAAATTAGCTGGGCGTGGTGGTGGGCGCCTGCAGTCCCAGTTACTTGGGAGGCTGAGGCAGGAGAATGGCATGAACCCAGGAGGCGGAGCTTGCAGTGAGCTGAGATTGTGCCACTGCACCCCAGCCTGGGTGACAGCAAGACTCCGTCCCAAAAAAAAAAAAAAAGAAAAATACTTTATCTTTTCCTTCATCACTTTTACTGGATACAAAATTCTGGGTTGATAATTATTTTGTTTAAGTGTCTAAAGATTGGACCCCAATCCCTTCTAGCTTGTAGGGTTTCTGCTGATAAATCTGCTGTTAATCCGATAGGTTTTCCTTTACAGGTTACTTGATGCCTTTGCCTCACAACTCTTAAGATTCTTTCCTTCATCTTGACCCTAGATAACCTGATGACTATGTGTCTAGGTGATGATCTTTTTGAGATGAATTTCCCAGGTGTTCTTTGAGCTTCTTGTATTTGAATGTCCAAATCTGTAGCAAGGCCAGGGAAGTTTTCCTCAATTATTCCCTCAAATAAAATTTTCAAACTTGCAGATTTCTCTTCTTCCTCAGGAACATCAATTATTCTTAAGTTTGGTCATTTAACATGATCCCAAACTTCTTGGAGGCTTTGTTCATTTGATTCTTTTTTCTTTGTTTTTGTCAGAGTTAATTTGAAAGCCTTGTCTTAGAGCTCTGAAGTTCTTTCTTCTAGTTGTTTGATTCTATTGTTGAAACCTGCCATAGTATTTTGCACTTCTCTAAGGGTGTCCTTCAGGCCGGGCGCGGTGGCTCACGCCTGTAATCCCAGCACTTTGGGAGGCCGAGGCGGGCGGATCACGAGGTCAGGAGATCGAGACCATCCCGGCTAAAACGGTGAAACCCCGTCTCTACTAAAAATACAAAAAATTAGCCGGGCGTAGTGGTGGGCGCCTGTAGTCCCAGCTACTTGGGAGGCTGAGTCAGGAGAATGGCGTGAACCCGGGAGGCCGAGCTTGCAGTGAGCCGAGATAGCACCACTGCACTCCAGCCTGGGCAATAGAGCGAGACTCCATCTCAAAAAACAAACAAACAAACAAACATAAAAAAGCCCAGAGTATTAACACTTGCTTATGATGCAATTTGAGAGCAAACACTTTTTGTACTTTTAAATGAAATTGTGCTGGGAAATACAAGGCAAAAAAACTGGGAAAATTTGTTTTTGTTAACAGAAGATGATGCAATAAGGAATCCAGATGAAACATAAGACCAGTGTTTACAATTTCTCATAAAAAGTGTAATTTTCAGCTGTAGCCTCATAGCTAGCTAACAGCTTTTAAAAACATGTACAGCCAGCCAACAGTTCTCTAAAGCATGTTTATGCTGCACTAAAAGATCCCTGCTAAACATCAACTGTACTTAAATGGGTTTTACTGAAGTAGGACTTTCATGATACTTTTAAAAGCCAGTCGTTTAAAAAGTGAATATGATAGGGCTACAATAATAACATTACTATTTTTTTCCCTTGGTTAATATGCCTCTATTTGAAACAAACCTACAGGTGCTTCTTAATACCATGGAATCATGAATTCTTGCAGTTATCAGCGTTTCCTAATGATTAAAACAATGTTCACATAATTACAAAGTTACTTCATCAAAATACTTAGAAGTATTTTGATTTTCTGAGGAGTGTTTGAAAGCTCTGTTTATAAATAGTGATTGTTACATTTATTATGTATTTGGTGCTGAAGATAAACACTTTTTACATAAAACAGTGTTTTAATATACTGGTCTACTAATGAGGCTAGTTATTAGATATACTGTATGTTAACACTGAAGAATAAAGCTTTATCTTCATATTTATTTTATTTGTAGGTCTCTTATCAATGAAGAACTTTGTATCCAACAATAATAAACTGTCATATTGCAAGTTGCATTTTGTAGAAGCAAAAAAGACTGGCTGTGACGAAATAAAGAAGATATTTGCATTATACATGCTTCTTACAAACAGTCCATTCTGAATGGTAGAATTAAATGCAAACCAAATGCTTTTAAATGTTTGTGTGCCTAGATGGCAACTACAATCTCCACACACTTAAAAGAACAATAACACAGAACACAGTATCCTTAATGATTGTAGCACATTTAACACCTTCAGCCATCACTGGGTTTTCAGATCATATTGGCAATTGAAATTTCACATCCACATGCGCTTGCTTTGCTTCACTATTTCAGAGAGCTTTACAAGCACTCTAGCAGCTTCCACCAAATCATCACAAGCAAGTATTTTAAGTCCACTGTCTGCTTTTAGTGCCTTAACATCATCAACTTGTGTACCTTGTAACTGTACCACAACAGGTATTTTAATTTCCAAACTTTTTACTGCCATGACTATACCCTTTGCTGTAATATCACAGTGCATGATTCCTCCACAAATGTTGACCAGAATAGCCAGTACCTTTTTATCTGAAGTGATAGGCTTAAATGCTTCTGTTACTTGATGGACTGTAGCACCACCACCAACAAGGAAATTAGCTGGAGTCTCTCCATGAAGTTTTATTATATCCATTGTGGCCATAGCCAAACCAGCACCATTTACTAGGCAGCCTATACTTCCATCGAGGCCAGTGTAGTTGAGATCTGCCTTAGCAGCATCTTTGTTCCTTTCATCTTCCTGGGTCCAGTCCTGTAGATCAAACATTTTCTTTTGGCGATAGGCTGAATTAGAGTCAAAATTGATCTTTGCATCCTTACACAATGCAGCTCCATCTGAATCTTCCACCATTGAATTTATTTCTATCATGGTTGCATCGTATTTCAGAAAAAGGCTGTAAAGCTTGATCATGTTTTCTGCTGCTGAAGCCACAATATTAGATGGAAATCCCATCTTCTGTGCAAGCTGGAGAGCTTATTCCTCTTTGATACCTTCTACAATATCAATAGGTACTTTAATTATTGCTTCAGGAGTCTCAGCAGCAACATCTTCAATGTTGGCCCCACTATGTAAACTTCCTATTAATACAAGACCTTGAAATGACCTTTCCATTGTTATTGCAAAGTAGCACTCTCTCTTGGGATATTTTCACTCACAGACCAATACCTGATTGCATATTCTGCCCTTTTCTCCCATTTGCTTGGTAAACAACTGTTTCCTAATCATTTGTGAAGGAACAGCTTTTGCTTCTTCTGGAGAGAAAACCATCTTCACTCCTCCTTTGAGGCCACTTTCAAATGTTCCTTTTCCTCTACCACCAGCTAAAACCTGTGCCTTCATCACAACATCTTTTGAACCTAATTTTTTGGCAATTGCATAAGCTTCATCTGGTCACTTTGCCACATATCCTTTGGGAACAGAGACACCAGTTTCTTGCAATAATTCCATACTCATGTATTCATGTAGTGAGAGATTCCTTTGCTGTTGCTGCTGTACTTGGAGTCCATGGTTATTAAACAATCCAGAACTTCCCAGAACCTGAGCAGCAGCCCGCAGTGTGGTCCGAAGGGTGGCGGCCACCAACAGCGGGCGGAAGAACATGGAGGCCACCATTTCTGAGTCTAACATTACTATTAATAAAAGTTACAGAAGAGATTATTGCTGTAGTTTTCCTCATAAACACCATCAAATTTCGTTGCAGTTACAAAAAGTACAACCATGTTACTTTTTCTCTTACCAAATTTCATTGTCTTCCATGTCTGTAAAGTTTTTATTCAGTAGAAGATAATTCTTCCACTCTTTTCTGTAAGAATTCAAAGTATTTAAATGTGTAACTTCATACTATATTACCATGTTTTTCCCTTCTTGTTTCATATATATACGTATATATACGTATATATATGTATATATGTATATATATGTATATATATGTATATATGTGTATATATGTATATGTGTATATATGTATATATGTATATATGTGTATATATGTATATATGTGTATATATGTATATGTGTGTATATATGTATATATATGTGTATATATGTATATATATGTGTGTGTGTGTGTATATATATATATATATATCTCATTTTTCAAAAAGGAAACCAGGTGTCCACATTTTAAAGAAACCCTGCATGGGTTTGGACAATGAGAAGAAAAAATTTTAAAAAGCCTACAAAAAAGTTTCAGAGCTATAAAAGATTTTCATATGGCATGAAGTGATCTCCTGCTAGTCCAGAGTTCAAAAACACTCTAATGAAGTTCATTTATATATATTTTGTTTGCTTTTCATGGAATACTACATTTATTGAGGTGAAATCACCTGTTTTTTTTTTTTAGCTATTTAAGTCAACAAGGGTACACAAGTGTTTTTCAATACAGTTATTAAAAATAGGAGACCAACTTGAATGTGCCAGATGGATTCCATTCAGTTGGGTTTCTAGAGTCATCAGGAAGAACGTTAGAGAAAAGATTTCCTTGTTTGGTTTCTATAGCTTGATAGACCAAAAAACAAACAAACAAAACCTACTACAACAACAAACAGCAAAATTTTTGTCCATACAGAAATGGCTCATTCTTTTTTTGTCTTTTCTGACTTGACATCTGCCAAGGGAACACACTTAGGAACATATTTAGATGAAAAAGATTCTGCCATCCTGAACTCAGTGAGTTCTAATGGCCTGCCTGTAGCCCCTTTGACTGGTCTGCAGCAATTCCTGTTGGTGTAGATGCTTCATAGGGCAACATTTCCTTAAGAATATCCCTTTCTACTCTTCTTTATTCTGTTCCCCCCCAACCCCAGTGGTCTCTTTGGAGTTTGGGGTATGTTTGAAAATTTACTGAGTTGCAGAATAGGAGCTGCATGCTTGAAATTTCCAGTCATCCTACTGACAACGAAGGTTTTGTGTCCTGAAGCCATTAGAGTTTCAGCTGTGGGAGCACTCTCTGAAATTACTGCACTGTCTATTGGAAAATGTTCTGGTTTCCACCCTCTTCCTTGGCCTTCTCCTCCGGTCTCTGGTAGACTCCCTACTCCAGGCCTGCAGAGCTCCGCCTTCTGAAGCTCCACTTGTGCGTTCAGCCTCAGTTATTCCAGCGTGAGAATAGCTCTGACTATCTCAAGTCTTCTTTTCTTCAGTGTTACTGGAGTCTTTGCTCTGCCCTTTAGTGGTTCTGTCTTCTCAAGCTTGATCTTTACTTTAGTCTTCTTCATTGTCACAGTATCTATTAGAACCTTTATTTCAATTCTGCCTTCCATTTTCTGCTGAAGATTAAATTGTTAATCCGCCGAGATGGGCAGATCCCTTGAGCTCAGGAGTTGGAGACCAGCCTGGACAACACGGGGAAAGCCCGTCCCTACCAAAAATACAAAAAAAAAAAAAAAAAAAAAAAAAAAAATGTAGCCAGGCGAGGTGGCGCATGCCTGTGGTTCTAGCCACTCAGGAGTCTGAGGCACGAGAATCTCTTGAACCCGGGAGGCGGAGGCCGCAGTGAGCCGAGAGCCGAGATCGCGCCACTGCACGCCAGCCTGGGCGACAGATCGTCCTCGTTCCTTCGGTTTCAAGGTTTTTTTCTCACATCGCTTCCTGGTTGTTCTCCAGTAGGACTAGGTTTCTCTTTATACCTCGCAAGCGGGTCCACGAGATCTTCATTAGTGAGCGCGGTTACCTCGAGATCAGCTTTATCTTTTGGTCTGAGTTGAACTGTTTTCTTCGTGGCTTTCCTGCTGTGGGTGGCTTGGCTCTGGAGCCAGCTGGGGGAGGCGGGGCCCTCGCTGTCGGCGCCGCGGCGGGGTAGAGGTAGCGGCGGGGTAGAGGTAGGGCCGAGTGCTGCAGGCGAGGCTGCGCGTCCTGGTCTCTGCGCTGCTCCGGGCCGGGAGCCTCACTTTAATGGCGACCAACTCACTCATCAACTTGTCTTTCGTCAGGACCCAGGAGTCTTCCAGGAACGCTGGCATATCCAGGAGCTGCGAGTCCCGCTCCCGGCAGCCTTCGCAGCCTCCGGTCCCGCCCGAGCTCGCCCGGGCCTCGCGGCTCCCGCCCCGGAGGAGCGCCGCGGAGCAGGGCAAAAACTTGCGGACAGAAAGCCAGGCCAGACCCGACACAAAAGCCCCGGGGCTGAACGATGCAGACACCCGCGGCCAAGCCGGAAGCCCGCACCAACCCCAGCCCCCACACTACAGGCCACTTATTTTATTTTATTCTTTTTAAAATGTGGGTTTCTGGTCTATGCAATTCACCTCGGTGTGACTCAGGAAGGACACTGGAAGTCCACTGATCTGGCCAGGACAGAACCACGTGTGTGTTTAGGAAAAGTGGCCTTCTGTTCTCCATCCCTAGGGGCTCACGGGATACCCTTAGAACAGACTGGCCACAGGAATTCCCAGTTAAGGCAGAAGGTTGACATGAGATCAGTGTTTCAGGATTAAGTTCTCACGAAGGGCAGAAAACTGGGAAGCCCATACTTTTCCACGTTAATCAATTGGTTCCATAAACATCATTCCATTTATGTTTTTGTGTTTTTTATTAATAATTCCTTTGAGCTTCACTGGGAGAGATGAGTATGACTGTGGAGCTCAGTTCTGTAAAGCATGGGGTGGCTAAGAAAGGGAAGTAACTGGCCCCAGAATCCCACAGTCACCCAGTGACCTTCAGCCCAAGAATCTGATGGCCACTGCTGCACTCCAAGGGAAAGGAGGCCATCCGGAGAGAAGAGAATTACAAGAATAAGAGTGCAGAGAGTGTCCCACAGTCCTGAGATTCGTACAGAAGCACAGGAGGAAGCAAGTGTCCAAGTATCCAGAGTCCTGTGAAGTAGGGATTTCAGTCCTCAAAGCTACCCTCTCCCATCTGCCAAGTCTTCTGTGGACGTGCGTGGCTGTGTTTCCCTTCCCATTCCCTTTGGGCAGTGTGCTATAGGTTTCCATGTGAGGGCCAGTACTCCTTGCCTCTCATCTCCCTCTCCATTTTGCCGCAAATGCAAGGGACCCCATACTCGCCCTTGCCCCACCTCTTGCCTCTCCTGGGGACATTCTTCCTGCTCAGTAGTGGGCCTTGTGAGGACCTGCAGGACAGCCTGAGTGGGAGCTACCCCAAGGGCCCAAGGAGTTCCAGGAACCCCATCTGCACTCACTCACCTCCCCATCAAGCGCCCCTGCATTCTTCCTGCACTGCACTCCAGGTGTTGACAGCTCCTGGGCAGGGTAGCAGGTTCCAGGGAGCCCAGGCTGAATGGAGCTTGGGAGCTGAGGTCCTCTGCTGGGGATTCACTGTTCCAAGAGGACAGGATTCTGCCTTTATGGGGGAAGGGCTGGATAGGAACCAGGAGACCAGTTATAGGCCCGTTGCTATCAATCCTGGGACCAGTTAATTGATCTGTGTTCAGTACAGGATAGCAAAAATGGACTTGACCTTTTCTCTGTGTAACTTTTTTCAGAAACCATCACGTCCAGCCTTCCTTCCCTGGGCACAGAGGAGACCTGCCTCAGGCGAAGTTCTTCTGTGGAATTAAAAAGTCTCTTGGGCTCAGCTCTCCCCAGGGGCCTTCAGAACTCACCAAGGATAGAGCTGCAGACCTCTGGTGGTCAAATAGGGACTAAAACCGATTACACCTACAAGTCAATTGCAAATCAGTCTTTCTTTCTGTTGCACCTGTGCCCCTCACTTAGTCACCTGTCTTAGATGGAAGCTTCGGGCCCCTCCTGGGCCCCAACCCTGCGGTCCCCAGGTTCCCGGTTTTTCACGTCTAATCTCAATTGGCCCCTTCCCCACACACCGTGTTTGACCACCCAGTTCACAGAACGCCCCGGGCTTCCTAGTGGGCCAGGTCCTCCTTAGAGAGGCAAGAAGGTGGAGAGGGAGCGTGGACGCCGAGCGCCTGCTGGGCAAACCCGAATCTGGGGCCTGACCTAGCCGGTAGCCGGTGACGGGGCCGGTGGTGGCTTGGAGACTCCTCTCTGGTCCTCTGCTCTTGGCCCCAGCCCCACGCTCACAGCCACCTCCTGAAGCCGCCAGTGCTGCGTCCTCTTGGCCACGTAGGGGAAGAGCGGACTGGACGGAAGCAGCGGACTCTGGGCGCTGTCAAGGTCACTGTTGTGAAAAGCCGGGAGACCAGATGTGGACACAGGGAGGCCTGGACCCGAGGCGCGGCTGGCCAGAGGCCTCGTGTCTGCCCCTCTTCACAGCTTCCAGGGAAGCTCCCCGCGTATCCTCAAAGCAGAGAGCGGTTTCCAAACGGACCCCCACAGCGCCCGATTGGGCCATCCCGCCCCAGGCTGGAGGGTGGGTGCTCATGGGGTCGCCAGTCACCAAGGGCCCCATCTGAGCGCACCCGGTCCCTCCTCCAGGCTCGCCTGGGCCTCGAGGGCGGCGAACAGCTCGGCTTTGAAGAAGGCTCCGGCCGGCGCTGCCCAAGTCGGGCAGCCTTCCTGGCCCACCCGGGAGTTGAGTTTCAAGGCTTCCCGGAGAGGCCAGCCCAGATTCGCAGCGGAGAGTTTCTCAGGCCACAAACCTCGGAGAGAAGCAGCCGTGGTTCCCTGTGCCCTGGGCCACCGCTGGGCGGGGCAGGAAGCCTCCCTGGCGTTTCCTCGCGGGCGCGACTACGAGCCGCGGAAACCAGTGGCCGCTCCACACTATTTAAGCTGAGGTTCCTCTGCCATGGCTGCGGTTTGCGGTTTCAGCTTAGTGTACCACTTAGTACTAATATTATTACTTAGTGAACTTAGTGCACTTAGTGCTCTAAGTTTACCAAGTTTACCATTTATTGTACTTAGTGTACTTAGTGCTCTAAGTTTACCAAGTTTACCACTTAGTGTACCTAGTCTACTTAATCAACACTTAGTGTATTTAGTGTTTCAGCTTAGTGTAGAGAGGCTTCTTTCTTCCTTTTCTGGAGGAGTCAGTGGTTAGAGACGATTTCCGTGGTTAGAGCGTACTTGGTCTTTAGAAGACGACTTTGGTGTCCATTGCCAACCCCATCAGAGATCGCAGGCCTTTTCCCCTCAGTCCCAGCTCATCAGCAAAGGTCTGGGTGGCTGTCTCCAGAGGAGACTGAACGAGGTTGTCAAAGCGGCTGGATCAAAAGTGTTGCCATGTCGGATGGAGTGGTGTCCACGATGAACCTGAGCATGGTACCAGCATCTGGGGGTGTGGAATTGGGAGGGAAAGCTGGGGCCCCACAGTGTGAGGAAGGAGGAGCATGGTCAAACCAGACTGGGCAGAGTCCTCGGTATTTAGGAATCTCTAAATACTAAATACTAAATCTCTAAATACTAAATACTGAGCTGGGATGGAATCTCTGTGCTGGAGGCTAGTGGTGCAAACATTTTTTCCGCATGAGGTTCAGAAAGGTTAGGCGGCGGTTTCTCATCTGCAGGCACAGGTGACTGACTGCCTTCAGCATGGGCCCATCTGTCCATCTCTCCTCCTGACCCTGGTCTCATTACAGGAGAGGGAACTGGGTGCTAGAGGGTGGGGAATCCAGGATGTCAGAGGTGTCACACCTGGATAAAGCGTTTTGAAAACACAAGTCCCAGGGCTGATTATTGATTTTACCACATGCAGCCTGTTTTTATTTATGAAGTTTCTTTTCTTTTCCCTTAACTTCCAATGATACACTATAATGTACATCAATGTCCTTAAAATGTATGTAGTCCTCTTCATCTAGTGACTATACTGATCCTCAAGTATCCATTCTCTAGTCAAGGGTTATACCTGTTTCTCCTACCCCACGGCAGTGCTGGGTCTGGTGTACCCCTCCCGCAGTATCGCCTCCCCCTAAATAAGCACGTTTCCCTATAATTTCTTACTTTTTCTCTATGCCTTCCCATCATGTTTGCACTCACTGTGAAGTAAGGAAACGCTTCCTAATTCTGTTATTCCTTCCTACTCTTAGGAGATTTCTCCCTCTGCGCTGAGGATCTCACTGTGCACCTCCAGCCCTGGGTCCTGGTGGGCTCTGGTGGCCACTGGAGTCTTTGGAACTGCCTCCCTCTGGCTCTGCTGGGTGAGTGCTCTTCTGTCTTCTGTTTCTCCACTGATAAAAACAAATCCGAGAACATGTTCACAATAACACTTCCAGAAAGGATGGTGTGGAAGGGGATAAGGAGTAGGGGAAGGAACTCCACTCCCTTGGATGAATTTAGAGACAATTTGCTACATTAATCTCTGGCCAGGAGCCAAGACAGAGTCTAGAGTAAGCCAGGCTGCTCAGGTCAAATATCTGAAGGCCTCCTCTTCTCCCTCCTCACATTTCAGTAGACTCAGTGCCAAGGGCTTGTCCTGGGGACAGGTGGCCTCAGCCACAGTAAATCCCTGAGATCCTGGACCACTGCGTGGAACCCTGTTCTCTGCATGAGGCAGGCTCCAGGTGCTACCTGCTTCCCTTTCATTTCCCCTGTTACAAAACATGGTCTCCCCTCTACTCTCTCTCAATCCTTCCTAGCCACCAGCTTCCTGGCAAGCAACCACATGGAAGCCTTTTACTTCATATTTTGTTCTTTATCTTTATGTCTCTTGATAATATACATTTATGCCACTTCAAATGTTTCCATTTTAGATATTATGTATTGACTTTTCAATATCCCTTCTGTCCATAGTACCTTCCCCAGCACACACATTTTCATCCTCCTCGTGTAGGCAGGTGGAGATTTTGAGTGCATTGAGAGCCAGAGTTAAAATTACTGACTTACGTGAATGCTACTCAGACCTGAGCCACATGGTAAACTCTCTTAGTTTTTCTTTCCACACATGCTGAAGTTTTCAAGATTTGATCATTGCCTAGTATTTTCATTTTCTTACTTTCCGTGAACCTTAAATGAATTCACCAACTGTTCCTTAGTTGAGTAAATGTCTTCTCAATACCTTTAAACTTATGTTGGCTGTTGTCAAGGTCATCTTCTTGGAGATGGCTTCCCCTCTGCTGTCCACCCACCCAGGTGACCCTCTTCCTTTCTGGTCCTGTTGCCCTTTCACCTTTTCATGGGTTGATGCCTGATTTCATACATCCCATATCTTGGTATTTTTTTTGTTCTTGTTGTTGGTTGATGTTGTTGTTGTTGTTATTTTTTGTATATTCCTTCCTCCTCTGTTTGGTATGTTCCCTCCTTCAGTTTTGTTATCCTTCAACTTTGCTATCAGGAGAAAATTTTTCATGACTTGCAATATCTGAATTTCACCCTATTTTACAGGGTTGGATTCGGGCATCGATGTCACACCCAGCAGGAACAACTGGGGCCACTGGAGGATTCCCAAGGACACAGGTTGTCCTTTTCATGCAGGAAGAATCTGAATCGTTTCCATCCAGTTTCCCCGGCATGCAGCAGAATACAACACAAGGGGCTGCGGTCTTCTCTGACTCTTAAGGCCCTTGGAAGATCCTGTTCTGCCAAAATCAGGGTGATTTGGGCAAGCATCCTTAGGGCTCTGGACCTTAGTTTCTTTCCCTGGTTGATTGATTGACCATATAGGTGTCCTAACTCACATAGTTGAAAATCAGATGTGGTGAAAGTGCATTGAGACCAGAAACAATGTTATTGTCCTGAAATGCATGCCCAGAGAGCACTGAATAAATTTTTAAAACACCTGACCACAGCTGGCATTTCTGTTCTTTTCTAAACTATGGGACTGATCAAAAGAGAGAGGTTAGGTGGGGTGAGTGTGGGTCCTGGCCAGGAGAATGAAGGAGGGAGGGAGGGAAAGGCTGTGAGAAGAAGTGGAAAGCAGGGTACAAAGGATGCAGGATGGTGTCACTGCAGGGAAGGGCCTGGGATTCCTAGTAAGTATGGAGGAGAGGTGGCACCTGAGATTACCTTTGGAAGCCCAGATGTAGCTGATCCTACAACTTGCTTCTCCTCCTGCCTGGACGTCTACACCAATGTGACTAGACACACAGTAGAAAAGAACTGGCACCTGATTCTCAGACTGGTACCATCTTCTACCCTCGAGTGTTTGTTTCATTCCTTTCCTCCCTGTTTCCCCACCCCAACCACCAAACTCATTGCTCCATTCTTCCAATATAACTCTATATCAGGGCACCACTGAGTTCAACGCAATGTGTCACAATCGCTGTGTTCTCCCTCTCCCAAGTGCATGATTCTCCACACTGCAGGGCTGCTGCTGGAGGATGGGGCTGGGGCGGCATTGGCAATTCGGGACAACATCCTACCCTTCTCAGTGTTTCTTTCAGTTATATGAAGTTAAAAACCAGGTTTTGTGAATGCTCACATAACTTTTGTTTCTAGTGAAGGTGATTTTGTCTTTTTTTAAATGTAGATAGTTGTTAGATTGGTATCTTTGTTGCAGGGGGACGGTTAGTGAAGTCTTCTATCTAGCCATCTTGCTCCACCCCTCTCCCTAAAAAATTTTTAAATTTCTTTCCTAATGTCTTCATTGACCCACCAGGCATTCAGGAGCATATTGTTTAATTTCTATGTGTTTGTATAGTTTCCAAAATTCCTCTTGTTATTAATTTCCAGTTCTATTCCATTGTTGTCAGAGAAGATGTTTGATATTATTTCAATTTTTTGAATGTTCTAAGACTTGTTTTGTGACCAAATATTTGGCCTGTCTTTGAGAATGATCCATGTCCTGAGAAGAAATATGTGTATTCTGCAGCTCTTGGATGAAATATGCTGTAAATATCTATTAGATCCATTTAATGTATAGTGCAGATCAAGTCCAATGTTTCTTTGGTGCTTTTCTGTCTGAACGATCTGTCCTATGCTGAAACGGGGGCTGCTGAAGTCTCTGGCTATGATTGTACTGAGATCTATCTCTCTCTTTAGCTCTAATAATAATTGCTTTATACAGCTGGGTGCTCCAGTGTTGGGGTATGTATATTTATAGTTGTTATAGCATCTTACTGAATTGACCCCTTTATCATTATATAGTGACCTTCTTTGTCTCTTCTTATAGTTTTTATCTTAAAATCTATTTTGTCTGATATAGGTATAGCTACTCCTGCACTTTTTTGATTTCCATTGGCATGACCAATCTTTTTCCATCCCTTTATTTTCAGTCTATGTGTGTGTTTATAGGTGAGTGTGTTTCTTGTAGGCAACAGATCATTGGGTCCTTTGTTTTTTTTTTTTTTTTTTTTTTTTTTTTTATTCATTCCACCACTCCATTTCTTTTGATTGGAGAGTTTAGACCATTTACATTCAGTGTTATTATTGATAAAGAAGGACATTTTCTTATTTGTTTTCTCGTTGTTTTGCTTGTTTTCTCTTCCTTCTTTCCTTCCTTTATGTCTTCCTTTTAGTGAAGGTGATTCTCTGGTGATATGATTTAATTTCCTGTTGTTTATTTTTTGTATATCTGTTGCATTTTTTATGATTTGAGATCACCAGGCTGCTTGCAGATATCTTATAACCATTATTTTAATCTGATAAAAACTTAACACTGCTTGTATAAACAAAAACCGAAAGATATGTAATAAGAATTCACACTTTAACTCCATCCTCTTTCTTTTTAACTTTTTGTTGTTTCTATTTATATCTTCTTATACCATCTATGTCTTTTTTTAGATGAGGATCTCACTGTGTCACCCAGCCTGGAGTGCAGTGTCACAATCTCAGCTCACTGCAACCTCTGCCTCCGAAGCACAAGCAATCCTTTCACCTCAGCCTCCTAAGTAGGTGGTACCACAGACAAGTGCCACCATAACCAGCTAATTTTTTCCATTTTTTAAAAGAGACTGGGTTTTGCCATGTTGCCCAGGCTAGTCTGAAACTCCTGAGTTCAAATGATCTGTTCACTTCAGCCTCTCAATGTCCTGGGATTACAGGCATGAGCCACTGCAGCTGGCCTTGTACCGTCTATGTGTTGAAAAGTCTTGTAGTTATTATTTTTTATTGGTTCACCTTTTATGCTTTCTACTTAAGACACGAGTAGTTTACACACCACAAATACAGCATTATAATATTCTGTGTTTTTCTGTGGCACTTGGTTCTTGACTGAAGAAATTACAAAGTGCCAATCTGGGTCTAAATGTAATCCATTTTCTGAAGTTAAGTGTCCCAAATATTTCTTCTGAGTTTTCACTAGCTGCAGTTTTTCGTCAGAGACTTCATGATCTTTAGCAGTCAGTTGCTTTAACAGATGTACACCATTTTTTTCATAGGCTATCTGTGAAGCAGAGCAAAGAAGGCGGCCATCTATATATTGTAGTAAGGTGGAACCTTAAGGAGAAACTATCTCCTCCAAGTGTTCCTTTAATATTTGAAAAACACAGGAAGGGTTTTCAGTAAAAGCAAGAGGCTTTACTGTCCAGGTGAATTGTTGGCCTTCCAAGGTAAAGGCAAAAAGATACTGGCTGGCCTGATCCACTGGATTACTGAAGAATGCACTTCATAGATCAATGACAGTGAAAAACCTCCTATCAATAGGTTGTGAGTTTAATGAGATATAGGGATTTGGAACCACTGATGTCTTGGAATCACTATATAGTTTATTGCTCAGAATTCCTGAGCAAACCTTTAATCCCAGTTGTTTGGTTTTTAATAGGTAAAATTAGGGTGTTAGAAGGATGAGTACATGGAATAATGAGGCCTTGCTTTTTATGTCCTTCTGTAATAGGTTTAATGACTTATAACACCATCTGGTTTAAGTGGATATTGTTTGATATTAGGCAGGGGTTTTGATGGATCAAGCTGGATTTTTATAGGAGGTATATTATAAAGTTTGCCAATATCAACAGTTTTGCCTATACAGAGACAGGTATTAGATTCAGCAGTGAAAGGGTGTGATGTAGTTTGTATATTTGTCCCCACCCCAATTTCATGTTGAATTGTAATCCCCAGTGTTGGAGGTGGGTCTTGGTGGGAGGTGATTGGATCATGGGGGCACATTTCTCAGGAATGGTTTAACACCGTCCCCTTGGTGCTGTCTTTGAAATAGTGAGAGCTGGTTGTTTAAAAGTGTGTGGCGTCCTTCCCCTCCCACTCTCTCTCTCGTTCCTGCTTTCGCTATGTGACGTGCCTGCTCCCCTATTGCCTTCTGCCATGATGGTAAGCTTCCTGCGACCTCATCAGAAGCTGATCAGATGTCCAGCACCGTGCTTCCCATAAAGCCTGCAGAACTGTGAGCCAATTAAACTCATTTTTCTTTATAAATTACCCAGTCTCATGTATTCTTTATAGCAATGCAAGAACAGCCTAACACAAGATAGCATTATTTTTGTTTTGTCAGTGGGAATGACATAACAAGTGGGGACATTTGGAGAGTCAGGGATTCCTGAGGTCAGGAATTCAAGACCAGCCTGGCCAACATGGTGAAACCTCGTCTCTACTAAAAATACAAAAAATTAGCTGGGCATGGTGGTGGGCACCTGTAATCCCAGCTACTCGGGAGGCTGAGGCAGGATAATTGCTTGAACCCAGGAGGTGGAGGTTTCAGTGAGTCGAGACTGCACCACTGCACTCCAGCCTGGTGACAGAGTGAGACTTCATCTCAAAAAGAAAAAATTTAAAAAAAAGTTTTTAAGCAGTTTTCTTAGTAGGGTCCTCAAGGGGACAGGCAGGTGATTTATCAAATGGACAAGATCAGAAGTGCACATAGTTTCCCTAAATTGCTGGCTCTTGTACCAAGTTCAGCATGTTTTGAAGAAAAGCTATTCACAAACTTGGAATTAAAGTCTACTCAAGTAGATTTAACATCCATAGGTAATGCAGAAATTTCTTTCTTTTTTCTTTTCTTTTCTTTTCTTTTTTTTTTTTTTTAAGATGGATTCTCACTCTGTCGGCAGGCTGTAGTGCAGTGGCTGGATCTGGGCTCACTGCAAGCTCCGCCTCCCGGATTCACACCATTCTCCTGCCTCAGCCTCCCAGAGTAGCTGGGACTACAGGCACCTGCCACCATGCCCAGCTAATTTTTTGTGTTTTTAGTAGAGACGAGGTTTCACCGTGCAAGCCAGGATGGTCTTAATCTCCTGACCTCGTGATCTGCCCGCCTCGACTTCCCAAAGTTCTGGGATTACCGGCGTGAGCCACCGCGCCCAGCCTAGTTTAGTTTTAAGAAAGACAAGTTTGGGGAACTCAAAAGACCCCAAGGATGGCCATTGAAGATCCAAATTAACTTTGCTATACTCTATCCATTGATTTTAAAAAGTACACAAGAGACGACCTTAATTTTTTTCTTTTCTTATTTATTTTTATTTTTTTTTGACATGAAGTTTCCCTCTTTTCTCCCATGCTGGAGTGCAATGGCATGATCTCGGCTCACTGCAACCTCTGCCTCCCGAGTTCAAGCTGTACTCCTGCCGCAGCCTCCCGAGTAGCTGGGATTACAGGTATGCGCAACCACATCTGGCTGAATTTGTATTTTTATTAGACACGGGGTTTCTCCATGTTGGTCAGGTTGGCCTCCAACTCCCAAATTCAGGCGATCCGCTTGCCTGGGCCTCCCAAAATGCTGGGATTACAGGCGTGAGGCACCACGACCGGCCTTAATTTTTTAAAATAGAGATGAACTCTTGCTATGTTGCCCAGGATGGTTTCAAACTCATGAGCTTAAGCAATCTTTCCACCTCGGCCTCCCAAGGTGCTGGGATTACAGGCATGAGCCACTGACAATAATTTTTGAACATATAGCTGACAGGAGTCCCAGAAGAGGGCCTATATTGGATGCTTTGGAGTTTTGGCATCCTGTTCTGCCTCTTATTAATTTCTCAACAGCAAAAGAAAAATTCTATAATCTCTGTGAGGAAATGGTAGGGGTTGGAGCGATTTGTTTTTTAATAGTGTGTGCCTAGCATAGGATTTTTGTTTTTACTTGATGTGCAGGCAGCCTGTGATCTAATTGTCTATCCTGTCACCATTTTCTCCAGAATTTTCTTGAGACTGGCACGCTGCCTAATGGAAATCTTGTTTATTCATGTACCACTTTATCCTGACAACAAAAAATTTCTCTTTGGGGAGACTGAAGGCTCACATAGAATGGTGACAACAGCCCAAACAGCTTTTAAGGAGTTGACTCATCCTTACCATTTTAGAAAGTAAATTTTGCTCTCAAAAGATATTCAGAAGCAGAGGAAAAATCAAGCAACAAACTCAGTATAAGTCTCTTCCAAAGATAATCTTTCTTCAGGATCATTTCTGACACTAGATTATTCAACCTAAAAAACATGACATTAGAAATGTCCAAATATGTTGAGTTTATTTGGGAATGAGAATGAGGATTGTAACCTAGGGTGCACTGATGGATTGCCATTCTGGAAATATTAGCTTAGCCAGATGTAGTGGGTTGAATGGTGGACCCCACAAAGATATGTTTCTGTCTTAGTGCCCAGAAGCTGTGAATGTCAAGTTGTTTGGAAAAAAAGGGTCTTTGCAGATGTAATTAAGCGGAGGATACTGAAATGAGGAGATCCTCCTAGATGACCCAGGTGGGCTCTAGATCCAATGACAAGTGTCTTTCTAACAGGTACACAGAAGAGAGAGTCAGAAGAGGAGAAGGTGATGTGAAGAATGAGGCAGAGACTGGAGCAATGGGGCTACAAGCCAAAGAACGCTGACCAATGCCCTGCAGCTGCCAGAGCTGGAGGACTCAAGGAATGGATTTGCTCTTAGAGCCTTCAGAGGGAGTGAGGCCCTGCATATTGATTTTGCAGTTTGGGCCTCCAGAACTGTGAAAGAATAATTTTCTGTTGTTGTAAGTTGCCAACTTTGAGGGCATTTGTTGTGGCAGCTACAGGAAGCTAATATACCAGGTGATCAACTTCAACATCAACAGTGGTACATGAAATTGATATTCTATAACCTTGATAAGGTGTTTGGAGAATAGCACTTCACCTCATCTAAACACCCATAACCATAGTCTAACCATGATCTACACCCCAACTAAATTCAGTTTGAGGGACATTTTACAATATATCTGGTCAGTACTTCCCAATATTGTGAAGGGCATCAAAAATTAGGAAAATCTCAGGAACTGTCACAGACCAGAGGATGCCGCGGAGGCACGACGGAGACTAAATGTAGTGTGATATTCTCCATGGAATCCTGAAACACAGAAAGGACATTAGGGGAACGCTAATGAACTCCAAATAAAGTCTGCAGTTTAGTAATAATAAGGTATGAAAATGCCTTCATTAGCTGTGACAAATGGACCATAGTAATGAGAGATGTTAACATCAGGGGAAACTGTGGAGCGGATGGCAACTCTGTACTACCATTGCAACTTTTATGTAAATTTAAAACTCTTCTAAAATAAAATTATTTAAAAGTAGCAGTCACGAAAGGATTAAGGAGTGGAAGAAAAAAATGATCAACTTTCCATTTTCCTGGAGTGTTGCCATGAAAAGGCTGGAGGGAGGGTTTGCAAGGAGGAGTTGGAAACTTCAGAGACAGGCAGCTCCAGAGCCCTCCTCTGTTCCGCAGAGCCGGAACCCCGCGCAGTCCAGGGCTTCTCAGAAGGCCTTTCCACCCCCTGGACAACCCCAGCCCCACCTCATTGATACATCCTTTCTGGATCAACAATCTGTGTCTTACTCAGACCACCGCCCCGTCCTCTCCAGAGCGGCTCATCAGAATCCGAGCGCAGAGCGGCAGCGCCCCCGTGTGGCCCAAGGACTGAGGACAGACACTCAGCTCCCCTTTCGCTTCCCCACCCGCGACTTCCACAGGGTCCCGTTCGGTTTCCAGCTGCAGAACAGGGCTCTGTGCACACGGGGGCGCCCTGCTCCCGTGTCGGTGTCTCCAAATCCTGGAGTACAGATGTTTCCTCCCAGTTACTGGCGGTGGAGTCTGATCTCAAGGCAGAGGGAGGTCTGCAGGCCCTAAGATCTGGTTCCCAGGTCTGCGTGACCCCACAGACATACTGTGCGCCCAGTACCCAATCTCTCAGTGTTTTTGGAATGAGGCCTTGGACTCCCGAGTCCCTGAAATTTGTTCTGCTGCTTCCAGGGAGGAAGATACCTCCTCGCCGGAATCCACTAGTTGATCCTCCAACCCTACTTTGGAGGGACCCAGGAAGGACATGGCGTTGGAGCTGGACCCAGGAAGAACATGGCGTCGGAGCTGTAACTATATTGGGTTACAAGGATGTCTGGGATCAGACTGGGCAGAGCATTTGTCCCCAATCCGTCGGTTACCGGAGGGAGGTCCCTCCGCGACTCCCCGGACCTCCAGGACCCAGGCATCGGAACCCACACCCTCCTGGAGCGGACCCTTCCCAGCCCCAGTCCAGGACCCCGAGTCCCGCCCCTTCCTTCCCCTTTGCGACCTAAGCAGACAGGACCTGCTGTCTACATCTCTTAGGCCTCGTCCCCTGCCATCTCCATTCCCTGATTAAAGGTTCTTGATCCCGGAACCAAATCTAATTTCTGGTCTCGTCTATTGTCCGCGACGATCACCGACCAGGAGAGGCTCCCCAGCCCCAAACAGGCTGCGGCTGAGCGACAGCGGCGGATTTTGGCGCTTTGGCCCAGACTCTCTCGCCGAAGCACCCCGCGACCCCTGCCTGGAGGCTGCGCAGGCAGCTGGGGGTCGGGCTTCGTCTGGGGCCTCGCAGGAGGAGCGGGGTCTGCAGCAGGAGGGGGCCCGCTGGGATTTCTGCCACTGAGGCTGCACTCGCCGCCCTGGGTAAGGCTTCCCCCAGCCCTCCCCTGTGGACCTCGCTGTGGTTCCTTTCCTATTCCCTTTGGGCAGTGTGATATAGGTTTCCATGTGAGGGCCAGTACTCCTTGCCTGTCATCTCACTCTCCAGTTTGCTGCAAAGTGCAAGCGACCCCATACCCGCCTTTGCCCCACCCTTTGCCTCTCCTGGGGACATTCTTCCTGCTCAGTAGTGGGCCTTGTAAGGACCTGCAGGACAGCCTGAGAGGGAGCTACCCCAAAGGCCCAAGGAGTTCCCGGAGACCCTCTGCACTCACTCACCTCCCCACCAAGCGCCCCTGCATTCTTCCTGCACTGCGCTCCAGGTGTTGACAGCTCCTGGGCAGGGTAGCAGGTTCCAGGCAGCCCAGGCTGAGGTCCTCTGCTGGGGATTCACTGTTCCAAGAAGACAGGATTCTGACTTTATGGGGGAAGGGCTGGATAGGAACCAGGAGACCAGTTATAGGCCTGTTGCTATCAATCCTGGGACCAGTTAATTGATCTGTGTTCAGTACAGGATAGCAAAAATGGACTTGACCTTTTCTCATGTGAATATTTTCAGATACCCTCACTCCCAGCCTTCCTTCCCTGGGCACAGAAGAGACCTGCCTCAGGCGAAGTACCTCCGTGGAATTAAAAAGTCTCTTGGGCTCAGCTCTCCTCAGGGGCCTTCAGAACTCATCAAGGATAAAGCTGCAGACTTCTGGCGGTCACACAGGGACTAAAACCGATAAAATCCACAAGTCAACTGCGACTCAATCTTCCTTCCTCTTGCCGCAGTGTTCCTCACTTAGTCTTGGATGGAAGCTTCGGTCCTCTCCTGGGCCCCAACCTGCGGTCCCCAGGTTCCCCGTTTTTCACGTCTAATCTCAATTGACTCCCTCCTCCACACACCATTTTTGACCACCCAGTCCACAGAACGCCCCGGGCTTCCTAATGGGCCAGGTCCTCCTTAAGAGAGGCAGGGAGGTGGAGAGCGAGCATGGACGCCGAGCGCCTGCTGGGCAAACCCGAATCTGGGGTCTGACCTCGCCGCCGGCAGCTGGTGAATATGTCGCAGGACCGGTGGTGGCTTGGCAGTCTTCTCCTGTCCTCTGCTCTTGGCCCCAGACCCGCGCTCACAGCCACCTCCTGAAGCCACCAGCTCTGCACCCTCTCGGCCTCGCAGGGGAAGAGGGGACTGGATGGAAGCCGCGGACTCTGGGCGCTGTCAAGGTCACTGTTGTGAAAAGCCGGGAGACCTGATGTGGACACAGGGAGGCCTGGACCGGAGGCGCGGCTGGCCAGAGGCTTCGCGTCTGCCCCTCTTCCTTCAGAGCCTCCTGCTCCCAGGGAAGCTCCGCGCGTGTCCTCAAAGCAGAGAGTGGTTTCCAAACGGACCCCCCAGCATCCGATTGGGCTATCCCGCCCCAGGCTGGAGGGTGGGGGCTCATGGGGTCTCTAGTCACCAAGTGCCCCACCTGAGAGGACCCGGTCTCTCCTCCAGGCTGCGCTGGGTCTCGAGGGAGGCGAGCAGCTCGGCTCTGAGGGGTGCCCCGGCCGGCGCTGCCCAACTCGGACAACCTTCCTGGCCCACCCAGGAGTTGAGTTTCAAGGCTTCCCGGAGAGGCCAGCCCGCATTCGGAGCGGAAGGTTTCTCAGGCCGCGAGCCTCGGAGAGAAGCAGCGCTGGTTCCCTGAGCCCGGGGCCACCGCTGGGCGGGAGCGCGCTTGGATCTTGCAGCAGCTAAAGCCTCGTGGGCTCCTCCTCGACTACAAGCCGCGGAAAACAAGTTGCAGCTCAGCACTATTTAAGTTGAGGTTTTTCTGTTATGCCTGCGGTTTGCTGTTTCAGCGCTTTGCTGTTTCAGCTTAGTGAAAGCTGAATGTACTTAGTACTTCAGCTTAGTTTTTCAGCTTAGTGTACTTAGAGAAGAGGCTTCTTCCTCTTTTGGGGGAATCAGTGGGTAGAGAGGAATTCCGTGGTTAGAGCCTACTTGGTCTTTAAGAGTCGACTATAATTTTGATTTTGATCCTCAACCACATCCGAGATCACAGTTCCCCGGTCAGTCTCAGCTCATCAGCAAAGGGTTTGGCGGCTCTCTCCAGAGGAGACTGAACGAGGTTGTCAAAGCGTCTGGATCAAAAGTGTTCCCCTGTCGGATGGAGCGGTGTCCAGGATGAACCTGAGCATTGTACCAGCATTTGGGGGTGTGGAGTTGGGAGGGAAAGCCAAGGCCCCACAGTGTGAGGAAGGAGACTGGGCAGAGCCCCTCAGTGTTTAGGAATCTCTAAATACTAAATACTACATCTCTAAATACTAAATACTGAGCTGGGATGGAATCTCTGTGCTGGAGGCTAGTGGTGCAAACTGCAGTTTCTCATCTGCAGGCACAGATGACTGACTGCCTTCAGCATGGGCTCATCTGTCCATCTCTCCTCCTGACCCCGGTCTCATTACAGGAGAGGGAACTGGGTGCTAGAGGGTGGGGAATCCAGGACGTCAGCGGTGTCGCACCTGGATAAAGCATTTTGCAAACACAAGTCCCAGGGCTGACTATTGATTTTACCACATGCAGCCTGTTTTTATTTATTAATTTCCTTTCTTTTCCCTTAAATTCCAATGACAAAGTATAACGTAAATCAACGTCCTTAAAATGTATGTAATCCTCTTCATTTAGTAACTATTCTGACCTCAAGTATCCATTCTCTAGTCAAGGATTATACCTGTTTCTCCTAGCCCCCACCAGTGCTGGGTCTGTTGTACCCCTCCCGCAGTATTGCCTCCCCCTAAATAAGCACATTTCCCTATAATTTCTTCCTTTTTCTCTATGCCTTCCCATCATGTTTGCACTTGCTGTGAAGTAAGGAAATGCTCCCCAATTCTGTTATTCCTTCCTACCCTTAGGAGATTTCTCCCTCTGCGCTGAGGATCTCACTATGCACCTCCAGCCCTGGGTCCTGGTGGGCTCTGGTGGCCACTGGAGTCCTTGGAGCTGCCTCCCTCTGGCTCTGTTGGGTGAGTGCTCTTCTATCCTCTCTTTCTCCACTGATAAAAACAAATCCGAGAACATGTTCAGAATAACACTTCCAGAAAGGATGGTGTTGAGGGGGATCGGGAGTAGGGGAAGGAACTCCACTCCCTTGGATGAATTTGGAGACAGTTTGTTGCATTAATCTCTGGACAGGAAACAAGACAGAGCCTAGAGTAAACCAGGCTGCTCAGGTAAAAGGTCCGAAGGCCTCCTCTTCTCCCTGCCCACATTTCAGTAGACTCAGTGCCAAGGGCTTGTCCTGGGGGCAGGTGGCCTCAGCCACAGTAAGTCCCTGAGATCCTGGACCACTGCGTGGAACCCTGTTCTCTACATGAGGCAGGCTCCAGGTGCTACCTGCTTCCCTTTCATTTCCCCTGTTACAAAACATGGTCTCCCCTCTACTCCCTCTCAATCCTTCCTAGCCACCAGCTTCCTGGCAAACAACCACATAGAAGCCTTTTACTTCATATGTTGTTCTTTATCTTTATGTCTCTTGATAATATACATTTATGCCACTTCAAACATTTCCATTTTAGATATTAAGTATTGACTTTTCAAAATCCCTTCAGTCCATAGTACCTTCCACAGCACACACATTTTCATCCTCCTTATGTAGGCAGGTGGAGATTTTGAGTGCATTGAGAGCCAGAGTTAAAATTACTGACTTACGTGAATGCTACTCAGACCTGAGCCACATGGTAAACTCTCTTAGTTTTTCTTTCCATACATGTTGATGTTTTCAGAGAATTGATAATTGCCCGGCGTTTTCATTTTCTTACTTTCCATGAACCTTAACAAATGAATTCACCAACTGTCCCTTAGTTGAGTAAATGTCTTCTCCATACCTTTAAACTTATGGTGGCTCTTGTCAAGGTCATCTTCTTGGAGATGGCGTCCCCTCTGCTGTGCTGTCCACCCACCCAGGCGACCCTCTTCCTTTCTGGTCCTGTTGCCTTTTCACCTTTTCACCTTTTCATGGGTTGATGCCTGATTCTATACATCCCACGTCTTGGTCTGTTTATTTTTGTTTTGTATTCTTTTCAATATATATTCCTTCCTTCTCTTCTTGGTATGTTCCCTCCTCTCCGAGTACATCCTTCACCTTTGCTATTGGGAGAAAATTTTTCATGCCTTGCAATGTCTGAATTTCTTCTTATTTTACAGGGTTGGATTCAGGAGTTGAGGTCATCCCCAGCAGGAGCAACTAGGGCCACTGGAGGATCCCCAAGGACACAGGTCACCCTCAGCAGGAGCAACTAGGGCCACTGGAGGATCCCCAAGGACACAGGTCACCCTTTTCATGCAGGAAGAATCTGAATGGTTCCCACCCAGTTTCCTGGGCAGGCAGGAGAATCCAACACGAGGGGCTGCTGTCTTCTCTGACTCTTAGGGCCCTTGCAAGATCCTGTTCTGGGTGATTTAGCTGAAGGGCAGGGTGATTTGGGCAAGCATCCTCAGGGCTCTGGGCCTCAGTTTCCTTCACTGGGTGATGGGTTGATCAGATAGATGGCCTTCCCCACATAGCTGAAAATCAGATGTGGTGAAAGTGCATTGAGACCGGAAACAATGTTATTGTTCTCAAATACATGCCCAGAGAGCACGAAATAAATTTTTATTCAGCTGGCATTTCTGTTCCTTTCTGAACTATGGGACTGATCAAAAGAGAGAGGTTAGGTGGGGTGAGTGTGGGTCCTGGCCAGGAGAATGGAGGAGGGAGGGAAAAGCTGTGAGAAGAAGTGGAAGGAGAGGTACAAAGAATGCAGGATGGTGTCACTTCAGGGAAGGGCCTGGGATTCCTAGTAAGTATGGAGGAGAGGTGGCACCTGGGATTACCTTTGGAAGCCCACATGTAGCTGATCCCACCGCTTGCTCCTCCTCCTGCCTGGAAGTCTATGCCAACGTGACTAGATGCACAGTAGAATGGAACTGGTGCTTGATTCTCAGACTGGCACCATCATCTACCCTCAAGAGTTTTTTTCATTCCCTTCCTCCCTGTTTCCCCACCCCAACGGCCAAACCCATTGCTCCATTCTTCCCATATAACTCTACCAGGTACCCACCTCTTGGGTTCTAGTCATGTCCGAAGAAGTCTTTTATTAATTTATTTCTTGTAGAGATAGGGTCTTGCATTGTTGTCCAGGCTGGTCTTGAACTCCCGGCCTCACCTCAGCCTACCATAGTGCTAATATTATAGGTGTGAGCCACTGCTCCCAGTCTGTGTCTGACAATGTCTTGAGTGACTAAAAGGCATTTTCTTTCACTTTGTAGTCTTGGGCTTCCTTCAGTCTGCCTCTCTCCTCTTTTCCTGTGACCCCAGGCAGGCTTTGTCATTCCCTTCCTCCTCTGGGGTGCCCTCTGGGCTTCAGAGCAGCCCTGGTGAGAATCTGCAGGGCAACCTGCACACTAGCTGGCTGGGCTTCTGAGCCCCTCCACACTCACTCATATGCCTCTCCCACCTCCCTCCAGTGGTGAGATCGGGAATACAACTCACTGAGTCTCCAAGTCCAATGGATTTTCTATCCCAGGGATGAGCATCTCCTAGTCATCTTCTGTGAAGTAGAGGGAGGCTTCTGTTCCCTTCTGGGCTTCAATTCTGCACTTCCAGAGTTCCCCATTCTTCACGTTTAGTCACTCTACCTCCCTACACATATTTTTGGAATCAACCAACCAGGCTAGATGGACCAGCCAGTCCCCAACGTGAGAGCTGGCAGGGAAGTTCTTAAATAACGGTTTAGTTTTCCTATAGTGTGACAAAACTGGCTCCAAATGCCAAATGAAACCCCTTTAGTGCATGCCCCGTGTGCTCAGAAATTTGCCTTATACTCCTTCACTCACACAGAAAAGCAAAGACAAAAATAAAATAACAAAATTCAATTTCCACAACTAAATTTCCCATGTATTATTTTTCCCAACAGAGTTCATCAACAAGCCTGTGATACCTTAGGATATACTGTGTTCTGTAAATCTAAAACACCACCTTACATTTGTAAGGCTAACATTTACAGAGCACTTGGTATGTCCAAGGCTCTAGTCTAATATCCAAGTGAATATTATCTGATTTGTTCCTTGTGAGGATTAATTTGATTTCTCAACATGACTGGGTCACGAAGGAGCCCAGATATTTGGCCAAACATTATTCTAGGTATTCCCATGAGTGTGTTCGAAAAATGATTTACATTTAAATCAGTGGAATTGACTAATGTACATTGCCCTCCATAATGTGAGTGGGCCTCATCAGATCAACTGGAGATATATGTCGCCTATTCATTCTGCTTCTGTGGAGAGCCCTGATCAATACACTGTTCATAAGACCAGTGTTTTGGGGATTTATTAATTAATGGAGGCACACTGTGGTTACTTGCCTAGTAAGCTAGAAGAACACTAAAGAGGAAGTGTAAGAGCCGAAATTGCTTTTTAGTAGAACTCAGTTTGAAGTTTCCTTGCAGTGGTGAGTGTGGAGATGGGTTCAGCAGGGTGGTCTGCAGTGGGTTTGCCAAGGGTCTCTGGGATTCCACTGGAATTTCTCTCCACTGAAGGGAGAGGCTTAGCAGGTGCCTCCAGTGCTCTCCAGAGCAAATTGGGTCAGCTTCATTAAGAGTTCCTCTCTGAAGAAGGGAACTATGATCCTGACCCTGGAACAGGCCCTGGAGTCTGAGGCATGAGGGAGAAGCCTAGATCTTGGAGAGGTGGACGAAGGAGGAGGGGAATCATAAAGATGGGGCTTTGCCTTCAGCCAGAAGCATTCTGCAATCTCAGGGATGAATCCAAAGATGGAAGAGGGGGTTTCTGGGAATAGGAACCTTTGTTCAGTACCTATTTTGGGGGGTGAGGTGGGGTCCCTCATGTTGTATCACAAGAAACAGATTCTATTTTATGACAGTATGATCTACCCATGGTCTTGTTCTTAAACTCTTGCAGATGCTGAGTCTCAATAGAGATGAGGAAACTGAGGGTCACAGAGCTAGTGCTTGGATGGATTTACAAATGTAGGAAGGAGGTTTGACTGATCTTGGTGTGACACCTCCTTCTTTCATTGTTTTTCTGGGAGGAGTCTGATCTCTTTTCTTTTTTTGTGAGATATAAAATATATGCAGAAAAGTTACTTACAAATGTACACAATATTTAACTAGCGACTATGACCACACAAGCACCACCTAGGTCAAGAAGCACAGTTGTCCAGTGTCCCACAAATGCCTTGCTTGCCCCCTCCCATCACACCTCTTCCCTTTCCTAGCTCCATGAGTGACTGCCTTTCTGACCTCTGTGCTAACATTCTTTCCTGGCTATGTGTTTGCAAACACTGTGATTAAAAGATTGCTTCTCAATTTTGGTCTTGTTTTCCTTCTTCAGGTTGTGTCTCCCTTGAGCAGAAACTGTCACTGCCCAAGGTGGGCTGCCGGTCTTGGTGGCTTCTAGTTCTTTTGGGAGTTTCCAGAACTGATTCTGTCTGGCTGTGACAGTGGGTTTTTTTTTTTTTTTTTTTTTTTTCCTGCTCAGGTCTCTGCTCTGCTACGAACCTTTATATGCTGTATGCTGATTTCGGTGTGAACTTAAGTGTTCATTTCTCTGGGATAAATGCCCTAGAGTGCAATGGCATGTTTAGTTTTTTTTTTTTTTTCGCCATACTCTAGTTTCTAGAGTGGCTGTACCATTTTACATTCCCACCAGCAATGAGTGATTCAGCCATTTTCTCCACATCCAGCATGTGGTGTTATTTCTATTTCTTATTTTATTCATTCTGATAGGGGTGTAGTAATATCTCATAATGGTTTTAATTACATTTCCCCAATGATGAATCATATGGACCACATTTTTTTTTTTTTTTTTTTTTTTGAGATGGAGTCTCGCTCTGTGGCCCCGGCTGGAGTGCAGTGGCGCGATCTCGGCTCACTGCAAGCTCCGCATATGGACCACATTTTTGTGTCCTCACTTCCCATCTACATATCATTTTAAAAGAAATATTTGTCATGTGTTTTGTCCACTTTCCTATTTTATTGATTTTTTTAAACTGTTGAATTTTCAGTGTCTTTATATATTAAAAATGAAGGTTTTTTTTTTTTTTTTTTTTTTTTTTTTTTTTTTTTTTTTTTTTTTAGGATACGTGGGAAGGTAGTTTGAAACTTTTGAGGTCACCCAAATCTGCTTTTCTTTCTCTTTTTTGGGAACAGATTCTGGATTCAAGATCCCCTCCAACAGTGAAAGCCATTTTCGTGGGCCCTGGGCCCAGGATACTCCAACCTGGTCGCATACCCCTTGGGATTTCCCAGCAGCGGGCTGCAGAATATAACGTCCAGGAGTGGGGTGTTCTCTCTCTCCGGGCTCTTGGAAGACGCTGCTCCGCCTTTGATCACCTGGATTTTTAACTATTCGAATCTAGCTGAAGATCTGTGTAGCCTGGGCAAGCCTCTGCAGAACCCTGGGCTTCAGTTTCCTTCTCTGGGCACTGGGGTGATCACAGGGTCTCCCTGACCAAACCTACAAATGGAAAGTTCTCCCGGAAAGCTCTTTGTAACCACAGACGGTGATGCAATGTAAACCCTTAGAATGACCTCCTAGGATCTAGCCGTAAACCCTGTTCAAATGCCACACTTCATCCTTAGTTCTGTCCCTTCTGGAATTCTTAAGCGAAAGAAGCCTGAGTAGGGATCAGCGGAGCAGGAGGAGGAAGGGAGGGGCTGGGAAGAAGAGAGCCAGGCGGGGTGCAGAGCGCGGCGGGGGTGGTCCGTGACTCACGCGTGGCAGGGCTCACCATCGCCTCCAGGCTTCGCGCCTGCGGCCGGGTCTCCTCCCAGGTTCCCAGCCTGTTCCTTCACCCCATCTCTCTCTCTCTCTCTCTCTCCCTCCCTCCCTCCCTCTCTCTCTCTCTCTCTGAAATAATCGTTTCAATAAAATGCAGAAAAAGTATTCGATAAAATCCAGCATCCCTTTATGATTAAAAGCCTCAGCAAAATCAGCATAGAAGGGACATACCTTAAAGTAATAAAAGCCCTTTATGACACACCCACAGCCAACCTTATACTGCACAGAGAAAAGATGAAAGCATTCCCCCTGAGAACTGGAACAAGACGAGGACGCCCACTTTCACCACTTCTTTCAACATAGTACTGGAAGTCCTAGCAAGTGGTAATTTCTTAAAGGTTAGATACAACCTGAAACCCTATCATTGACTATTTGTATTCTGTTATGTTAAAATAGATTGGTCTATCTTGCCCATTGAATGGATTTGTACTAATAATGAAAACAAACAAACAAAAACAAACCCTACACTATGTATGCCCAGTAGTTACCATATTTAACAGTGCATATCTAGAGTGCTCATAGTTTTCAATCTCCCCCAAAATATATGGTGGGACTCTCAGATTGAATATATATTAAATTATCTTCATCGAGAAGTCACGGATTTGTCCACATGGGCCTTAGACACGTCCTTAAAACACAGCAAGCCCACGAAAGTCTAATTAATATGTATATGTATAAGTGGAGGGTACAGACATTAACCGAAACATGATTTATCACCTCAACATTTTAAGTGTTCAAAAATGCCCATTGCCAGGGCTAATCATTGTCTATATTGCACTGGAATTCTGTTGTTATTGTTTGCTTTAACCAGGTGAATACAAGGAGAAGATAAGTATCCATTTTTCTCAAGACAAACTATTGGATATGACATATGTCAAGTATCCTGAAGGCTCTGTAGACATATTTTTTAAATTATAAAACAAGAGACTTAAACCTTAGAATTCTTTACCTGCTGCCCCTCCTCCCCTTGTATTCCAACAATTTTGTTTTCTTCACCCTTGGACTCCTCTTTCCTCATTGTCACAACCTAGCTGGAACTATACATGAAGTGTCTACAATTGGGCAGTGAAGAAGGATTCTCTAAGCATGACCTAAAAATAAACACCATAAAGAAGTATGAGGGTAGTTTTAAGTACTTATAAATTAAAAAACTTCTCTTTGGTAACCACAAACATAGATATATACAGACAGTTTCTCATAATCAACCTCAAAGACACATAAAAAATTTATAGACAAAATAATAATGCGTCCGAAGCTTTCTTCCAAAGTCCACTAGGAACATATCCTAGTGGGTGAAGAAGTTGGGTTTATTACTGGTTCCTGAGTGCAAGAATAGGTGCTGTGAGCCATGTGGTGTTTTGGTAAGAGGGTGTTAGAAAGAAATTCTTAAAGGATTTGGGCTTTGGTTGGGTGATCCTGGGGAGGGTGAGGAAGTGGGCTTCACTCTAGATTGGGTACTCGTCAGGAAGCAGGGGCAATTCTGTAATTGAATGTCTCAACAAATCTTAGCTCTAGTGAGGGTGGACTAGAGCAGAATAAAGCTGTAATTGGTAGACAAGCATCAGCCCCTGGTATTAGTGGAGAGAGTGCTTAGACAAAATTATGAAGTGTTCTTGTATTTCCTCACTTTATCATCATCTCAGAGTGAACTTTCTAATGTTGGTATTTTGTGGTGATTGTGGTCCAATAGGAGAATAACATGGCTTAACAATGAACATTGGGCCAGCTTCATATAACAAGGAGTCCCAGCCATAAGTGTCAGATCAGTTCCTAGATATCAGAGGCTTCTTGTTTTCTTTCTTAAATTCAACATTTAAAAATATCTACGTCCCATTTGGAAAAGGATTAATGAATATTAGAGCATAATTTGGCATAGAAAATGCAAGTGTCAAATATAATAGTAATAAGTAAATGTCAACAAAATTAAAATGTGGATTAGGAAATGGGATGGAAGTTTAATATATCTTAGCTTGGCAAAGATGAAAGTCAAAGATAATAATATTGAGTGGAGAATAGGGGAAATTTACTGTCATAAAAGTTGATGGGATTAAATACTGGCATACAATTTCTAAAGAGTCAGGCATGTTGGCTTAATGCCTGTAATCCCAGCACTTTGGGAAGCTGAGGTGGGCAGATTGCTTGAGTCCAGGAGTTCCAGACCAGCCAGGGCAACATGGCGAAACCCCATCTCTACAAAAAATACAAAAAAAATTAGGCATGGTGGCACCCTCCTGTAGTCCCAGGAGGATCGCCTGAGCCGGGGAGGTCAAGGCTACAGTGAGCTGTGATCACACCACTGCACTCCAGCCTGAGGAACAGAGTGAGACTCCATCTCAAAGAAAAAACACCCCAGTGTCTAAAGAGCATTTTTGGAAAATGTCTCAAGAAGATCATGTTGATGCAAAAAACTTATCTTCTAAAAATGTAGCCTAAGAAGAAAATCACACGTTTTTAAAAATATATAACAAGAATATTCCTTGAATTATCGTTTATAAAACAAAAGAATGAAAACAACCAAAATAGTATAATCAATATGATGTTAGCTATGAATTGTGGACACTTAATATGTCTCAGTCAGTAATAATGTGTATAATACATAGACAATATATAATTTAATCATCAGAGAAAACCCATCAGGAATCTACTATGTGACTCAGAGAGGTTGAGGAGGTGGTGAAGCTGGATTGAAGCCAGGAGATCTTCTCTCAGACACCTAATTGACTCATCTTTTGTTGATGCTCTGCCCATAAGGTAGGTGAGTGTGACTCTGCACCCCATGCAAGTGAACCATTTCAATGTCCGTGAACATTCTATGACAGGCAGCTGCTAGGCTTAGAGCTCGGGAGGACAAAAGGGCATGTGTGACTTCACTGCCCACACCACACTAAAGTCCATCATCCGGTGTATATTTCAAGGTGAATCAAGATATTAGCTAGACATTGAAGATAGAAGAAGAGCTAAAGTAAGATCTTGATGATATGGAGCTTGCACTGTCATGAGAGAGACGGACATTTAGCAAAAATTACCAAGATAAATGTGAAACCACTACATTTATGAATTCTGAGAGAAAATTTCATAATATCATGAAAGAAGATAACAAGGAGACCCAACAAGTCCCCTGCTACTATTATCAATAATATATAAAGGATGTAAGAAAATAAGTGGCATTTATGAAATAGGAACTCATTTATGTAAAATTATACACAAGAACGAGCTCTGGAAATTAAAAATGTGATTACAGAATCATAGAAATGAACAATTCATTAGATAATTTGGAAGACAAAAGTCATAATAAAATGGAAAAATGTTTGCAAAAAAGAAAGAAAAAGTGTAAGAACATTATACTATCAGGCCAAGTGTGGTGGCTCAAGCCTATAATCCTAGTGCTTTGGAGGCTAAGGAAAGAGAATTGCTTGAGCCCAGGAGTTCAAGACCAGCCAGGGCAACACAAGGAGACCCCGTATCAAAAAAACAAACAAACAAACAAACAACAAAAAATGCAATGTTTCAAAAGACTACATGAAGAATAGACTCAGAGATTGTCCTATGAAGACTGCCATAGTATAGGGCAGTAGTTGCAGGGAGACATGGGATCAGAGATCAAGGGATAAATTTCGATGGGAAGATTTTGTTTTGATTTGTTTAGTCCAGTTTTGTTTGTTTTTTTGGGGGGAGATATTACAGCACGTCTGCCTGTAGAAATGATGGGCCAGTAGAGAGTGGAAATTGATGATATAGGGGAAGGAAGGATTGATCTTATGCTTGAGTGCAGGGGTGGTCTTAGGAGCGGGGATCATCCATCATCACTGGTGGGAAGGCTGAGGATACAAGTGCAGATTTGGGGATAGTAATGGGATGGTGATGCATTTCTCACCTGGGTCCTCCTTTTTTTCCTGCGTGAAAGAGAAATAAATGTATAACCTAAAAATAGGGAGTGTGGAAGGAGTGGAGGGATGTGAGGGCAGAGAACAAAGTGAGAAACAGCCCCCTGAGGAATTGTAAGAGTGAACTGACCTGGGAGATGGCATTTGGAGAGTGCAGGGCTGTGGGCCACTGAGGTCTGTGGTCATAACTTTGGGGGTGGGAGAGAGAGAGAGAGAGAGAGAGAGAGAGAGAGAGAGAGATAGAGAGAGAGAGAGAGAATGGCACACATCCAGTAATGGGGCAGCAGCAGGAAAATATATAACTGACTAGAAGGAAATGAAACCACATATCTCTGCTGTAAGGATCATGGGATAGTTTAAATTTGTAATTGATCATTTGAAATATTTGGTAATTTTTCTGCAGTGAATATATATTACATTATAATGAGAAAAAGTTATATTTACAAATTAAAAAGGGAATGTTGATGGAGAAAGTGTAGATAATTTAGAAATATCAGAGAGGATAGAACATACTGAAGGGAATAAAAATAATTGCCTCTTTCCCCAACCCAACTCGGATCCCCATACCAACTACTCACATGCTCTGTTTTTAGAGGGACTCAAAAGCCTGTTTTATCCCAAATGCTTTTTCATAGGGTGACATGGAACTTTAGGGTAAGACTTGGCCTCTAGAATTCACCATTCCCTAGAGAACATGGTGCCCTACAGAAGAAAATCATCATCACTAACGTTGTCATTAGCACCACAAATTGCAGTACCAGCAATTGTGTCAAATGTGTTACAAGCCCTATTGCTATTTAATTTAATTTTCACACAAAAGAAAGTATTTACAGACAAAGAACTGAGCTCTATGAAGCCTCAAATAGCTTTCTGTATGTCATGCTGATCAGAGCAGTCCCAGGATATCCAGGTCTGTCTGACTCGAAGACCCAGGTCCTTTAAATAAATACATACTATTTTGGCTTTACAAGGAATGGGCAGTGTTTTGCACATGTGCCATATTCCGCTTCCTGTGCTGGTGTTTTGCATTCATTATTTCATATCATCCTTATCTAGCCCACACTATGCTCCACTAGGCTGGATGGACTTACAGCATCAGTGGATTCCCATTTTGGACCATGCAGATGATGTGAATTTCAGCTGCAGATCTTTGTGAAAAGGACCGGTTTTCTTATTCATCCCTACCCAGATAAGCTGTGTGTGTGTTTGTGTGTGTAGCTTAATGTAGATCTCCAATTAAAGGCAGTAGAGAGTGGAATAATCACTGGCTGATCAAGAATATACTCACAGTCCACAGCATGATTTACCTATCTCTGTACTGTTTTGCTCCCACTAACTGTAGCAAGTGCTGGATGCTCCTCACATGGCCAACAAGGTGTTCTTCTTCCCTAAGTCTGCAGCCCTCTTTCCTTGTCTACCCCAACCCCAAAATTCCAACTTTGTTCTGCCACTGCACCAAGTGCTTGCTTAAGGGCAGCAATTACCATTTTCCTAGCTCTTCATATCTTTAGAGTAGGCATCTTAAAGACAAAATATCCTCTCATGAGCAGATGCAAAGTGACACAGCACAGCACAGCACCAATTGATTATTGTGTAGAAACTCTCATCCAGTGAGTGAGAGGAGGGATGAAAAGGGTGAAAAGGGCAACCCCATCCTGCTATGTCCCATTGTTATTAATTGGGGATATTACTCCCAGTTTATATATTAAGAAACCAATGCTCAGTAATGAGGGTAATTTGTCCATAGTAATAAAAAAATGGTAAAGGCCATGTTCAAATTCAGACCAATTTTATTTCAGGGCCCATGTTTCCTTCATACATCATCCCTTGTGGCCAAAGTCATTGGCAGCAGCCATTGAAGAGGCCTCAGGTGTAGGAATGTCCAGGGTTTCCCTTTTTTCTGAGACAGGGTCTTGCTCTGTCGCCCAGTCTGGAGTGCAGTGGTATGAACACAGCTCACCGCTGCTTTGACTTCTTGGGCTCAAGTGGTCCTCCTGCCTCAGCTTCCTGAGCAGCTGGGACCACAGGTATGCACTATCACGCCTTATTAATTTTTCTTTTTTAAGAGACAGGGTCTGCCATATTTCCCAGGCTGGAGTGCAGTGGCATGACTACAACTTACTGCAGTCTCAACCTACAACCTCAGCCTGCCAAGTAGTTGGGACCACAGGCACGTGTCACCACACTCAGCTAATTACAATTTTTTTTTTTTTTTGGTAAAGATGCAGTCTCCCTAAGTTGCCTAGGCTGGTCTTAAACTTCCAGGCTCAAGTGATACACCCTCCTCTATCTCCCAAAGTGCTGAGATTATAGGCATGAGACACTGTACCTGGCTACTACTGATTTTTGTATGTTGATTTTGTATTATGCAACTTTACTGAATTTGTTTATCAGTTCTAATAGTTCTTTGGTGGAGTCTTGTAGATTTTTCCAAATATAAGATTATATCATCTGCAAACAAGGATAATTTGACTTCTATTTCTTTCTCTTGTCTGATTGCTCTAGCTAGGGTTTCCAATACTATGGTCAATAACGGTGGTGAAAGCAGGCAACCTTGTTGTGTTACTGATCTTAGAGGAAAGGCCTTCAATTTTTCCCCATTCATTTAGTATGATACTAGCTGTGGGTTTGTTGTACATAATGGCTTTTATTATGTTAAGGTATGTTCCTTCTATACTCAGTTTTTTGACAGTCTTTATCATGAAGGAATGTTGAATTTTATTGACTGTTTTTACAGCATCAATTGAAATGATTATATGGTTTTTGTCTTTCATTCTGTTGAATATGATGTATCACATTGATTGACTTGCATATTTTGAACCATCCTTGCATCCCTAGGATAAATCCCACTTGGTCATGAGGAATGATCTTTTTAATGTGTTGTCGATTTTTATTTGCTAGTATTTTGTTGAGGATTTTTGCAACAATATTTGTCAGTAATATTGGCCTATAGCTTCCTTTTTTTGATGTGTCTTTGTCCGGTTTTGGTATCAGGGTAATACTGCCCTTGTAGGATGATTTTGGAAGTATTCCTTCCTGAATTTTTTGGAACAGTTTGAACAGGATTGGTATTAGTTTTTCTTTAAATGTTTGGTAGAATTCAGCAGTGAAGCCATCAGGGCTTTTCTTTGCTGGGAGACTTTTTGTTATGACTTTTATCTGATTACTTGCTATTGGTCTGTTCAGGTTTTGGATTTTGTTCACCATTCAATCTGGGTAGGTTATATGTATCTAGGAATCTACCCATTTCTTCTAGGTTTTCCAATTTATTGGCATGTAGTTGCCCATAGTAGCCACTGATGATCCTTTGAATTTCTGCAGTATCAGTTGTAATGTCCTTTTTTCATGTTTGATTTTATTTATTTGGGTCTTCTGTCTTTTTCTGTTAGTCTGGCTAATGATTTGTCAATTTTGTTTAACTTTTCAAAAAACTTACTTTTTGTTTCATTGATCTTTGGTATTGTTTTCTTCATTTCAAACTCATTTACTTTTGTTCTGATCTTCATATTTCTTTTCTTCTACTAATTTTGGGTTTGGTTTTCCCTTGCTTTTCTAGCTATTTAAGATGCATTGTTGTATTGTTTATTTGAAGTTTTTCTTTTTTTTTTGATGTAGCTACTTATAGCTATAAACTTCCCTCTTAGTATTACTTTCACTGTATCCCTTAGGTTTTGGTATGTTGCATTTCCATTATCATTTATTTTCAGAATTTTTTCAATTTCTCTTTCTATAAATAAATAAATACATATATTATATATATTCTACATATATATTTTTTCCTTTTTAATTTTATTTATTTATTTTTATTATACTTTAAGTTCTAGAGTACAAGTGCACAATGTGCAGGTTTGTTACATAGGTATACATGTTGGTTTGCTGCACCCATTAACTCGTCATTTACATTAGGTATTTCTCCTAATGCTATCCCTCTCCCAGCCCCCTCTCCATGACTGTCCCCGGTGTGTGATGTTCGCCGCCCTGTGTCCAAGTGTTCTCATTGTTCAGTTTCCACCTATGAGTGAGAACATGCAGTGTTTGGTTTTCTGTCCTTGTGATAGTTTCCTCAGAATGATGGTTTCCAACTTCATCCATGTCCCTGCAAAGGACATGAACTCATCCTTTTTTATGGCTGCTTAGTATTCCATGGTGTATATGTGCCACATTTTCTTAATCCAGTCTATCATTGATGGACATTTGGGTTGGTGTCAAGTCTTTGCTATTGTGAATAGTGCCACAATAAACATATGTGTGCATGTGTCTTTATAGTAGCCTGATTTATAATCCTTTGGGTATATACCCAGTAATGGGATCACTGGGTCAAATGGTATTTCTAGTTCTAGATCCTTGAGGAATTGCCACACTGACTTGTACAATGGTTGAACTAGTTTACACTCCCACTGACAGTGTAAAAGTGATCCTATTTCTCCACACCCTCTCCAGTATCTGTTGTTTCCTGACTTTTTAATATCACCATTCTAACTGGCATGAATGCTATCTCATTGTGGTTTTGATTTGCATTTCTCTGATGACCAGTGATGATGAGCATTTTTTCATGTGTCTATTGGCTGCATAAATGTCTTCTTTTGAGAAGTGTCTGTTTATATCCTTGGCCCACTTTTTGATGGGGTTGTTTGTTTCTTTCTTGTAAATTTGTTTAAGTTCTTTGTAGATTCTGGATATTAGCCCTTTGTCAGATGGGTAGATTGCAAAAATTTTCTCCCATTCTATAGGTTGCTTGTTCACTCTGATATTAGTTTCTTTTACTGTGCAGAAGCTCTTTAGTTTAATTAGATCCCATTTGTCTATTTTGGCTTTTGTTGCCGTTGCTTTTGGTGTTTTAGTCATGAAGTTCTTGCCCATGCCTATGTCCTGAATGGTATTGCCTAGGTTTTCTTCTAGGGTTTTTATGGTTTTAGGTCTAACATTTAATTCTTTAATCCATCTTGAATTAATTTTTGTATAAGGTGTAAGGAAGGGATCCTGTTTCAGCTTTCTACATATGGCTAGCCAGTTTTCCCAGCACCATTTATTAAATACGGAATCATTTCCCCATTTCTTGTTTTTGTCAGGTTTGTCAAAGATCAGATGGCTGTAGATGTGGGGTGTCATTTCTGAGGCCTCTGTTCTGTTCCATTGGTCTATATCTCTGTTTTGGTACCAGTACCATGCTGTTGTGGTTACTGTAGCCTTGTAGTATAGTTTGAAGTCAAGTAGCGTGATGCCTCCAGCTTTGTTCTTTTGGCTTAGGATTGTATTGGCAATGCAGGCTTTTTTTTTGGTTCCATATGAACTTTAAAGTAGCTTTTTCCAATTCTGTGAAGAAAGTCATTGGTAGCTTGATGGGGATGGCATTGAAAGTGTAAATTACCTTGGGCAATATGGCCATTTTCACGATATTGATTTTTCCTATCCATGAGCATGGAATATTCTTCCATTTGTTTGTGTCCTCTTTTATTTTGTTGAGCAGTGGTTTGTAGTTCTCCTTGAAGAGGTCCTTCATATCCTTTGTAAGTTGGATTCCTAGGTATTTTATTCTCTTTGCAGCAATCGTGAATGGGAGTTCACTCATGATTTGGCTCTCTGTTTGTCTGTTATTGGTGTACAGAAATGCTTGTGATTCTTGCACATTGATTTTATATCCTGAGACTTTGCTGAAGTTGCTTATCAGCTTAAGGAGATTTTGGGCTGAGATGATGGGGTTTTCTAGATATACAATCATGTCATCTGCAAACAGGGACAATTTGACTTCCTCTTTTCCTAATTGAATACCCTTTATTTCTTTCTCTTGCCTGATTGCCCTGGCCAGAACTTCCAACATTATGTTGAATAGGAGTGGCGAGAGACGGCATCCCTGTCTTGTGCCAGTTTTCAAAGGGAATACTTCCAGTTTTTGCCCATTCAGTATGATATTGACTGTGGGTTTGTCATAAATAGCTCTTATTATTTTGAGATACGTTTCATCAATATCTAGTGTATTGAGAGTTTTTAGCATGAAGGGCTGTTGAATTTTGTCAAAGGCCTTTTCTGCATCTATTGAGATAATCATGTGGTTTTTGTCATTGGTTCAGTTTATGTGATGGATTATGTTTATTGATTTGCATATGTTGAACCAGCCTTGCATCCCAGGGACAAAGCCAACTTGATTGCAATGGATAAACTTTTTGATGTGCTGCTGGATTCAGTTTGCCAGTATTTTATTGAGGATTTTCGCATTGATGTTCATCAGGGATATTGGTCTAAAATTCTTTTTTTTGTTGTTGTGTCTCTGCCAGGCTTTGGTATCAGAATGATGCTGGCCTCATAAAATGAGTTAGGGAGGATTCCCTTTTTTCTATTGATTGGAATAGTTTCAGAAGGAATGGTACCAGCTCCTCCTTGTACCTCTGGTAGAATTTGGCTGTGAATCCGTCTGGTCCTGGACTTTTTTTGGTTGGTAAGCTATTAATTATTGACTCAATTTCAGAGCCTGTTATTGGTCTATTCAGAGATTCAACTTCTTCCTGGTTTAGTCTTGGGAGGGTGTATGTGTTGAGGAATTTATCCATTTCTTCTAGATTTTCTAGTTTATTTGCGTAGAGGTGTTTATAGTATTCTCTGATGGTAGTCTGTATATCTGTGGGATCGGTGGTGATATCCCCTTTATCATTTTTTATTGTGTCTATTTGATTCTTCTCTCTTTTCTTCTTTATTAGTCTTGCTAGCGGTCTATCAATTTTGTTGATCTTTTCAAAAAACCACCTCCTGGATTCATTGATTTTTTGAAGGGTTTTTTATGTCTCTATCTCCTTAAGTTCTGCTCTGATCTTACTTATTTCTTGCCTTCTGCTGTCTTTTGAATGTAAAGTTTGCTCTTGCTTCTCTAGTTCTTTTAATCGTGATGTTAGGGTGTCAATTTTAGATCTTTCCTGCTTTCTCTTGTGGGCATTTAGTGCTATAAATTTCCCTCTACACATTGCTTTAAATGTGTCCCAGAGATTCTGGTATGCTGTGTCTTTGTTCTCATTGGTTTCAAAGAACATCTTTATTTGTGCCTTCATTTCATTATGTACCCAGTAGTCATTCAGGAGCAGGTTGTTCAGTTTCCATGTAGTTGAGCGGTTTTGAGTGAGTTTGTTAATCCTGAGTTCTAGTTTGGTTGCACTGTGGTCTGAGCAACAGTTTGTTATAATTTCTGTTCTTTTATATTTGCTGAGGAGTGCTTTACTTCCAACTATGTGGTCAATTTTGGAATAAGTGCGGTGTGGTGCTGAGAAGAATGTACATTCTGTTGATTTGGGGTGGAGAGTTCTGTAGATGTCTATTAGGTCCGCTTGGTGCAGAACTGAGTTCAATTCCTGGATATCCTTGCTAACTTTCTGTCTCGTTGATCTGTCTAATGTTGACAGTGGGGTGTTAAAGTCTCCCATTATTATTGTGTGGGAGTCTAAGTCTCTTTGTAGGTCACTCAGGACTTGCTTTATGGATCTGGGTGCTCCTGTATTGGGTGCATATCTATTTAGGATAGTTAGCTCTTCTTGTTGAATTGATCCCTTTACCATTATGTAATGGCCTTCTTTGTCTCTTTTGATCTTTGTTGGTTTAAAGTCTGTTTTATCAGAGACTGGGATTGCAACCCCTGCCTTTTTTTGTTTTCCATTTGCTTGGTAGATCTTCCTCCATCCCTTTATTTTGAGCCTATGTGTGTCTCTGCACATGAGATGGGTTTCCTGAATACAGCACACTGATGGGTCTTGACTCTTTATCCAATTTGCCAGTCTGTGTCTTTTAATTGGAGCATTTAGCCCATTTACATTTAAGGTTAATATTGTTATGTGTGAATTTGATCCTGTCATTATGATGTTAGCTGGTTATTTTGCTTGTTAGTTGATGCAGTTTCTTCCTAGCATCGATGGTCTTTACAATTTGGCATGTTTTTGCAGTGGCTGGTACCAGTTGTTCCTTTCCATGTTTAGTGCTTCCTTCAGGAGCTCTCGTAGGGCAGGCCTGGAGGTGACAAAATTTCTGAGCATTTGCTTGTCTGTAAAGTATTTTATTTCTCCTTCACTTATGAAGCTTAGTTTGGCTGGATATGAAATTCTGGGTTGAAAATTCTTTTCTTTAAGAATGTTGAATATTGGCCCCCAGTCTCTTCTGGCTTGTAGAGTTTCTGCTGAGAGATCCGCTGTTAGTCTGATGGGCTTCCCTTTGTGGGTAACCCAACCTTTCTCTCTGGCTGCCCTTAACATTTTTTCCTTCATTTCAACTTTGGTGAATCTGACAATTAATGTGTCTTGGAGTTGCTCTTCTCACGGAGTATCTTTATGGCATTCTCTGCATTTCCTGAATTTGAATGTTGGTCTGCCTTGCTAGGTTGGGGAAGTTCTCCTGGATAATATCCTGCAGAGTGTTTTCCAACTTGGTTCCATTCTCCCTGTCACTTTCAGGTACACCAAGCCAATGTAGATTTGGTCTTTTCACATAGTCCCATATTTCTTGGAGGCTTTGTTCATTTCTTTTTATTCTTTTTTCTCTAAACTTCTCTTCTTGCTTCATTTCATTCATTTGATCTTCAATCTCTGTTACCCTTTCTTCCAGTTGATTGAATCGGCTACTGAATCTTGTGCACGCATCACGTAGTTCTCCTGCCATGGTTTTCAGCTCCATCAGGTCCTTTAAGGACTTCTCTGCATTGGTTATTCTAGTTAGCCATTCGTCTAATCTTGTTTCAAGGTTTTTAACTTCTTTGCAATGGGTTTGAACTTCCTCCTTTAGCTTGGAGAAGTTTGATCGTCTGAAGGCTTCTTCTCTCAGCTCATCAAAGTCATTCTCCGTCTAGCTTTGTTCCGTTGCTGGTGAGGAGCTGCATTCCTTTGGAGGAGGAGAGGCACTCTGAGTTTTAGAATTTTCAATTTTTCTGCTCTGTTTTTTCCCCATCTTTGTGGTTTTATCTACCTTTGGTCTTTGATGATGGTGACGTACAGATGGGGTTTTGGTGTGGATGTTCTTTCTGTTTGTTAGTTTTCCTTCTAACAGTCAGGACCCTCAGCTGCAGGTCTGTTGGAGTTTGCTGGAGGTCCACTCCAGACCCTGTTTGCCTGGGTATCAGCAGCAGAGGCTGCAGAACAGTGAATATTGCTGAACAGCAAATGTTGCTGCCTGATCGTTCCTGTGGAAGTTTTGTCTCAGAGGGGTACCTGGCCGTGTGAGGTGTCAGTCTGCCCCTACAGGGAGATGCCTCCCAGTTAGGCTTCTCAGGGGTCAGGGACCCACTTGAGGAGGCAGTCTGTTCATTCTCAGATCTCAAACTCCATGCCGGAAGAACCACTACCCTCTTCAAAGCTGTCAGACAGGCACATTTAAGTCTGCAGAGGTTTCTACTGCCTTTTGTTCGGCTATGCCCTGCCTCCAGCGGTGGAGTCTACAGAGGCAGGCAGGCCTCCTTGAGCTGCAGTTGGTTCCACCCAGTTCAAGCTTCCCAGTCGCTTTGTTTACCTACTCAAGCCTCAGCAATGGTGGGCGCCCCTCCCCCAGCCTTGCTGCCACCTTGCAGTTTGATCTCAGACTGCTGTGCTAGCAATGAGGGAGGCTCCATGGGCTTGGGACCCTCCGAGCCAGGTGCAGGATATAATCCCCTGGTGTGCCATTTGCTCAGACCATTGGAGAAGCGCAGTATTAGGGTGGGAGCTACCCGATTTTCCAGGTGCCGTCTGTCACAGCTTTGCTTGGCTAGGAAAAGGAATTTCCTGACCCCTTGTGCTTCTTGGGTGAGGCGATGCCTTGCCCTGCTTCAGCTTATGCTCGGTGCACTGCACCCACTGTTCTGCACCCACTGTCCGACAAGCCCCAGTGAGATGACCCTGGTACCTCAGTTGGATATGCAGAAATCACCCATCTTCTGCATGGCTCACGCTGGAAGCTATAGACTGGAGCTGTTCCTATTTGGCCATCTTGGAACTGCTCCCCAGTGTTGTGTAGGTTTTTGTAAAGAGATTGTTCATTTCCTTGCTTAAATTTATTCCTGTTTTTCTGGGGGGTTTTTGTCGCTATCATAAATGGGACTGCTTTTAAATTTCTTTCTTAGCTACTTCATTACTAATGTGTAGACATTATATTGATTTTTGCATGTTGATTTTGCATCTTGCCACTTTACTGAATTTATTTATTGGATCTAATTGTTTTTTGGTGGCATCTTTAGATTTTTTTAGACATAGGATTATACCATTGGCAGGAAGGCAAGAGAGGCTGAAGGTTAAGCTGATGGCCATGATGTAATGAATCATGCCTAAGAAATATGGCTTCCATCAAAACCCAAAAGGGAAGAGTCAGAGAGCTTCTGTATGGCTGAACACAGGGAGGCTTATAGGAAGGTGAACAATAACTCAGACATGTGCCAGGGAGGGTAGCACTTCCCAAACACATGGGGCAGAAGCTCCTGCACTCAAGACCCTTTCAGACCTCACCCTATGTATCTCTTCATGTGGCTCTTATCTCTTCATGTGGCTCTTTATCCTTTAAAATATCCTTTTAAATAAACTGGTTAATGTATGTAAGTGTTTCCTGGCATGCTATGAGCCATTCTAGCAAATCAATCAAACCTGAGGGTGGGTTTTGGGAACCCTGATTTATAGTCAGTGAGTTAGCAACACAGGCAAAATAATCTGGGGCTTGAGATTGTCATCAGAAGTGAGAGGGTGACAGTCGTGAGGACTGAGCCATCAACTTGCGGGATCTAAAATTATCTCCAGGGAGATAGTGTCAGAATTGAGTTAGAGGATACCCAGCTGGCGTCCATAACAGAACCGATTGTTTGCTTGTTTTTGGGGAGAAATCCCCTACGTTTCATCGCAGAAGCCTTCTGTGTTGATAGTTGTTGGGGTGTAAGAACAGTAGAAAAAAGACTTTGAATTTTCCCACAAAATTTTGCCACAAAAATGTGGTTAAAAGATTTTTTAAAAACTGGCACATTTGTCTAGAGCACTTACCATGAATGGAGCTTACAGGACTGGAAATTGCTCTGGGTGTCAGTGAGTGGCGAGTGAATGTGAAGTCTAGGGCATTACTATACACTACTTAGACTTTATAAACACTGTACATTTAGGCTACACTAAATTAATTTTAAAAATCATTTTCTTTCTTTAATAATAAATTAATCTTAGCTTACTGTAACTTTTTAATCTTTTTTTCTCCACCCTTTTTTTAAGTTCAGGGGTACATGTACAGAATGTGCAGGTTTGTTACGTAGGTAAATGTGTGCCATGGTGGTTTGCTGCAGAGATCGTCCCATCACCTAGGTATTAAGGCCAACATCCATTGGCTATTCTTCCTGGTGCTTCCCTCCCACAGCCCCATGCCCTCTAACAGACCCCAGTGTGTGTTGTTCTCCCCCATGTATCCATGTGTTGTCATCATTCAGCTCCCACTTATAAGTGAGAACACATGGTGTTTTGTTTTCTGTTCCTGGGTCAGTTTGCTGAGGATAATGGCTTCCCACTCCATTCATGTCCCTGCAAAGGACATGGTCTTATTCCTTTATGTGGCTGCATCGCATTCCATGTTGTATATGTACCACATTTTCTTTATCCAGTCTATCATTGATGGGCATTTATGTTGATTCCATGTCTTTGCTATTGTGAATAGTGCTGCAATGAACATATGCGTGTATATATCTTTATAATAGAATGATTTATATTCCTTTGGGTATGTATCCAGTAATGAGATTGCTAGGTCAATTTCTGCCTCTAGGTTTTTGAGGAATCACCACACTGTCTTCCACAATGGTTGAACGAATTTACATTTCCACCAACAGTGTGAAAGCATTGCTTTTTCTCTGTGACTTCACCAGCATCTCGTTTTTTGACTTATTAATAGCCACTCTGGTATCTCATTGTGGTTTTTATTTGCATTTCTCTAATTATCAGTGATGTTCAACTTTTCTCATATGTTTGTTGGCTGCATGTATGTCTTTTTTTGAGAGGTGTCTGCTCATGTCCTTTGCCTACTTTTTAATGGGGTTGTTTGTTTTTTTCTTGTAAATTTGCTGAAGCTCCTTGTAAACTCTGGATATTAGACCTTTGTCAGATGTATAGATTGCAAAAATCTTCTCCTATTCTGCAGGTTGTCTATTCACTCTGCTGATAGTTTCCTTTGCTGTGCAGAAGCTCTTTAGTTTAATTAATTCCATTAGTCAATTTTTGCTTTTGTTGCAATTGCTTTTGGAGTCTTCATCATGAAATCTTTGCCCATGCCTATGTTCTGAAGAGTATTGCATAGATTTTCTTCTAGCGTTTTTATAGTTTTGGGTTTTACATTTAAGTCTTTAATCCATCTTGAATTAATTTTTGTATATAGTTTAAGGAACGGGCCTAGTTTCAATTTTCTGCATATGGCAAGCCAGTTCTCCCAGCACCATTTATTAAATAGGGAATTCTTTCCCCATTACTTGTTTTGGTCAGACTTGTCAAAGATCAGATGGTTGTAGGTGTGTGATCTTATTTCACAGTTCTTTATTCTGTTCCATTGGTCTATGTATCTGTTTTTGTATCAGTACCATGCTGTTTTAGTATTGTAACCTTGTAGTATAGTTTGAAGTCAGGTAATGTGATGCCTCCAGTTTTGTTCTTTTTGCTTAGAATTGTCTTGGCTATTCAGGCTCTTTTTTTGGTTCCATATGAATTTAAAAATAGTTTTGTTTTTTTTTTCAGGCTAGGCGCAGTGGCCCACGCCTATAATCCCAGCACTTTGGGAGGCTGAGGTGGACAGATCATGAGGTCAGGAGTTCAAGACTAGCCTGGCCAACATTGTGAAACCCCATCTCTACTAAAAATACAAAAATTAGCTGGGCGTGGTGGTGCGCATTTGCAATCCCAGCTACTTGGGAGGTTGAGGCAGGAGAATCGCTTGAACCCGGGGACGCGGAGGTTGCAGTGAGCCGAGATCACGCCACTGCACTCCAGCCTGGGTGACAGAGCAAGACTCTATCTTAAAAAAAAAAATAGTGTTTTTTTTTCTTCTAATTCTGTGAAGAATGTCTATGATAGTTTAATGGGAATAGCATCAAATCTACAAATTACTTTGGGCAGTATGGCCATTTTCATGATATGGATTCTTCCTATCCATGAACATGGAATGTTATCCTATTTGTTTGTATCCTCTCTGATTTTTCTTTGAGCAGTGGTTTGTAGTTCTCCTTGAAGAGGTCCTTCACTTCCCTTGTTAGCTGTATTCCTAGGTATTTCATTCTTTCTGTAGGAATTGTGAATGGGAGTTGATGATTTGGCTCTCTGCTTGCCTGTTGTTGGTATATAGGAATGCTAGCGATTTTTGCACATTCTGTATCCTGAGACGTTGCTGAAGTTCCTTATCAGCTTAAGAAACTGCTGTTCTCATGATGGTGAAACTAATATAAGTGGTGAGAGGCTTGTCTGGTGCCGGTTTTCAAGGGGAATGTTTCCAGCTTTTGCCCATTCAGTATGATATTGGCTGTGGGTTTGTCATATATTGCCCTTATTATTTTGAGATCTCTTCCTTCAACACCTAGTTTATTAAGAGTTTTTAACATGAAAGTATATTGAATTTTATCAAGTGCCTTTTCTGCATCTATTGAGATAATCATGTGGTTTTTTTCTTTAGTTCTGTTTATGTTATGAATCGCATTTATTGATTTGTGTATGTTGAACCAACCTTGCATCCTGGGGATGAAGCCAACTTGATTGTGATGAATAAGCTTTTTGATGTGCTGCTGGATTCGGTTTGCCAGAATTTTATTGAGGATTGTTGCATTGATGTTCATCATGCATGGCCCGAAGTTTTCTTTTTTTGTTATATCTCTGCCAAGTTTTGGTATCAGGATGATGCTGGCCTTTTAAAATGAGTTAGGGAAGAGTCCCCCCTTTTCAATTGTTTGGAATAGTTTTAGTGAAAATGGTACCAGCTCTCCTTTGTACTTTTGATAGAATTCAGCTATCAATCTGTCTGGTCCTCGGCTTTTTTTGGTTGGTAGGCTATTTATTGCCTCAACTTCAGAACTCATTACTGGCCTGCTAAGAGTTTCAATTTCTTCCTGGTTCAGTCTTGGGAGGGTGTATGTGGGCAGGAATTTATCAACTTCTTCTAGATTTTCTAGTTTATTTGCATAGAGGTGTTCGTAGTATTCTCTGATTGTTGTTTGTATTTCTGTGGGGCCAGTGGTAATATCACCCTTGTTATTTCTGATTTGTTTATTTGATTCTTCTCTCTCTTCTTCTCTATTAGTCTAGATAGTGGTCTATTTTATTAATTCTTTCAAAAAAACAGCTCCTAGATTCATTAACGTTTTGAAGGGTTTTGTGTGTCTCTCTCTCCTTCAGTTCAGCTCCGATCTTGGTTATTTCTTGTCTTCTGCTAGCTTTGGGATTTGTTTTTGTTTCTCTAGTTCTTTTAGTTGTGATACTAGATTGTTAACTTGAGATTTTTCTGGTGTTTTGATATAGGCATTTAGTGCTATAAATTTCCCTCTTTACACTGCTGTAGCTGTGTCCCAAAGATTCTGATACATTGTCTCTTCATTCTCATTAGCTTCAAATAACTTATTGATTTCTGCCTTAATTTAATAATTTACCCAACAGTCATTCAGGAGCAGGTTGTTCAATTTCCATGTAGTTGTATGGTTTTGAGCGAATTTCTTACTTTTGGTTTCTAATTTGATTGTGCTGTGGTCTGAGAGACTGTTTATTATGATTTCAGTTCTTTTTGCATTTGCTGAGGAGTGTTTTACTTTTGATTATGTGACCAATTTTAGAGTAGGTGCTGTGTAGCAATGAGAAGAATGTATATTCTGTTGTTTTTGGGTGGAAAGCTCTGTAGGTGTCTATCAGATCCACTTGATCCAAAGCTGAGTTCAAGTCTTGAACTTTTTCATATTTATAAACCTTAATTTTTTAAAAAATTCAACTATTTTGTAATAGCACTTAGCTTAAAACACCAGCACATTATTCAGCTATACAAAAATATTTTTCCTTATATTCTCATTCTAGAAACTATTTCTACTTAATTTTTTAACCTTTTAATCTTTTTTGGTAAAAACAAAGACATACATTAGCCTAGGCTGACACAGGGTCAGGATCAACAATATCACCAACTTCAGCCTTCACATCTTGTCCCACTGTTATTTCACAGGTAATAACAAGCATGGAACTGTCATCTCCTGTGATAACAATGCCTTCTTCTGGAATACCTCCTAAAGGACCTGCCTGACGCTGTTTTAATTTAACTTAAAAAATAATTAGAGCACACTCTAAAATCACCATAAAAAGTATAGTAAATACATAAACCAGTAACATATTTATTATCATCAAGTATTACATGCTGTTTTTAACTGTATGGGGTAGACTTTTATAGGATTGGCAGTGCAGTAGGTTTATTTACATCAGCATCACCACAAGCACATGATTAATGCATTGTGTTATGACATTACAATGGCTACAATGTCACTAGGTGATAGGAATTTTTCAGCTCCGTTTAATAGGATGACAGTCGTATACGTGATCAATCATTGACAGAAACATCATTAAGCAGTGCATGACTGTATAACACAGTGATGTGTGTGTGTGTGTGTGTATTTTGTGTGTATAAGGTTGTTAAAGATGAAATTGAGGTTTCAACTGGGCACTAAGATATAACATATTAACTTTGCCTGTGAATTGTCAAATTACCCTATTCAGATTTTCAAATGCAATGACTATTGAAGGATTAGAGGTCTTCTGACTTGAACTGTGATAGACTAGCTCATTTAAAACTCATCCTCCCACTGTAAACAAGTATAAAAGCCAGACAAAACACGATGCAGTTGTGCAGCTGCAAAACAGCAGCCAGAGCAGGACTATCACCCTCCAGGGAATGGAGTCCCTGAAAGAGAGACTCACATCCTCATCAGCTTTCTTTCTAAGAGGATTTTTTTCAAAATTCAATGAAGGGAAATGGAACCCAAGCAGAGAGAATCAATCTCAGTAGCAAAGGAATCAGAGATCAGAGTTCAGGCTTGGCACTTTGACTGGGATTTAAGGGTAGGGTGCTGAAGGAGGGAGCTACAGCGAAGAAACTCCCAAAATCTGCACTCCAAAGCTGCATATGCTCCAGGTGATACTGTAAGAAGCCCACCAGAGAACAGCTGCTTGGGGATTGCATGCTATGTAGAAATGCCAAAGGCTTCATAGTGTGAGGAGATATTGGAATTAATTTAGCCCAGCCAAACCCGGGTTGAGACATGAGGATGGTGAAGCACTATGAGTGAGGGCCGTGGCCTTGGAGTAAGTACCACACTGAAATAGCAAAGTAGCAAAGTCTAAAATCAAGCCTTGGGAAAGGATTCCCTATTTAATAAATGGTGCTGAGAAAACTGGCTAGCCATATGTAGAAAGCTGAAACTGGATCCTTTCCTTACACCTTATACAAAAATCAATTCAAGATGGATTAAAGACTTAAACGTTAGACCTAAAACCATAAAAACCCTAGAAGAAAACCTAGGCATTACATTCAGGACATAGGCATGGGCAAGGACTTCATGTCTAAAACACCAAAAGCAATGGCAACAAAAGCCAAAATTGACAAATGGGATCTAATTAAACTAAAGAGCTTCTGCACAGCAAAAGAAACTACCATCAGAGTGAGCAGGCAACCTACAACATGGGAGAAAATTTTCACAACCTACTCATCTGACAAAGGGCTAATATCCAGAATCTACAAAGAACTTAAACAAATTTACAAGAAAAAAAAAACCACCCCATCAAAAAGTGGGCGAAGGACATGAACAGACATTTCTCAAAAGAAGACATTTATGCAGCCAAAAAACACATGAAAAAATGCTCACCATTACTGGCCATCAGAGAAATGCAAATCAAAACCACTATGAGATATCATCTCACACCAGTTAGAATGGCAATCATTAAAAAGTCAGGAAACAACAGGTGCTGGAGAGGATGTGGAGAAATAGGAACACTTTTATGCTGTTGGTGGGACTGTAAACTAGTTCAACCATTGTGGAAGTCAGTGTAGCAATTCCTCAGGGATCTAGAACTAGAAATACCATTTGACCCAGCCATCCCATTACTGGGTATATACCCAAAGGGCTATAAATCATGCTGCTATATAGACACATGTACACGTATGTTTATTGCAGCACTATTCACAATAGCAAAGTCTTGGAACCAACCCAAATGCCCAACAATGATAGACTGGATTAAGAAAATGTGGCACATATACACCATGGAATACTATGCAGCCATAAAAAGTGATGAGTTCATGTCCTTTGTAGGGACATGGATGAAATTGGAAATCATCATTCTCAGTAAACTAACGCAAGAACAAAAAACCAAACACCGCATATTCTCACTCATAGGTGGGAATTGAACAATGAGAACACATGGACACAGGAAGTGGAACATCACACTCTGGGGATTGTTGTGGGGTGGGGGGAGGGGGGAGGGATAGCATTGGGAGATATACCTAATGCTAGATGACGAGTTAGTGGGTGCAGCACACCAGCATGGCACATGTATACCTATGTAACTAACCTGCACATTGTGCACATGTACCCTAAAACTTAAAGTATAACAAAAAAATAAATAAAATAAAATAAAATAAAATAAAATCAAGCCTAAGCAGAATCAAAGTGGGTCCGATTTTTACCAAAGGTAATTCTTTTATAATTAATGAACTATCAAATTGTTAGCAGTCTGTGGAGGAAGATGGCAAAATCCAGAGCCTCTATAACACATCATCCAGAATATGTGGCATGCCAAGCAGCAGAGAAAATGCAACAAGTAGAGATAAAATCAGACTAAGAATTCCATGGTGTATATGTACCACATTTTCTTAATCCAGTCTATCATACTATGCAGCCATAAAAAATGATGAGTTCATGTCCTTTGTAGGGACATGGATGAAACTGGAAACCATCATTCTCAGCAAACTATCGCAAGGAGAAAAAACCAAACACCTCGTGTTCTCACTCATAGGTGGGAATTGAACAATGAGAACACGTGGACACAGGAAGGGGAACATCACACACCGGGGACTGTTGTGGGGTGGGGGAAGTGGGGAGGGATAGCATTAGGAGATATACCTAATGTTAAATGACGAGTTAATGGGTGCAGCACACCAACATGGCACATGCATACATATGTAACTAACTTGCATGTTGTGCACATGTACGCTAAAACTTAAAGTATAATAAAAAAAATCAGGCTAAGAGTTGATGTGGATATTGAAGCAGGCAAGCAAGAACATTCTCAAAGTATTTATGATTAATATGTTAAGGAAAATAGAGGGAAAGATGGGCAAACTATTTCAAAATCCCCAGAAAGATCAATCATAAAAAGAGAGAAAACAGAAATGAACACTATAAAGAACAACATAAAACCGTATATTTTATTAAAATGAAAATAAGAGAATATTAGACACAACTTCCTGACAATACCTTTTAAAATTTAGGTGCAATGAAATGAGTTCTTGAAAACGACAATTGAACAAGCCAACAGAAAACTGAATAGAAAATATAAGTAGTCCTATATCCATTAAGAAATGGGATTCTAATTAAATTCTTTCCCACCAAAAACACTCTTTGCCCACGTTTTTTCCCCTGTCAATTCTTCCAAAACTTTTTTTAAAAAAGTCAGTCTTATTCAGTCATCTCTTGGTATCCTTTTGGGATGGGATCTAGGGCCCCCTGTGGATACCAAAATCTATGAATGCTCAGGTCCCATGTATAAAATGGTCTAGTATTTACTTATTACCTATGCACATCCTCCCATATACTTTAAATCACCTATAGATTACTAATACCTAATTCAATGTAAATTATTCGCAAATAGTTGTTATACTATATTGTTTAGGAAATAATGATAAGAAAAAGTCTATATATCTTCAGTACAGATGTAACCGCTGTAGGTAGGCCTAACTACATAGTATACATCAGCAGCAACAACAGTTTCGATCCTCAGGTAGTTAAATTCACAGATGTGAAACACACAGACATGGAGGGCAGACTATCATATATTCTTTTAGATAATAAAAAAAGAGTAAACACCTTCCAACTAATTTTATGAGACAACATAGCCCAGAGAAGAACTTAAACATGACAATGACATTACAAAAAAGATATCCACCATCTGAATGAACTGATGAACACAGCCACCAAAATTCCATCTAAAATATTAGAAAATAGAAGCAAGTAATATATGGAGAGGATAATGTACAATGGGACTGAATGGGATTTATAAGAGAAATGTGACTTTAAAAAATCAGAGTAATTTACCACATGAATAGAAAAAGGTAGAAAAACATGCAGTTATGTCAACAGATGCATGAGAATCATTTGATAAAATTCAACAACTATTCATTATAAAAACTCAATAAACCAGAAATAAAAGAGAACTTCCTTAAGCTAATAAAGTTATTTATAAAAAAGAAATACCTCTATCTAAAGTCAAAATTAATGAGAAAAATATTGAAAACTACTCCTCTGTGTTGGGGACAAAATAAGGATATCCAATATCATTCCTTTTTTTTTTTTTTTTTTTTGAGATGGAGACTTGCTTTGTCACCCAGGCTGGACTGCAGTGGTGCGATCTCGGCTCACTGAAAACTCCGCCTCCCAGGTTCAGGAGAATCGCCTGCCTCAGCCTCCTGAGTAGCTGGGATTACAGACATGTGCCACCATGCCCAGCTAATTTTTGTCGTTTTAGTAGAGATGGGGTTTCACCATGTTGATCAGGCTGGTCTTGAACTCCTGACCTCATGATCTGCCCGCCTTGGCCTCCCGAAGTGCTGGGATTACAGGCGTGAGCCACCGTGCCCGGCCACTTTTTTAAAAAATTATTTTTTATT